>NC_000003.12:41222121-41525151 GCF_000001405.40 Homo sapiens
TTGGGAGCACTAGAATTGGGCCCTTAATGGTTGGCAGGGTGTGGTGGAGGAGAGACAGCCCTTAGTCCAAAGGCTCAGGCCAGAAAAAGAAAGAGGAAGGCTTTCCTTTTCCTTTCCGGAGCAGGGTTCTGCCCTAGGTCTTGCTTGGCAGTCTATTTGATTTCTTTAGCAGTTAATGCTCAGTTTTTTGGCATATGTGGATCTGCCTCCAGAGCAGGTACAAGGTGAGTGAGTCTATGCTGTTACCTAATTAGATCCCCATTTCTACCCTTTGTTTTTACTTCTCTATCTACTGATAGGTTTTTACCCTCCTTCACCTCATAGGGTTGCAGTGAAGAGCAAGATGAATTTTTATTTATGTTGCATAAATTTTAAAAGCTAAAAAATATATATGTAATGTTGGGAAGTCCCAGTGTACAAATGGCTATTGTAAATTTGGAACATGAACTTGCTTTTTTCCATTGTAAAAATGAAATCATTATAAATTGCGGTCAAGTTACTAGGTCAGCCCACACAGAGTTTACCCAGTAATATGCGTAAATGTTTTGCCTTTGCATCAACAACAAGGAAAAACAGTACTATAAAAAAATGTTCCTGGAAGCCGGATGTATCAAAGCACTTCTGAAATAGCTATATAGCCTATAGACATGACCAGTTGGTTTCTGAGTCTGTTGACATTGGCCAAAGGAGAAGCTCAGTGTAGAACATGTTTGGAGTCTCCTTTTGCAGAAATACATTGGAGGCTGGAGTGGGGAACCAATTTTTCAGAAAGGTGGTGAAGTAGTTACATAGCCACTCTTTTAAAGACAGTCAAAAGATAGAAACTAAGGCCAGGTGTTGGCTCACATCTGAGATAGGAAAATCACTTGAACCTGGGAGGCGGAGGTTGCAGTGAGCCCAGTATGCACCTCTGCACTCCAGCCTGGTTTGGCAAGAGACCAAAACTCTGTCTCAAAAAAAAACAAAACATAGTTCACACTTAAATATTTTATTCCATATCTTTACATACCCAATATGTTAATTTATAGTTCAAGATGAACTTGTTTGGGACAGATTTTGTAATAAAGGAAATCGTGTTATTAGAAATATCTAGAGGCCATGAGCCCTTAAACTGTTCTAATTTGCAAGTAGTTCCCTGTGTGATGCAGTTTTTTTCAATATTGCACAATAAAGGCAAAATACGGACAAATTAGATGATAAGATTTATATAAATTTTTAAAATATTGATCAAAATATGTATCCATATTGGTAATATTTGTATTTATAATAAATCATTGCTGTAAATTTGAACTTAGAAAAATTTTACTAATAAAGGTGCTTTTGTGTTGCAAACTTTCATTTGAAAAGTAATTTTTCTTTGTACCAAAAAATCTAAAATTCGCTATTCTAGTCACCAAAATTTGCTTTATGAAAAATAATTTTTGATGGCACTATATCAGAAAACAACTTGTTAAAGAAAATGTGGAGTTTTTAAAATCCCACTGTACCTCTGTTATCCAAAGGGGATCTGTGAATTTTTCTGTGAAAGGTTAAAAAAGGAGAGACCTTTAGGAATTCAGAGAGCAGCTGATTTTTGAATAGTGTTTTCCCCTCCCTGGCTTTTATTATTACAACTCTGTGCTTTTTCATCACCATCCTGAATATCTATAATTAATATTTATACTATTAATAAAAAGACATTTTTGGTAAGGAGGAGTTTTCACTGAAGTTCAGCAGTGATGGAGCTGTGGTTGAGGTGTCTGGAGGAGACCATGAGGTCTGCGTTTCACTAACCTGGTAAAAGAGGATATGGGTTTTTTTTGTGGGTGTAATAGTGACATTTAACAGGTATCCCAGTGACTTAGGAGTATTAATCAAGCTAAATTTAAATCCTAATGACTTTTGATTAACTTTTTTTAGGGTATTTGAAGTATACCATACAACTGTTTTGAAAATCCAGCGTGGACAATGGCTACTCAAGGTTTGTGTCATTAAATCTTTAGTTACTGAATTGGGGCTCTGCTTCGTTGCCATTAAGCCAGTCTGGCTGAGATCCCCCTGCTTTCCTCTCTCCCTGCTTACTTGTCAGGCTACCTTTTGCTCCATTTTCTGCTCACTCCTCCTAATGGCTTGGTGAAATAGCAAACAAGCCACCAGCAGGAATCTAGTCTGGATGACTGCTTCTGGAGCCTGGATGCAGTACCATTCTTCCACTGATTCAGTGAGTAACTGTTAGGTGGTTCCCTAAGGGATTAGGTATTTCATCACTGAGCTAACCCTGGCTATCATTCTGCTTTTCTTGGCTGTCTTTCAGATTTGACTTTATTTCTAAAAATATTTCAATGGGTCATATCACAGATTCTTTTTTTTTAAATTAAAGTAACATTTCCAATCTACTAATGCTAATACTGTTTCGTATTTATAGCTGATTTGATGGAGTTGGACATGGCCATGGAACCAGACAGAAAAGCGGCTGTTAGTCACTGGCAGCAACAGTCTTACCTGGACTCTGGAATCCATTCTGGTGCCACTACCACAGCTCCTTCTCTGAGTGGTAAAGGCAATCCTGAGGAAGAGGATGTGGATACCTCCCAAGTCCTGTATGAGTGGGAACAGGGATTTTCTCAGTCCTTCACTCAAGAACAAGTAGCTGGTAAGAGTATTATTTTTCATTGCCTTACTGAAAGTCAGAATGCAGTTTTGAGAACTAAAAAGTTAGTGTATAATAGTTTAAATAAAATGTTGTGGTGAAGAAAAGAGAGTAATAGCAATGTCACTTTTACCATTTAGGATAGCAAATACTTAGGTAAATGCTGAACTGTGGATAGTGAGTGTTGAATTAACCTTTTCCAGATATTGATGGACAGTATGCAATGACTCGAGCTCAGAGGGTACGAGCTGCTATGTTCCCTGAGACATTAGATGAGGGCATGCAGATCCCATCTACACAGTTTGATGCTGCTCATCCCACTAATGTCCAGCGTTTGGCTGAACCATCACAGATGCTGAAACATGCAGTTGTAAACTTGATTAACTATCAAGATGATGCAGAACTTGCCACACGTGCAATCCCTGAACTGACAAAACTGCTAAATGACGAGGACCAGGTAAGCAATGACATAGCTAGCTTTTTAGTCTGCTTTGAAGTAAATGCTCAAGGGGAGTAGTTTCAGAATGTCTACCCAATACCAGTACTTGAAAACTAACGATGTTTCTGAATTCCTGTATTACAGGTGGTGGTTAATAAGGCTGCAGTTATGGTCCATCAGCTTTCTAAAAAGGAAGCTTCCAGACACGCTATCATGCGTTCTCCTCAGATGGTGTCTGCTATTGTACGTACCATGCAGAATACAAATGATGTAGAAACAGCTCGTTGTACCGCTGGGACCTTGCATAACCTTTCCCATCATCGTGAGGGCTTACTGGCCATCTTTAAGTCTGGAGGCATTCCTGCCCTGGTGAAAATGCTTGGGTAAGAAAACATGTCAGAATGCTTGAAGCTAAAAAGTAGAAGAGTATACTCACAATATTTCTGATGAGGCTTTTTTCTTCTTCCCAGTTCACCAGTGGATTCTGTGTTGTTTTATGCCATTACAACTCTCCACAACCTTTTATTACATCAAGAAGGAGCTAAAATGGCAGTGCGTTTAGCTGGTGGGCTGCAGAAAATGGTTGCCTTGCTCAACAAAACAAATGTTAAATTCTTGGCTATTACGACAGACTGCCTTCAAATTTTAGCTTATGGCAACCAAGAAAGCAAGGTAAGAGAATTATTCTTTATGTGGTTTTCATGGAGCATTGGACACCTCCAGTGTCATGTCATTCCATGCAGTGTTCCTAACCTTTTTGGCACCAGGGACCAGTTTCGTGGAAAACAGTTTTTCCATGAATGGGTTGTGGGAATGGTTTCTGGATGACACCATTCCACCTCAGATAATCAGGCATTAGATTCTCATAGGGAGCGTGCAGCCTAGATCCCTCGCATGTGCAGTCCACACTAGGGTTTCTACTCCTATGAGACTCTCATGGTGCAGTTGATCTGACAGGAGGTAGAGCTCAAGCCAGGTAATGCTCGCTCACCTGCCACTTACCTCCTGCTGTGCAGCCCAGTTCATTTCTGTTCTTTTAAATTTTTGAGTTTCCATATGTAAAGCACTATGCGAAGTAGTAGGGATATGGTAGGCAAGCTTCTCTTCACACTTTTGTTCTTAGGTGGGATGTAGATGTTGGGAATAATAACCTAATATTTAATTTGTGTAGTGGGAAGAAGTGGGGCTATGAGGGCACATAACACAAGTTGAAACTGACTCTTTTTGAGGGTTCAAGGAGACCTCTTGGAGGAAGTGATAGTTGAGTTCAGTGTTCAAGGATGAGAAGGGATTCACTAGGTGAAGGTTAGGTGAGAAAACAACATCTTTGAAACGAAGGAAGGAGATGGAAAGTTTTGGGAATTTAAGAAATACTAATAGTAAGGAGGAAGAAAGGTTTGAGGTGAGGCTATTGAGATAGACTTAGCAGATCTCATAGGGCTTTGTAGAGCATGTTTAAAAGCACAATGGGAAATTTCAGCAGAAGCCTGAAATGATGAAATTTGTTTTTAGAAAATTGGGGCAGTGTTGAAAGGGAAGATATACAGGGAATGAAAGGACAAGCATGAATGATCATTTTATGGTATCTGTTTTTAAGGTGGATATAATTAGGAAAATTAAAGGGCCAAATGATGAGGAGTTAAGTGCCAGTTCTGGTTCAAATTTTCAGTGAATCAGTTTTGATATAACTTTCATCTTAGGGCATTACTCTTGCCTACCAACATAGTTTCTAAATTTTTTTCTTTTGGTGTGATCACTGTGGGAAGAAGGAAATTGGGCCCAAACTGATACATTGTTTGGAGGACTGGGATGTCTGAATTTGAGTGGAATGCTTTAAAAGGACAAGTTGGATAGGGCCCCAGTATGGGGGTCTGAGTGATGGGGTCCAGGAATACATTTAGGTCCAATGGCAAGCTGGCTGAAATTCTTGTATAATAAAATAGGTTGGTAATATGGCTCTTCTCAGACATGTGATCAAGATTCCTTGACTAACAAGATATATATATATATCTTTCTAGCTCATCATACTGGCTAGTGGTGGACCCCAAGCTTTAGTAAATATAATGAGGACCTATACTTACGAAAAACTACTGTGGACCACAAGCAGAGTGCTGAAGGTGCTATCTGTCTGCTCTAGTAATAAGCCGGCTATTGTAGAAGCTGGTAAGTATATGTATCTATTCTGAGTCTTGTGTATAGCATCTGCAGTTCTAATTAGATTACTTTTCTTAGGAAAAGGTGGTAGAACTTTAACTACTGAAAATAAATGGTCCTATTCAGTTTGCAGCCAAGATTTACATTCAGAGTACCTGTCATCTGGATTGTAGCTAAATATTTAAGGCTAGTTTAGGTAGAGTTCTTATTATCCATCAAAAATGATGGCATATGTTTTGCTTAATAAAATTTGTTTGTAATTTCAGTTTTGAGTAAACCTAAGATTTGCTAACAGAGCTGTGAATTTATAGGAGAAAAGACAAATTCTAATATAGTACAGTTTTATGTAAAGTGATTGCTTTATTAGTAGATGCTCATGAGCAGTTTTTGTTTTGTTTTAACTTTTAGGTTCCGGGTAATGTGCAGGCTTGTTATATAGGTAAATTGCATGTCACAGGGGTTTCGTGTGCAGATTATTTTGTCACCCAGGCAGTAAGTATTGTACCCAATAGGTAGTTTTTCAGTTCTTTACCTCCCACCCGTAAGTAGGCCCCAGTGTCTGTTGTTCCCTTCTTTGTGCCCGTGTGTACTCAGTGTTTACCTCCCACTTATAAGTGAGAACATGTGGTATTTGGTTTTCTATTCCTATGTTAGTTTGCTTAGGATAATGGCCTCCAGCTCCATCCATGTTGCTGAGGAAGACATCTTGGTATTTTTTTATGGCTGCTTAGTATTCCATAGTATATATGTACCACATTTTCTTTATCTAGTCTACCATTGATGGGCATTTAGGTTAATTCCATATCTTTGCTATTGTGAATAATGCTGCAGTGAACATATGCATGCATGTGTCTTTATGGTAAAAAGATTTCTTTTTCTTTGGGCATATACCTAATAATAGGATTGCTGGATTGAATGGTAATTCTGTCAGGTTTTTTGAGAAATCACCAAATTGCTTTCCACAATGGCTGAACTAATTTACTTTCCCACCAGCAGTGTATAAGCATTCTCTTTTCTCAGCAACCTCACCAGCATCTGTCATTTTTTGACTTTTTATTAGTAGCCATTCTAACTGGTGTGAGACGGTATCTCATTGTGGTTTTGATTTGCATTTCTCTAATGATCAGTGATGTCGAGCTTTTCTTCATATGTTTCTTGGCCACTTGTATGTCTTCTTTTGAAAAGTGTCTGTTCATGTCCTTTGCCCACTTTTTAATGGGGTTGTTCTTTTTTGCTTGTTAATTTAAGTTTATTGTAAACTCTGGATATTAGACCTTTGTCAGATGCATAGTTTGCCAGTACTTTCTCCCATGCCAGTACTTTCTCCCATTCTGTAGGTTGTCTGTTTACTCTGTTGATTTCTTTTGCTGCGCAGAAGCTCTTTATACTGTCCCATTTGTCAGTTTTTGTTTTTGTTGCAACTTCTCTTGGCATCTTCGTCATGAAATCTTTGCCAGGTCTTATGTCCAGAATGGTATTTCCTAGGTTATCTTGCAGAGTTTTTACAGTTTTAAGTTTTATATTTAAGTCTTTAATCCATTCTGAGTTGATTTTTGTACATCATGTAAGGATGGGGTGCAGTTTCAATCTTGGATGTGGCTAGCCAGTTATCCCAGCACCATTTATTGAATAGGGAGTCCTTTCCCCATTGCTTGTTTTTGTTTACTTGTTAGGTGTGCGGCCTAACTTCTGGGCTTTCTTTTCTGTTCCATTGGTCTCTGTGTCTGTTTGTATACCAGTACCATGCTGTGATTGTAACCTTGTATTAACAGTATAGCTTGAAGTTGGGTAAAGTGATTCCTCCAGTTTTGTTCTTTTTGCTTAGGATTGCCTTGGCTATTCAGGCTCTTTTTTGGGTTCATATGAATTTTTAAATAGTTTTTTTTTAATTATGTGAAGAATGCCATTGGTAGTTTGGTAGGAATAGCATTGAATCTGTGAATTGCTTTGGGCTGTATGGCCATTTTAACAATATTGATTCTTCCTGCCATGAAATAGAATGTTTTTTCATTTGTTGGTGTCATCTCTGATTTCTTTGAGCAGTGTTTTTTGTAATTCTCATTGTAGAGATCTTTCACCTCCCTGGTTAGTTGTATTCCTAGGTATTTTATTCTTTTTGTGGCTTTGGTAAATGGGATTGCATTCTTGATTTGGCTTGCAGCTTGGATGTTGTTGGTGTCTAGAAATGCTTCTGACTTTTGTACATTGATTTTTATATCCTGAAACTTTGCTGAAGTTTATTGGATCAAGGAGCTTTTGGGCAGAGATTATGGGGTTTTCTAGGTATAGAATCATATTGTTTGCAAACAGACTTCCTATTTGGATGCATTTTCTTTCTCTTGCCTGATTATGAGCAGTGTTTTGCCCTGATATTCTGTATTCTCAGTGAATAGATGTCGTCTAAGTATGAGAAACAATTTTTTTCTATTCTGAGTATTTTTAAGAAGGCAACTTATATGTGGTACTTTGTATATTGTGTATGTTGGCAATTGGGGAAAAGAATAGATGGTTTGTACTAGGGCCTCTTGGGTTCTGTGTGTGTGTGTGTGTGTGTGTGTGTGTGTCATGAAAACAGTTACTTTTTAGCTACCAAGCATTTTTTCTCCTTTCAGTAACCCACCTAACAACATTTACTCAGAATTTCAAAGCAAGCTTCAAATCAGTATTGAAAGAAGGAAAAATATAAAGGCATTTAATGGAAGAAAATGTTGGGAATAAAGTATAGGGCTGGCAACACTTACTTTTCTCACTTATTGAGAGTAATTTTACTTGGGAATTTATGAGAGAGAAAGACATTATGATTGCTCCAGGTAACTACTGGCAGAGGAACCATAGTCTTGGGGATAGACAAATGTGGCTGAGTTCATATAGAATGAGGGGATGGGATGTAAATTCTGTCAGCTGTTCCAGCAGTAACCTGTAATGTAGGCTAAAAATACAGATTTTGAGATTTATTTAATCAGAATCCCTGGAGTGTTAATTTTTATATCAAGATCTCATAGTGTTTTATTTGAAGTGACAGGGAGGTCTGTAGATAGCTGGACATGTATGGGACTGGAAGCTTAGGAATCTTTAAGTTCTTCCAGGTTATTCTTATGTTCATTTGTTTATTCTGAAAATAGCATCTAATGTATTTTAAGAAATGGAATAGGCACATAGTATACATTGGGTAACACAACAGATAGGGTCCCCGTGCTTAATTCTTAGTCTTGTGAAGGTGACAAAAATACTTAAAAATATGTGATCCTAAATTAGAATGAGTGTTATGGGAGAAATGACAGCAAATAGTGATGAGAATTAATGGGGAGGGGAATTGTCTAGATGAGAGGGAAAAGGTCTCCTTGAAAAGGGGATGTTAAGTGGGACTGCAGGATGAGAGGGAACCGTCTCTTGTCTATATGAGAAGTGAGGGTTAAACGTTTTCCAGGTAGAGAAAAGGAACACCATGTGCTATGTCTTAGAACCAGGGATATCCAGTCTTTTGGCTTCCCTGGGCCACATTGGAAGAAGAATAATTGTCTTGGGCTACACACCAAATACACTAATGATAGCTGATGAGCTAAAACAAAAAAAAATTGCAAAAGAATCTCATAATGTTTAAGAAAGTTTACGAATTTGTGTTGGGCTACATTCAGAGCTGTCCTAGGCCATGTGGCCCATGGGCTGCAGGTTGGACAAGCTTGCCTTAGAAGGAAAGAGATTGGTCAGGCACGGTGGCTCACGCCTGTAATTCCAGCACTTTGGGAGGCTGAGGTGGGCGGATCATGAGGTCAGGAGATCGAGACCAGCCTGGCTAACACAGTGAAACCCCATCTCTACTAAAAATACAAAAAGTTAGCCGGGCGTGGTGGCAGGCGCCTGTAGTCCCAGCTACTTGGGAGGCTGAGGCAGGAGAATGGTGTGAACCCGGGAGGCGGAGCTTGCAGTGAGCTGAGATAGCGCCACTGCACTTCAGCCTGGGCGACAGAGTGAGACTCTATCTCAAAAAAAAAAAAAAGGGAAAGAGATTGTGGAGATCCAGGTGCTGAAGAGAAGGTCTGCATAAACAGAACTTAGTAATGAGGTGGATGGCCTGGTATGAGGTTGAGGTTAGGTAAGCAGAGCCATAACATGCAGGACTTTCTAGGTTCCTATAAGATAGTTACTACTCATGGAGTTTATTCATGCTTTATTCCAGCTTTGGAGCCATAGATACAGAATACTTTGGTCAGTTTGGAAGGCTAGGTGGGATCCAAATTCTAAACGGTTCCTCAGGGTTATACTAAAGTATTTCTATTATCTTAAAAGGATGCTGAGACACTTTCGATGGTTGTTTATCAATAGCAAAGCATCACAGTGGTGTGTTTAAAATATTAATAATAGCATTGTATAGATTAACAGTTTGAATGACCAAAAGCTAGAAGACCAGACTACTGAGATGTTACAGGCTTTTAGGAATGAAATAGTTTGCTTTTAGAACTCAATAGCAAAGGGCAGATGTCTGAGATGCCTGAAAGAATCATAGAATGTAATAATATAGGAGCTAAGGGAGCAACCAAAAACGGTTTGTGGAGGGGACAACATTGGTACCATGAAGATAAATGGAACCCTCAGAAGGCATCCTTAATTTTTGAACATAATAATTTAAGAAGCTGACTTAAAGTGACTTAAAAGGTCAGTAGGTAGCTGGAAATGTATGATACTAGAATGCAAGAGAGGCAGGCTAGAGATTTGGAAGTTTCCCTCTTAGTATATAGGGGTAAGGGCAGCAGGGAAGGGGAGGTAGAGGTGCCACAGAGTCATCTGTATGGGACTTTTTTTTTTACCCTAGAACTGCTGAATCAGAATGTGTGTGTTTTAAAGTCTCTGTAGGCCATTCTGATGGACATCTGGGGTTAAAATCCATTCTCTTAGAGTTAATAGTTATGTAAAGGGAGGGAATGAAGTCTTAAAGAGGGGAAAGAAGGTAGTCATTTCACAAATACTGAGCATCCTGATCATCAGTCTTACGCAGATCATTCTATTAGTAGCTGGAGCTACTATGAAAAAGGAACCCAACAGAGGTGATCTTTGTCTTGTAGGGAAAGTGGAGTAACTTACACTATGAAGGAGAAGTGCAGGGTACCATAAGAATTACAGCAGATAGACCTCATCTGAGGAAATAAAACAGACCCGAAAGATGAAGGAGACAAGGAAAAGTATCTCTTACTGCATTCAGAAGTGATTTAAGTTGAAGATGGATGAGCGAAGTTAATCTACTATGTGGGCATTGGGCTTCCATTTATACTCCTTTGCCAGAGTAAATGTCCCCCATTTAAGGGTCCTAAAGGATGGAAGATTGTAAACCTTGGAACACATGTTTTGTAGTCAGTGAATTGTATAAAGTCCCTGACAGTAAGTGTTTTCATGCCGTCTTTCTGGATTGTTCTTACCCCAGGAATTTACCTAGCTTCTTTAGGTCTTTAGTCAGATGTCACCTTCACAGTGAGGTGACCTAATTATCTATTTAAAATCGCAGCCCCACTCCATTATTTTTCTCCATAGCCCTTTAATATCATCTGACATACTGTATGGTTTTAGTTTATTGTATATTTTTCTGCCTCTTCCAACTAGATCATAAATTCTGAGGGTAGGAACTTCTGAATATTTTTGTTCACTGGTCTATCTGCAGCTCAGAACAGGACCTGGTACTGAATAAATATTTTTGAAATGATTGAATGGATGAAAAGAAATGAGTAATAAGAATATTACCTAAGGGGGACAGTGGAGATAACAAAGGCTTTTTCGGCTTAGGAAAGGAACAGTAGCTATTTGAGAGTTTGTCACTAGTGAGGTGAACTGGCAAAGTGAAGGAAACTGAGCAACATTCTAGAAAATGAGAGGAAATCAAATACTTAGGTGAAAGGAAGTAAACTCTGGAAATACAGAAGGACACCTCCTAAGGCTAGAACAGATATTTAGGATTGATAGGCACTTCTAGCTAATGACTAGGGCCTTATATCCTTTTTAATTTTCTAGGTGGAATGCAAGCTTTAGGACTTCACCTGACAGATCCAAGTCAACGTCTTGTTCAGAACTGTCTTTGGACTCTCAGGAATCTTTCAGATGCTGCAACTAAACAGGTAAATTCTGAGTAAACTGGTGCCATGGGAATAGAGTCAAGATGAGTATGTGCTTGTACTGACCATCTGTTTTTATCTCCATAGGAAGGGATGGAAGGTCTCCTTGGGACTCTTGTTCAGCTTCTGGGTTCAGATGATATAAATGTGGTCACCTGTGCAGCTGGAATTCTTTCTAACCTCACTTGCAATAATTATAAGAACAAGATGATGGTCTGCCAAGTGGGTGGTATAGAGGCTCTTGTGCGTACTGTCCTTCGGGCTGGTGACAGGGAAGACATCACTGAGCCTGCCATCTGTGCTCTTCGTCATCTGACCAGCCGACACCAAGAAGCAGAGATGGCCCAGAATGCAGTTCGCCTTCACTATGGACTACCAGTTGTGGTTAAGCTCTTACACCCACCATCCCACTGGCCTCTGATAAAGGTAAATTGTCAAAGTAGAATTTACCTTTGTTGCAGAATTGAAAATGAAGCATCTCTAGCTGTTGGATGGCTGTCTAAGCATAGTGATCAATAAGTAGGAATTGTATTCCTTAGTAAGTAGGAAGTATGGCTGCGATAGGGGTAAGATTCTGAAATGTTTGTGTAGTCAGAACTACTTTTAGTTGATACCAATAGATTTAGTGTGGTGGGAATTTTAGGGTAAGAAAATGATTTTGTTGAGTTGTATGCCAGTTCTTCCTTCTGTTTTTCAGGCTACTGTTGGATTGATTCGAAATCTTGCCCTTTGTCCCGCAAATCATGCACCTTTGCGTGAGCAGGGTGCCATTCCACGACTAGTTCAGTTGCTTGTTCGTGCACATCAGGATACCCAGCGCCGTACGTCCATGGGTGGGACACAGCAGCAATTTGTGGTAGGTAAATTCTTACAGTGATACCTGGCTATCTAAAAGGAATGCATAAATCCAAAGGATCCTGAACTTCTTTCTTTGGTCATTGGTTCCCCCCATCCGTCTTCCTGAAGAGCTAATGACAAAGTAAATAAATAAATAATTACACATTTCTATGGCTGCAGAGAAAATAAGGCATAGTGTGGCCCCAGTGATATTTCCTTGGACACGTCCTTCACATGGTCAGTCTTACAAAGGTTGGGTTAGGTGTTTCATAAAGTGTTCTCATTTAATTTACACAAAGGCCCACTTCCTTAGGAAGAGGTAGAGTCATAATTTGAGATCAAATCTGTGTAATTTCAGAGCCTCTTACCCTTGCCTCATCATGCATTTTGACTATAAATATTTAGCAGTCCGTTTTATTATCTTTTCTGTGAGTTAAACTTTTTTCATGGACCTAAGAATATTCAGAAATAAGTAGTAGCATTTCTGTACTCTTAACCACAAAAATCTCAACCTGAAGCTTTGATACAAAGTTTGTGTCTTAAAAGTAGCTTCATTAAAAGTATAGTCTAATGACATTTCTGATTTCTCAGACTTTAAGACCTTATTAGGTTAGTTTAGAAAACAAAGATGGAGCCTACCAGAACAGATGTTAGGAATCTCATTTTGCTGGTTGCTTTGTGTATGTACTCATATTGGGGCTTTGGCTTTCTTCATTTATTACTGTTGGTATTGGCCCATCTCCATGAGGTGACTTAATAGAACGTTGAGGGCACCTTTTATTTTAAATCTCTTTTCTAGGAAGAAGAGAGTTTTTGTGTCCTTGTAAGAATCAAGTTATTTATAAAAGCTGCTAAATGTAGCAGAATAATAACCCCTTTTAAAACTCAAATCCAGAAACAGGAGAAACAGATGGTACTTACATATTGCAAAAGCTATCTTCCTTCTATACATGAGGCTGTCAGCTGAATAGTCTTGGAAGAGTGAGGAGTGAATTTTTCTGCTGGCAACTCGGTTAGTTTTAGCAGTTGGTGCTAAAACTTGGCAAAGTTTTCACCAAATACATGGAAGATATACAAAAATAGAGGGGGCATGTAAAAGAAAAACGTTGACATAGTCTGAGCATTACTTTCTCATCTTCTCTTTTTATATACCTTTTACCCAGAATGATTGGTGCCCTTACTGTAGGAAAGTTGTCTTTGGGATTCAGCGCTGTATGGAAGCTCTGTTGCACTGTGTATGGGGGAGGGGTGCTGCTTTGAATTAGTGCTGCCAGGAGGCCTCTTTTCAGTGACATTCAAGTTAATGGAATCCTTCTTCCTTCCTGAACTAATTGCAAGTTACGGGGAACTTCGGGTATATAATGTAAATAATTACAGTCTAATAATTGTTCCTCAAACTTTACAGAGGAGAATGCCCTGTTTGTTAACCATGTTTCTTTTGGCAGGAGGGGGTCCGCATGGAAGAAATAGTTGAAGGTTGTACCGGAGCCCTTCACATCCTAGCTCGGGATGTTCACAACCGAATTGTTATCAGAGGACTAAATACCATTCCATTGTTTGTGCAGGTATGTTTTAAGTGAAGTGTTCTAGGTTTTATGTCCATAAAATTTCCAGATTGTAATGACTAATAACATTTCAGAAAATTAGGGACCATAATAGGGTTACCAACATTTAATTTTATGAAAATTCCCTACATTTTTTGGTCAGTAAGAGAAACATTGAGACTTGAGAAGAGGGAGGAGATTTCACATTTCACTTTTATGGGTGCCTAGAGGGGAGAGCTGACCTGGGCTGCCAGAGGCAGGGCATAGACCCCCAACCAATTCTGGGTTTTCCAAATCTTAGATCAGTTAGAGCTGCCTCTGAAGAAAGGGTTTATAGCTAAAAAATATTATGGAAATCCAGTGCTCCAGAGCATTAAACACCCCAAGACATAAAATTCAGAGAATATTATTTACTACAGTGTGAATGCCTCTTGCACTCTGAATTGGGAATGTTTGCACCACAGTGGGGGGCTTGCCATGTTTTAGCTTTAGATTTAATTAGGTTTTGTTTGTGTTTTCTCCTTAGCTGCTTTATTCTCCCATTGAAAACATCCAAAGAGTAGCTGCAGGGGTCCTCTGTGAACTTGCTCAGGACAAGGAAGCTGCAGAAGCTATTGAAGCTGAGGGAGCCACAGCTCCTCTGACAGAGTTACTTCACTCTAGGAATGAAGGTGTGGGTAAGTAAAAAGGAACCAAAGCCTTTAGCAGATGTGTACATTGAAGTCTCAGTTTTTCCTCAAGGGCCTTTTTCTCCTTGTCTCTTAGCGACATATGCAGCTGCTGTTTTGTTCCGAATGTCTGAGGACAAGCCACAAGATTACAAGAAACGGCTTTCAGTTGAGCTGACCAGCTCTCTCTTCAGAACAGAGCCAATGGCTTGGAATGAGGTAGGGAAATGTGAGCAGTTATTTATCTGGTAGTTTCCTAGAGCAGGTATGGCAGCTTGTTCTTTCCTCTCAAAACACTTAGTACACATTCATTTGCATTGATGTTTCCCTGGCTTGAGTATTTCTTCTTTATGCTGTCTAGCAACTGCTCTGAGGAAGAACTATAATACAAGCTTTAAAGAGTCTGTTCAGAATCATTACAAATAAGTTGTGTTATTTAAAATTATAATTCATAAGGGAGAAAGATGAAAAATGTTACCAGATTAAAGAAGATTTTTCAAAAGGATGTAAGGAAAGAGGCAGTGTTAAACACTGTTAAGAGGACAGTTTATCAGTATTTTTTACTAAACTTTAATAAAACTTTTCTATTTGAATTTCTGCTATGAATTTTTCTTCAGCATTTGTCCTCAGTACAGGTGGTTCCTTGAAACATTGTTTCTAATAAAACTAGAACATCCTGATATTTTATCCATTCTATAGAGATCATTGATGGTACACAGACATACAGTGGATTATGTTTGTTGAGTGAATGGAAAGAGAGATTGTTAGGTTTACAACGATGCAGCTCTTGAGACCGGAGTTTAAGATCAGCCTGGGCAACATAGTGAAACCCCATCTTTAGCTGGGCATGGAGATGGATGCCTATAGTCCTAGCTACTGGGGAGACGGGGGCAGGAGGATTGCTTGAACCCAGGAGTTAACAGACTGCACTCAGTGACAGAGCCAGACTCCAACACAAAAAAAAAAAAAAAAAAAAAGCAAATTACCAGTGAGTAGTGTGTTACTTGGGTTTTTAATAGGCATCTTATTAACATGTTCCAACTTGAGCCCTTAACTTTCTCCACCTACCCCCTTCCACAAACCTGTTTTCACTGTCTTCTCTGTCTTAGTTAATGTCAGCTTTGTCTGTCCAGCTGCTCAGGCTAAAACTTTTCTTTCATATAACACATCCTATCAGCAGCTCCTGTTTGTGGGTAGGCATTTTGCCTTTTTTTTTTTTTTTTTTTTTAAACTGCTATATCTCTAGCATGTAGAACAGTGCCTGGCAGCACATAATAGGTGCTTAATATAATATTTGTTGAAAGAACAAGTCAGTGAGTATTTTTAATGTGAGGTGCAAAGAGAAAAAAAAATGTATCTTTGAGGTGTGGAGTTTTGAAGAACTTCCATTTTCTAAGCATTTGTGTAATGTTGGAGTTACTTGTTCCTTTTGTAATCTGAAAGTATGCTTTAAAAAAAATTAGTGTACTTTTGAGAATTTTCATTTTGCTTTCTATTCTTCCTTGCTTTGTGCATGTTTATCTAGACTGCTGATCTTGGACTTGATATTGGTGCCCAGGGAGAACCCCTTGGATATCGCCAGGATGGTATGTGTCTCATATTTCTCGATTAACTCCAGATCAAGCTAAAGTTCTAAAACTTTTATCAGAAGAGCCGGTTTGCTCATCTGGGAAACCAGTGTTGGCAGAAAAGTAGTGGCTTCAATTAAAAGCAGTTCTTAAATTCCAGTCAGCAACAGTATCTTTAATGGAGCACAGGGAATTCAGAGCCACACAATGAGTAGCAGTAGGATTACACCACCAACAAATACATGCTACTGCTAGGCCTCTGCAGTGCAGGATGTTACAATTTACCTGGCTTTTTATTCTCTTTTTGGCCAGAGGACTCATAATACCTTTGTCTACAAGCTACCCAAGGAAGATAGGAAAACTCCTGTTTCTAGGCTCAGATCTCGGGTGGGTTTTTACATAGTTGCATTATCATCAGGGTTTTCTTGAAAAGCTAATTTAAATCTGGGTAATGAACATGGAGGATGGCATAGACCACTAACAATTATAACTGTCTTACATTTATAACCGCATCTGCTTCTACCTAATTATGAAACCACTAAAGCGCAGATTCTTACTGTGAGAAATAACATGTCAACCCTAAGATAAAATATGTTGAGGTTTCATGGAAATAGTGCCTTTCCTTAGTACTTTTGTGGGTGTCACTTGGCCTTTTTGTCAAGATAGATTACACCTGCCAGACCTCATTATTGTCTTAATCCTCCTTCCCATGACTTCTCACTGCCTAGGTGGTCACACAGTAGATTCCTGCTTCTTCTCCTCGGGAACCCCAAGTCTCTTGACAGGGGTAAATGCAGAGTGTTCAGGGTTAGACTAATGATGTGACTAGGCCCTGCTGGTGTGCCTGTCTGATGGAAATAGATGTTATTTGTGTAGTCTCATGGGTGGCCTGGCACTGAGTAATTACTTGGCTAAAGAAAGCTGGAGGTTGAAGAGGCTAGAAAGCGTTGTTTTCTGACAAGTTTGCTGCTGAACTTTGGATGCCCTAACCTCAGTGTTAACGTCTATGTCTGCTTCTCTCCTCTCTCTTTTGCCTTCCTTCTTGCCTATTTTGTTGACACCCTGACTCTTCTAGATCCTAGCTATCGTTCTTTTCACTCTGGTGGATATGGCCAGGATGCCTTGGGTATGGACCCCATGATGGAACATGAGATGGGTGGCCACCACCCTGGTGCTGACTATCCAGTTGATGGGCTGCCAGATCTGGGGCATGCCCAGGACCTCATGGATGGGCTGCCTCCAGGTGACAGCAATCAGCTGGCCTGGTTTGATACTGACCTGTAAATCATCCTTTAGGTAAGAAGTTTTAAAAAGCCAGTTTGGGTAAAATACTTTTACTCTGCCTACAGAACTTCAGAAAGACTTGGTTGGTAGGGTGGGAGTGGTTTAGGCTATTTGTAAATCTGCCACAAAAACAGGTATATACTTTGAAAGGAGATGTCTTGGAACATTGGAATGTTCTCAGATTTCTGGTTGTTATGTGATCATGTGTGGAAGTTATTAACTTTAATGTTTTTTGCCACAGCTTTTGCAACTTAATACTCAAATGAGTAACATTTGCTGTTTTAAACATTAATAGCAGCCTTTCTCTCTTTATACAGCTGTATTGTCTGAACTTGCATTGTGATTGGCCTGTAGAGTTGCTGAGAGGGCTCGAGGGGTGGGCTGGTATCTCAGAAAGTGCCTGACACACTAACCAAGCTGAGTTTCCTATGGGAACAATTGAAGTAAACTTTTTGTTCTGGTCCTTTTTGGTCGAGGAGTAACAATACAAATGGATTTTGGGAGTGACTCAAGAAGTGAAGAATGCACAAGAATGGATCACAAGATGGAATTTATCAAACCCTAGCCTTGCTTGTTAAATTTTTTTTTTTTTTTTTTTAAGAATATCTGTAATGGTACTGACTTTGCTTGCTTTGAAGTAGCTCTTTTTTTTTTTTTTTTTTTTTTTTTGCAGTAACTGTTTTTTAAGTCTCTCGTAGTGTTAAGTTATAGTGAATACTGCTACAGCAATTTCTAATTTTTAAGAATTGAGTAATGGTGTAGAACACTAATTCATAATCACTCTAATTAATTGTAATCTGAATAAAGTGTAACAATTGTGTAGCCTTTTTGTATAAAATAGACAAATAGAAAATGGTCCAATTAGTTTCCTTTTTAATATGCTTAAAATAAGCAGGTGGATCTATTTCATGTTTTTGATCAAAAACTATTTGGGATATGTATGGGTAGGGTAAATCAGTAAGAGGTGTTATTTGGAACCTTGTTTTGGACAGTTTACCAGTTGCCTTTTATCCCAAAGTTGTTGTAACCTGCTGTGATACGATGCTTCAAGAGAAAATGCGGTTATAAAAAATGGTTCAGAATTAAACTTTTAATTCATTCGATTGTGTCACTCTTTCTTTTTTTCTTGTCATTAATAAATGGTTTGTGAGGGTGGTAAGTAAGTTTATCCAACTCAACTTTATCCTGAACTTTATCCTGAGATAGATAGATACATAGTGAAGTAATTTGTTGTAGCGATAGAGAGGGCCCTACTTCTCTAGATGCAATTTGCCAAGTTTCTTTAGCATTTGGCCCTGGATTACGCTGGACCCCTAAAAAAGTGTTTCAGCCTTGCACATTGTGATTAGTTCTGGGCTTTGGTGGGAGAAAGCCAAGCAGACTATCCATCTATCTATCTCTACCCCAATCCCCCTCAGATGATTTGATTCCATTAAAGTAATGAAATAAATAGTAACTACCCCTACCTGGATTTGGATTTGAATCACCTTCACCCAAGTGTGACTCATTGGGAGAGGGGAATTCCTTCAACTGGACTTTGAACTAATAATAATTAAATAAATTAAATAGGTTTAAGTGTTGATGTTTATCTGAACATAATCAGAACCAGAATGAGCCTTCCACAGTACCTGCCAGATGATCCTATCATCCCGGTGGTAGGTCTGACAAGCTTAGTTCATCTCATCTCTTCAGGTAGACCTGTTTGTTAAGACTTGTGTTTTGGTCTTTTAAAAAGTAAAAGAAAGAAGTGTTTTGTCTTTAGGGAGAGCTCTTTCTGATTTACTGTTTTTATTTTGATGATGATTGATAGTGACTATTAATTATGAGAAAAACATACATTCAGTTCTTTTTCGTTAAAAATCAGCTTCATCTGGGGAGGCCTTTTTGTGAATGCCCTTGCTTTGCAAAAATGAATTCATTGTGGTCTAAAATGTAATTAGGGTTTGAAAAGAAACATTCACATAGCTGATGATGTGGTAGGTCTCAGGTTCTGTCTCATGTGTGATAAACCAAACCAGCCAGTATTTCAAGAAGCCTAGGGCTATTGGTAGGTTAACACCGTGAAGATCTTCAGTGAATTCAGCTTTTAACATAAAGAGCCACCGCACGGTGTTTCAATTACAGAAAGAACAACTTTTTAAAACCAGAGAATGTTTTCAGAGCTTTGCTAATTCATTGTATTTTATTTTTGAAGTTTAAAAACTTAATGTGAGAGTTAATCCAGTTCAACAAGGTGGCTCTGGAAGTACCAAGGGTGAATAATAGCCAAGACGCTTAGGAAAAATAGCACTTGCTCTAGCAGCTGTCAAGGCCTAACTACTTAATACAAAGCTAAAGTTAGTTAACCCTGTTACAGGAATAGGGATATAAATACAGATTAATACAGAATAATACACAGGCATTTAAAGACTCTTCAGAGACAGCGTTGGAGATCCGAGTGGGAGGAGAGCAACTTTTTCATAAAGGTGTGAAACAGCCGTTGGAATAAAACAATACAGAAAAACATCCATGACCCAACAAAATATCAAGATTTTAAATAAAGGCAGTAGTACTGATTTTTCTTTTGCCTCAAGCGCCAGTAAGGCTTGGTAGGGCACAACGCTGACAGTCTACACTGGACGCCCATGTGTCCAACAATCTCTGTTCACACGAGACAGTGCAGTGAAAAACTACAGCTTCAGTGATGTGGGTGTCAGTATAGTATGCATATATCTATCTCACATAACACTGAACAAAAGCAAGTTACAGATGCATGCTTTAGAACTCCATTGATCATCAATTAAAAAAAGGGACAAGCTATTTTAAGGAAAATATCCACAGATGGAGCAAGGAGATGATTAGATGACTATAGAAATCAGAATAATGGTTAACCTGGAGAGGGAGGTGCATGGGATGCTGGCAAGGTACCTAACCTTTCCTGTAAATAGTGGTGAAGAAAGTGAGGTCAAGTTTTCAATAAGAGAAGTAGTGGTGGGGAGGAAAAGGCCTAAAAGGAATGCTGCCCACTTGCATTTCCGGGTACAGGAGGTGAAAATGACAAAATGAACATGGCCGTTGAGAATAGGAGGGCTTTCCAGCCTGAGTGTTCTTTTTTCAGTTGTGCTGTAGTTATGAGACAGCCTTGAGAGTTAAGACATTTGATCCCATTGCAGCAACCACCATTGAACCAAAGAAGGAAGCTTTTCTATGTTGGAGCAGATCTTACAGACATGAGGCTTTGAAATCTGATGATCTGAATCCTTAATAATGAAAGATCTTAAGATAAACACACTCTTTAACTCTTGGTTGCTATAATAAAAAGATGTGAATTGTGCTGTTTTGTTTATAAAGCAAAAATGCTAAGTTGATCTGCAGTTCTATTAAGTGAGAACCTGCCTTTCCTTGCCTTGAGCAGATCACCCACCAAAGTGAAATTATGAAATGATGGGGCTGCAGGGGCTGTCAGGGCAGTTCTTCCTTTTTCTTTTATCGCAGCCTCCTATGTGGAATTCTGTATAATATCCATTCCACCACTTGAGACTCCAGTAAACGTAGAAGGAAGTGACAAGTTTCAGAGTTGAGGTTGTGGGGGAAGGTCAGAACAGGTATAGGGGTATGCAGGAAGGCAAAGGAGAAACCCCATCTCTATGTATTTCCAAAGTAGGTTTTGGCATGAATAGGGAAAGGTCCGTGTGTCCATAAATGTAATTTCCATGTTAGGTACGACTGAGAGCCACTCTGTGACAAAGCAGTTCTACTCAGAATTATTTGAGGTATACTCACGAGTATGTACAAGGAATTCATTGCAACACTGTCAAAGATAGCAACCCAAATAGGTGTCAAAAGGGAACCTAACTAGTTAAGCAAATTTTGATGCATCTATTTGGTGGACCACTCTGCAGTCAAAGGGGGGAAAAAAAACCAGCCCATAAAGCTGTGTTTTGGAATAAAATGGTCTTCAAAATACATAGTAAGAGAAAAAGCAAGGAGCAGAGTTGACAGCTGCTCACATATGGGTAAAAAGGGGTGGGTGCAGAATCTTTGTGAAGATAGGCATAGACCATCCCTGGATGCACACGAAGACCCTAGTGGCAATGGGCACCTTGCAGGAGGAGACAGGGAGAGGACTAACAGCGTGTGAGGGAGGAACTCTGCTGTCTATCTTTTGGGTGTTTTCACCAGGCTTCATTTGTACCAGGCTTCTGGATTGGATATCACCATTCAAATGTAATTATTTATTAAAACACCTAATGGATGCATTTGTCCACCCGCCTCAACATCAAGCCTCTGATGGGAGAGGCCAGAGGCTGGATTTTAAGGGCAGATTAAAACTCCTCGTTCTAGGCCCAGCTTCTTGCTCCCACACACCACTTCTCAACCCCACTGAAGCTTGAGGCCAAGGCTGCCTAGCTTTGCCTAGTCTCGCCCAACCCCACTCCAGACAGCTGTCCCAAGAGGCCAAGCCTCTTGTAGCTTTCTTGCAGCCTCTTCCCCCGTTCCCTACCACTTGCTACCGTAGCCCCTGTATGTATAAGATTATATTCTACATTGCATTTTTCTGTTGCCAGGGGAAAGAGAAAGGGCATCTTGCTTCAGGTGGAGACAGGTGAGACCTGGTGAGGGAGATTCCTCTCCCATCACCTTGTACGAGAGCCTTAGCTACCAGAGCCCCCATTTTCTCAACTATAACACAGGGATGATGCCCGCCCTGTGTTCACAGAACCGACCTGAGAACCTCATAGGAGAAACTTGAAAAGATAAACTGCAAAGAACCATAAGATAGTAAATTCTGTTGCTGCATTCCACTGACTCACCTACTTAGGTGCCATGAGTGATTGTCAGCACCTTTCAGGACACCTGTGACCAGAGTTACCCCAAATGGTGCTTCACGGAGGGACAGCTTAATGGGGATGCAGACTCGGCTGTAAGTTAAGGCAAGGTCTTAGAACTTTGGGCTTGCTGTTAGTGGAGGGAGAGGAATAGACCTGTGTGCAGCCACTCACCTGAGCCGCCTCTGCCCTATTGCTTGTCACCTCCTTTGCCTCTCACCTCTGTGACTTCAGTGACCCATTCATCCCTGAAGAGAGCCAGTGGATTGTAGCTAATAAGCAGATAGCTGAAGCTTGGGGATGGAGGGAAGGAGAGGGCTAGTAGGTGTGGGCCCTTTGCCACTGCCAGAATCCTAAGAGCTGAGGGGCCCGGGGGGCCAGCTCTGCTCTCAGAATGGAGCCACTTAGGCATGCCAAATACTAAGGTACAGGCCTGGGGAGGGCAGGGAAGGGTTACTGCTGTTAGCTGCCCTCTGCCCAACCAGTCTGCTCATATCCCCTACCTCTGAACTCAAATGGACCTGGGCTGCTGCTTTCCATAGGCACCTTTCCTCCAGGACACAGCCTCACCAGGGACAAGGCTTGGCATGGACTAGCTTTAGTGGCCCAACATGTTTGGCAGGGCAGTGGCTCTGCTTGGGACCATCATCTCCTTGTCCTTGCTTACCCAGATAAGCTTTTCCCCAGACAGGCAACACCGGGGCCTAGGGCCAGGACTGGCCCACTGAACAAAATGGCTCTGGAATATTAAGAGTTTCCTGTTCTCTGTTAAACAGCGAAGACGACTCCTTGCTCAAGTGAGAAGGGGAAATAAGAAGAATCTTCCATTGCTCTGAAATACCCTGAGAGGACTCCAGACCCAGAACCCCATGGGCGTTACCCCCACCCAAGAACTAAAGGGAGACGGCAAAGAAAACAGACCTCAGCCTGTTCCTGTATCCAGCAGGCAAAGCCACTGGAGCTGAGAACCAAGCCTCTGGCTGCTCCATCAAGTACTCCCCACTCAATCCCAGAAGTGCAGGCAAAACCAGCCAGGCCAGGGCCACATGGGCACACACAGCTGGAGATGAGCACACCACCCAGGAGGACTTTAAATAGTGAAGCCTCCTCACCGTGGGCACTAAGTAGGCCATGTGAGGTCAAATGAAGCTGCCTGTTCCTGGGTCACACTCTTAGAGGGCACACTCTCATATCCCAATTAGTCACAGCCCAAGCTTTGTGCACCCCATTAGGGGATGAACACAGGGTATGGAGTCAGAGTCCTGGGTTCAGCCAAGCTGTGGGTCCTTGAGCAAGTGGAAACGGCTCCTCTGAGTCTGTTTTCTCATCAATGAAATGAAACTGAGGCGGCTTGCTTCGCAGGTTGTGGTGGGGATTACATAAGGTAATTGACATTCCCTTTGATGCAGTTGTGCACAGAACTGTGTTCATTGTAAGGCAATGAAACTATATCTGAACTATAACACAGGGACGAGGACGACGTCTGCCCTGTGTTTACAGAACTGACCCAAGAACCTCATTAAGTAATGAGGTACTGATGAGGATGCTTCTGGCTGGGCTGCAATGAAATGCTTTACAATGAAAACAACAGTTCTGTGCACAACTGCATCAAAGGTAATGTCAAATATAAACTGTCAAACTACCCAGGTTACTGTGTCAGAGGGGCTGTTGGTGACAGCATGACCAGCTTCCTGACATGCAGTAGATGCGGCCATCTATGGGCCAACATGGCCACTGCCTGGGACAGAATCCATCTGGGCAGTGTTAGAAGGCAAATCCCCTAAGAAGAAGCACCAGAGCATTGGAGCTGGGAAAAGGGTTGGCAGCCACTGATTTAGTGTAGCCTTTTCATTTTGCAGATGGGGGAAAACGAGGCCCCAGAAAGGCCAAGGCATGACCTCAACTTACCCATCTGGTTGGAGCTGCCCAGGGCCCACGCCTACCTACCCAGTCCAGATTCAAGAGTAAGCCTGCCCAGTACAGCAGTCCCAGCATACTTCCACAGTATCCACCCAATATTGCCATGGGCTTGACTGACTCTTACATAGGAGGTTCTAAACATACGTGAGGGAACATGAGGCAGACATGGGATTAGGTGGCAGAAGTTGGGGGAAATGATTCTACCCTGATGCCATCATCCCATTTAGATGGGCAAACCTTCAAGGAAGCCAGTGTTCTTGAGCATTTTGCATTCCTTTAGGCAAACTTTTCACTATCTGTGCTGGTCAGTGAGTCTTACCCAGTCCTCCCCAGGATTCGTGGAATCAGTTTGCTCCCGAAATGAACAAAAGCCAGGCAGGTAAAAGGGGAGAAGACAAGAGGCTCAGAGATTAGCTTCCAAAGGCTTGCTCTGGAGCTGCGGTTGGGAGAGCATTCCTGCCTCGTCCCGCCCTTCCGCTCTTCCCTGAGGAGAGGAGAGATGCTCACAGATGCTGGCAGGCTGAGGACTGTGCTTTGCATCCACTGCTTTATTACCACAGGCAGTGCTAACCTTAGCCCACCTGGCCCACACAGAGAGGGAAAGAACATTTCTGAGAACAGCTAACAAACCTGGGCTTCCCAGATGCATTCCACAGGAACCAAGGAAGTCCATTCTGAGTCAGTTTTCTAGGCCCTGGGGTTAGTGAGCACTTGGGCCACCAGGTTCTGGGTTAAGCTGACTTTATTAGGTCCAAAGACAGCTGTGAGGGGATGTGGCAAAGGTGTCTGGGAGCTGACCTTGCTTATGCATCCGAGGGCTGGGGCCACAGGGCGGGCTTGTGCTAAGCACCTTCTTGCCTAGTGCCCAACGGCTTGGAGGATTTCCAGGGCCAAGGGAGCCACCGCACTGTCGGCAAATGAACTGTAAGAAAAACCAAAGTAGGTACACTTAATAGGCATCTCTAAGGTAAAGTGCTCCCCCCTTTCAAAGGGGCCAGCCTCTTTTGCACCCGAGTATCTGGTGGACCAGCTGCAGCATCCTCTTGGGAAGCAGAAGCAGGAAATCCTGGCCCACAGTCCTGGTGGGGTTCAGAATTGGCCATGCCAGCACCCTGAGCTATTTCTGAGCTCCCAGCCCCAGCCACCACTCACTATCTGAGCCACCTCTGCCAGAAACACTGCCAGTGAGTGGTAGGCAGCCAGACTCTACCAGGCCTGGGGCCTTCAGTGGGCCTGCCTGGCTCCTGCCTGGAGCTGACTTATGTGTCCCAGACCCACTCCACACACTGACCCTCCCTGCTCCATTGCCCTTTCCAGCCAATCAGCCAGGAGCTTTCTTACTCTTATAGGTGTGGATGTGCAATTAAGAGCTTAAAACGGGAACTTTTTTACTGGAGCAAATTGTTTGAGACACATTTAAAACTATGTTTAACAACTGCTAGCAAAGAAAAGACTGAAACCAGTGACCCTTGAAGTGTAAAATTAGCTCGTGGCACACTCTTGACTGCACAGAAATAGAGCTGGTACCAAATAAATGGGTGGGGGTGGGGCCCTGCATAAAAGATGTGGGTGGCAGTGGGATGGGGCCATGACCAGGAGACCGTTCCATGCATTCCTGCTCTGCGCATCAAAGCCCCTGTGTGACAGAAGGAATGCGTTTGAACTTGGCCCACCCCTGGCTGAGTCTAGGCTAGACTAGTGGGGCCATGCTGCGCCCCCGCACACAGCAGGCCCAGTGAGGCTGGAAAGGACAAACTACTGGCAGAGCAGCATCGGAACTGAGAACAATGCCATCCACTCATTCTTGGTTGACAAGAAAACCCTTTCTGGTAAGGCAATCTGAACAAAGTCCAAACGAGAACTTTGCAGGAGCAACTTCCCCGCCCAACACAAGATCTGTCTGGTGTAGACGTTTTAGATGCTGGAGTACTGAGTGTGGGTGCAGGACAGACCACCAGCCTCATGGACCACTGAACCTTGTTTTGACACATTTGGTCCAAATTTGGGTCCAGCATGAGGATGTGCTATTTTTGGCTAAAAGGCAGCTATAGGTCCCTACTATGAGGAGACCCATAGCGCAGGTGCCTAGAGCGAAGGGGCTCTCTAGAGCTGTCTGTCAAACTCCACTCCTCTGTGGCTCTCTCTCTGCCCTCGGCATAAATCTCTGTAGCTGGCTCTATAATGGCATTTTGCACAAGGCCAGGATCCGATGGCATGTGCTCCTCAAAATAGTCTTACAGGAGGCCTATAGGCCAGTCCAGGGAGTCACTGTTCACACCTTACATGGCAGGGGCTCAGCAAGGTGTGAAGGGGCTTTTTGCAGGAAAGTCAGTCTCTCCTGCCCCTCACCTCACAGAAAACCATGAATACGAACTTACTTCTATGGTTTATGCTGAAGACAAAAGGGGTAGGGTTAGGCTAAAAAGGATGGTATCCTCCCCTCTCACCTATCCAGGATTAAATACAAAAGGCTGATTGGAATTGAGCCTTCTCTGCAAACTCACCTTCTTAGCAATGCTTCAGCCACTTATTTTTCTTCAAATTAATAACAAACCCAAAGCACACCAGGAAGCAGATTTCATAGAAACATGTAGTTCTAAAAACAGAATCTACCAGGAAATGGCAGACAGCATTCCAGGTCCAGTGAAGGTCAGGCACCCCATAGGAGGCGGGTCCTTCTCCCCAGGGTGGGGAAATGTTCCACTGAGCATCAGCGTCTCTGTGGGGCTGGCTGGGATGCCAGCTCCTTCTGCTTTTACAGCATGTAACATGCTCCTGGGTGATAGGCCTATCTCCGGTCTGTGGAACTCACTTCTAGGATGTTCTAGACACACTGACTGTACAGCCAAGGACTGGGAGGCTAGCCTAACCCCATGCTGTCAGCTTCCGGGTGTCAAATACGCAGTTCTGTGTGGTCCCTCTGAACTTCTGGCTGAGGAAGGTAACCTGGTGCAGCAGAGCAGGCTAAGCTGTCACATTTGCCCCAGCCCTGCCTGGGCCTTGAGTCCTCCACAAGGTGGTGATGAGGATGCCTCTGGCTGGGCTGCTGATGGGGGCATGTGTGCACAGGCCAGGGGCTGCCTTTCTCATGAGGTTCCTTGCATCTCCCACTTGGTCATCCACTCAACCTCTTCAGGGGCCTCAAGGTGGGAATATTGTTTCCCCTGGCAGGACTAAGACTTTCTCTCCCCCTGTTGATTCCTGTCCCCTCACTTTCCCCACCATAACTGGGGATTCCCAGTGTGTGGAGTGGCAGAGCTTCCCTTCCCACACTGGGAAGGATCTCAGTGGACAGTGATGGGCTGGAAGGTGGTAGTCCCTGGTGTGGAGGGAGATGAGTGGGAGGAGTGGAGAAAGGAATGGCTGAGAGTGTGTGCTGATCTAGAGCAGACTGCTGATCCTCCTGGGTCCCACTTACCCACTCCCAGGGGCCAGCCGCTCCAGAGCCCGCAGGAGGCTGCCTGCATTCTTGAGGCTCTCCAAGTGCTTCTCATTGGAGGTGATCTGCAAGGGCAGGAGGAAGAAGACAGTGGTCAGCTGACCCGTCCCTGACTCATGCCCTGTTGGATGGGCACCCTGAGTATCAGGCCTGCATGGTGCTGTGGCTGCCTAAGGCACTGGGGGGTGTCCCCTGGGCTTGTCTGTAACCCCCATGCGTAACCTCCCCCACAGAGTGTTGCTGACCAAGGGGAAAGAGGCAGGACACTGGTGGTCCTCAGGGGAGGGGACAAGGCAGTCTGCTGGGGCAGAAGACGGCCAGTTCAGGGCAGGGAGCCTCCTGCGGATCTCTCAGGAGAGTTTGTGTCTGGGAACCTGAACTTTCCAATTAAAGCAAAACTACTTTTTCTGTGCTGGGACTCAAGAGGCCTGGCTAGCAACTGGAAATCTGTCTTTGGGGCTCTCAGCCCAACATGATCTCTTTCACGTGGATAGAAGGATGCCAAGAAGGTGCCTGGGGACCTGGGAGAGAGGCATTAATAACTAAACCCCAGGAAGTGTGCCCATGCTAATCGCCACAGTCCTATGAGAAAAACACTTGGGCATGCCTGACTCTGTAGCACCTATTTGCAGAATCATACACTCTCAGGGCTAGAATAGGCTCAGGTGGGGATTTATCTAGACCCACAATTCTAGACCCACCCAGAGACCTCACAATTCAGACCCTCCATAAAATGAGTCCATGTCCTGAAAGGCAGAGAAGAGAAGGCTTTGATTCTACTATTAGACTTGCTTCTCTTAATTCACCGTTGCCTCCTATTGTTATCTTTGTTAGTTTAAAATTTCTTGTAATAAACGCTTGTATGGCACTTTACATTTCAGAATGCTGTTTCCTATATGTTTTCTCATTTAATCTTCTCAACAGCCTACCTTACAAGGTAAGTATATATCATGTTTTATTTATGAGGTAACCAAAGCTGAAATTAAGGGGCTGCTACAGGAGTCCACACGGAGCCAGACTGTCTCCCCACCACGAAGGTGGAACCAGGATGGCTTCAGCTGACTTTGATCACAGCAACCGAGGCTGGATTATTGTCTCCTTAGTTAAGAGGCTCAACATTTTTTAATCAACCACTCATGATAGGTCACAGGGGTAACTAAACATTAACATGAACTCTGAATTATATATGAATGCATTCGCACCTCCACTGAGATCCTCTCCC
Organism: Homo sapiens; assembly: GCF_000001405.40. Classification (NCBI taxonomy): domain Eukaryota; kingdom Metazoa; phylum Chordata; class Mammalia; order Primates; family Hominidae; genus Homo; species Homo sapiens. Next base: position 41,250,732 of record NC_000003.12, read on the forward strand.
ACCTTCCTGAGTATGCCAGAGAACAGCTGCCAGTTCAACTGCATCAGGTGTGATTTCTGCAAAGATTTGCATCTCGGAAGAGCTGCATGTAAATTTGTTCTGAAATTGCACCCAACTTGATGTGTTCAAAAGACTACTGCTTAAAAATGCCAGCTGTAGTTCAATTATGTCTGAAGTATGCATAAACTTACACTGAAGGTACACTCCCCATCAGGCGTCTTCAGTGAGGATTCCCACTTCATTTTTCTCAGAACTGCCTCAAACAGGTCAGCTGACTACATCCAGGCTCAGTGCCCCGACCAGCCCTGCCATGAGATTGTGTGCAGAGGCTGTGCTCCCAGGAAATCACCCACAAGTTGCAAATAAATCAGAAGATGACTTTCATCCACAAGGCTGGTTAGAAGGTGCAAATAGAAATCTACAGTGACAGTTATGTGATCAAAGGAAGATGCCAAAATGGTATCATGTGTAGCTGACATAAATGTAGACATAAACAACGCCAATTGAAAACTACGTGGTTTGGCCATTTACCTGACTCTTATTCATAACATCAGCTGTTGTTCTGTATATAAGGATGAGTTAATTCAAAAATAAAAATTTTAAATTATATCAATCAGAGGTTCCAGTTCTGCGTAAGACAGAGAAAACACATGACACTCTTTCTCTCCCTCTGGATGCAAATCTACAGCGCAGCTATTTCAGAACACTGAAAAGCAAACAGCAACAGGTAAATAGGAGAGGACACTGAATTCAAAGCACCACTGAACTGGCAGTGAGTTTACCACTTCTTTCTTAGCCTGGATGCAACAAACCCAAACCCCAAAAGCCCTAGAAGAAACCCAGCTTGAGGAATAGAGAAGGGAAATCCCCAAAACCCTAGAGAGTAGATGAAACCCCCTCAAGATTGCTTTGCTCTTTTTTCTCCATCCTCTTGTGTCCCAGGCCATTCTGTGATGGCAGCAGTGGTAGTGGGGACAGAGGTGGCAGCAACAATAGCCAGCAAGAGGAGCCTGCAACCAGATCTCTATTCTTTCTCTGTTCTCCTAGTGTTTGGCCTGGATGTTGCATAATCATGGAACTAGGCAGTTTTAGGCCAGATAAAAAATGGGAAACCCAGAGAACCAGAAAGTACTGGGGAGAGAATGAATCAAGAAGAGCTTAGTAAAGTTACTCCATAAAACTGTTTATGAACTCTTGGCCTCACCCCCAACCTGTGTATGCATGGAACCGATCCCAATAGCATGCCCCAGAATTGAAGAACTGAGGTAACAAATATATCTCTGCTCACATCCCAGACTGACCCCTGGGGAGGGACACACCAGATAGATGCACATAGCACTGCAAAACCTGTGAAACCAATATGACACTGAAATTACAATTCCAACCTGCAGCCTGAACCTAATCAGCATGATTGCTTGCTAAAACAAAAATATCAATATTCTCTGTAGTATTTAACAAGACAGGGTCTTATAATGTAATATTTTTAATGACCAGGATACAATTCAAAATTACTTGGCAAAAGCAACCATAAAATCTCAGCTGACATGAAAAAAGACAATCAACAGAGGACAATAAACAAAATGACATATGTTGGAATTATCTGACAAAGACTTCAAAGTGCTATTATAAAAATGCTAAAAACAATCACTAACACTCTTGAAACAAGTATTACAATAGAATATATCAGTAAAAAAGGAGAATATAGCAAAGAAGAACCAAATGAGAATTTTCTAACTAAAAACATAATAACCACAAATTTAAATTTAAAGTCATCACTGGATAGACTCAATAGCAGAATGGAGACAATAAAAGGAATGAGTCAGTGAACCTGAAGAAGATAGATCAATAGAAATTATCCAATCTCAGCAGCAGAGATTGAAAAAAAAAAAAAAAAAAGATTGAGAACACAAATGAGCAGCACCTCAGGGACCTATGAGACAATAGCAATAAGTTTTTGTCATTGGAGTTCCAGAATGAGAGGACAGAGAATAAATGAATGAAAAAGTATCTGAAGAAATCATGACTAAAACTATTCCAAAACATGCTCAAAGAAATAAATCTACAGATTCAAGAAACAGTAAATCCCAAACAAGATTAAACCCAAAGAAATCCATAACCAAATCCATCAAAATCAAACTTGCTGAAGACAAAGGATGTTGAAAGTGGGCAGAAAAAAAAATGATATATTACTTATAGGGTAACAATAATTTGAATTATTGTGAATTTCTCATCTGAAACTACTGAGGCCATTAGATTTTAAGATGCTAAATGAAATGAACTACCAAACTAAAGTTATATACCTAGAAGATATCATTCAGAAATGATATCATAGTTTCAAAATATTATTTAGGAATGAAGGTGAAATAAAGATATTTTCAGATGAATGAAAACTAATAGAAGCAGAGCTGCTATAAAAAATTTACTAAAGGAAGTTCTTCAGAGAGAAAGCAAATAACACCAGAAGGAAACTTGGAACATCAGGAATGAAGGAAGAGCAATAAAAATGGTAAATATAACAGGATATTATCTTTCTTTAAAAGCTGTTTAATAGTAGAAAAGAAAAAATACATATAATATTGTATTGATGGGGTTTTCAACATATGTAGATGTAACATATAAGACAGCTGGAACATAATAAGATGGGGGAGAGCAAAGGAACCTATATGGTAGTAAGGCTTTTATGTTCCATTTGAAGTGGTAAAATATTGTCATAAGTAGACTCTAAAAAGTTAAGTATTTTATAACTCCAAGAGCAACCACTTAAAAAAATTATACAAAGAGATGTAATTTAAAAAAAAACCCACAACAGATAAATTAAAATTTAATATTAAAAATGTTCAAATAGCTTAAAAGAAAGCCGGAAAAGGAAAAGTGAGGAAATAAAAACACTGAACCTAATCAGAAATCAAATAAAAAGGCAAACTACATTGTAACATACCAAGAATTACATTAAATGTAAATGATCTAAATGCAGCAAGTAAGAAATCTCCTGAATGATTTTTAGAAATGATCCAACCATCTATTGTGTGTAAGAATCTTAATTCAAATATAATGAGATAGTGGTTTAAAGTAAGAGGATGAAAAAAGATATACCATGCACACATAAATCAAAAGAAAGCTAGAGTGGCTATAGTAATGTCAGGCAAAGTAGACTTCAGAGCAAAGAAAATTACCAGGGACATATTTTGATTAAAGGGTTTTGTAACCAAGAAGACATAACAATAAATGTGTATACATCTAACAGTAGAAATTACACATACAGAAAGCAAAAACTGATACAACTGAAAAGGAAAACAGATAAATCCACAATCGTAGTTGGAGATTTCAAAACTCCTCTCATGATAAGAAACAGGATAAGTAGACAAAAATCAGCACGGATACAGAAGAACTGAGGAACCCCATCAACCACATGAATCCTATTGACATTTGTAGATCACTGATCCCATCAACAACAGTATTCACATATATTGCAAGAATCCAGGAATACTTACAAATGTATACAGTATTCTGTGTCATAAAACGTATCTTAACACATTTAAAAAAATTGAAACCATATAAAATATATTCTCTGACCATATGGAATTAAACTAGCAATTAATAACCAAGATAACAGGAATATTTTCAATCACTTGGAATTAAACAGCACACTCCTAAATAATCCAAGGGTTAAAGAGGACATTCCAAGAAAAATTAGAAAATAATCTTAGCTGAATGAAAATGACCTTGATACAACATGTCAGCATCTGGAAGGGGGCTAAAGCAATGCTTAGAGGGAAATCTATAGTACTAAATACTTATTTTAGGAAAGAAGAAATGTTCCTAATCAATCAATAATTTAAGCTTCTACATCAAGGAACTAGGAAAAAAGGGCCGGGCGCGGTGGCTCACACCTGTAATCCCAGCCCTTTGGGAGGCTGAGGAGGGCGGATAACTTGAGGTCAGGAGATTGAGACCAGCCTGGCCAACATGGTGAAACCCTGTCTCTACTAAAAATAGAAAAATTAGCCAGGCGTGGTGGAGGGTGCTTGTAAATCCCAGCTACTCAGGAGGCTGAGGCAGGAGAATTGCTTGAACCCAGGAGGCAGAGGTTACACTGAGCAGAGATCATGCCACTGCACTCCAGCCTGCGTGACAGAGCGAGACTCCATCTCAAAAAAAAAAGAAAAGAAAAAAAAGAAGAAACTAGGAAAAAAAGGAGCAAAACAAACCCAAACTGGGAAGAAAACAAGAGCAAACATTAAGAGGAATGTGGTAAATGTAGGCCCTAAAATATCAATACTTACATTAAATGTAGATTTACCAAATGCTCCAAGTAAAAGATTTCAAGCTGTATATAAACAAAATAAAACATATCTCTTATATATAATTATATACATCTGTAATATATAAATTATGGCTACACACACACACACACACACACACACACACAGTACTTATAACAAATATATTTTAAATATAAGGGCACCAAGGCCAGGCGCGGTGGCTCATGCCTGTAATCCCAGCACTTTGGGAGGCCGAGGTGGGTGGATCACCTAAGGTCAGGAGTTTGAGACCAGCCTGGCTGACACGGTGAAACCCCGTTTCTACTAAAAATAAAAAAAATTAGCTGGGCATGGTGGCACAAGCCTATAATCCCAGCTACTTGGGAGGCCGAGGCAGGAGAATCACTTGAACCCGGGAGGCGGAGGTTGCAGTGAGCTGAGATCGTGCCATTGCACTCCAGCTTGGGCAACAAGAGCGAAACTCCATCTCAAAAAATAAATAAATAAGGGCACCAAACAGTTGATGGTTAAAGGATGGAAAAAGATATGACATGCTAACAGTAACCCAAGAAAGTTGGCATAGCTAATACCAGATAAAGTAGACGTTAAGGCTATAATCGTAACTAGAGGTAAGGAGGGACATTTCATATTTATAAGAAAATAAATTGGCCAGGAAGATACAGCAATTCTAAATTTGTGTGCTCCTGATCACAGCCTCAAAATATATAAAACAAACAAATAAAAATGACAGAATTAAAGTGAGAATTACATAAATCCACAATCATGGTGACATACTTTTCAATCTCTTCCAGCAATGTGCATACAGAAACCAGAGGGGACACACAGGTTCTATACAACAAGAGTAACAGAATTGACTTAATTCACTTATATAAAAAATCATCTAAAAACTGCAGAATATATATTCTTTTCAAGTGCATATGGAAAATTTCCAAAATATACCATCTGCTGGGTCTTTAAGGCAAGTCCTGACAAATTCCAAAGGTATAAATCTGATAAAATATATCAGGATCTCTATGAGTAAAAACTGTAAAATGCTGACGAAAGAAAATAAATAAATGGATACACAATATTCAAGGATTGGAAGGCTCAATATAATAAAAATTTCTTCCAAAATATAGGTCTAATGAAATTCCTATCAAAATCTCAGCAGAAATCTTTGTAATATAGAATAGCTGAGTCTATTGCTTCTTGGCCTTTTGGCTAAGATCAAGTGAAGAATAACTGACTCTAAAATTTGCAATGGAAAGGCAAAGGAGCCAGAACAGGTAAAATAATTTTGAAAAAGCAGAATAAAATTTAGCCATCATACTACCCAACTTTAAGAGGCACTACATGATTCCAGCAACCATGACAATGTGGTACTGGCAGAAGGTCAGACACACAGATAATGGAATAGACAACAGAGCCCAGAAACAGAACTACACAAATTATTGTTAAAATTTTGACAGAGGTGCAGTTAATTCAAGGAGGGAAGAACAGTGTTTTGAAAAAGCAGTGCTAGAACAAATGGATGCGCATATGCATAAACATCAACCTAGACATATATTTTACATCTTATATAAAATGTAATTTTAAATGGATGATGGATCTAAATGTAAAATGTAAAAACTATATAACTTCTAGAAGAAAATATGGAAGAAATTCTGTGACCTTAGATTTGGTGATGAGTTTTTAACATAAAAACATAATCCCTTAAAAAAATTATAAATTGGACTTCGTCAATGTTAAAAACTTTACTTTTTGAAAACATAAGAGAATGAAAAGATATGCCATAGACTTGGAGAAAATATTTGCAACTTACATATCTGATAAAGGACTTATATCAAGAACATAAAAGTAACTCTTTAAAAATATTATTTTTAGAAAGAGGGTCTCTGTTGCCCAGGCTGGAGTGCAGTGGTGTGATCATGGTTTACTGTAACCTCATACTCCTGGGCTCAAGCAATCTTCTTGCTTGGCCTCTTGGTTCTCACCTTGGCTGGGATTACAGATGGAGGCCACCATGCCCAGCTAAAAAGAACTCGTCAAATTCAATAATAAGAGAACGACCAGCCTAGTTTTTAAAATGGGTAGAAAATCTGAATAGACACATCAGAAAGAAGATATATGGGTGGCAAATAAGAAAAGATAACTCAACGTTGTTTGTCATTAGGGAAATGCATATTAAAACTGCAGTGCAATACCTATTAGAATGGCTAAAATTCATAACACTGACAATAACAATGTTGGTAGGGATGAAGAATAACAGCAGTTCTCATTTATTGCTGATGTGAATGCAAGATGGAACAGTGCTTTGGAAGACGATTTGGCAGTTCTTTATAAAACTAAACATACAGGCCAGACACAGTGGCTAACACCTGTAATCCCAAAACTTAGGGAGGCTAAGGCAGGTGAATCACTTGAGCCCAGGAGTTCAAGACCAGCCCCAGCAACATAGTGAGACCTCATCTCTGCAACGAAATAAATAATAATTAGCTGGGTGTGGTGGTGCACACCTGGTCCCAGCTACTTGGGAGGCTGAAATGGAAGTATCGCTTGAGCCTGGGAGGTCAAGGCTTCAGTGAGCCATGATCAAGCAACTGCACTCTAGCCTGGGTGACAGGGTGAGACTATGTCTCAAAAAAAAAAAAAAAAATTAAACATAGTCCTACCATATGGCCAAACAATTGCACTCTTGGATATTTACCCAAGTGAATTGAAAACTTATGTCCACACAAAAACCTGTATTCAAAATCCTTCACACTTTTATTCATAATCACTAAAATGTAGATGCAACCAAGCTGTCCTTCAACAGTGAAATGGAAAAACAAGGAAGTCGTCATGCATTACTTGGAATGCAATCAGACTTATAGAGTCTGATTTGATTTTTAGAATGAGATATTAGTAAAAAATAAATCTGAGTAATTTTTGAAACAATAAGAGTTTGAATTTACCTTGCTAAATTATTGTATACTATGATACCAAACCATTTTCTATAGCTGGTAATGCCCGTGATAAGAGGATTTCAAGGGGCTCTGAAATGAATGATCCTTGGGAGTGGACTGCTTCTGTCTCCCAGAGTTGAGTGTCCTCTTAGGCCGCTGAAGGTTGTAAATTAAGATAGGAACCAGCCCTCTTTTAGAAACATTAGATTCCACTGTATCTGCTGGACTATGTGGCCTTTAACCTTCTATTTTCTCAGTACCTTAATTTTCTTCAAAAACCAAATTATGGGTCCACTCAAAAGTCATCCCACCTACTCCTCTTTTGAGCTACTTAGGCAGAGAATGTTTTGTGCAAACTGAAACCCACAAAGAAATCTCCTCTCCATTTTGAAGGAAGTAGGAGTCAAAGTGACCCTTGTCTACTGTGATGCTGAATTCATGACTAAGAGACTATTGGTGAACTTATCCTGGCTGTGATTACAGACGTCAAGAGGGAGTATTCCAGCGACACTAAGAAAATAATGCAAGAGAACGCCAGCGAAGAGTGTAAGCACAATACCTTCTTCCCAAAGTTAACATTTTCATTACTGGCAGTCAGTTAGCCAAGACAGGCTAACTCAATTTTATTTTGCAATAATGTACTATAGCAGAGGTTCCTGGACCTGTGAGTCCATGAGTGGATTTCAATATTTCAAAACATCAAATGGCAGGCATCCATTTCCTGCAAACAAAGTCATGCCTGCCTCACATTTCTCTGCTTTATGATGAAAATATATCAGCCAAACCTGGAGTGCCAGCCATTATCTCATGCTGCTAAGACATCTGCCTGGTAGCTAAATGGCTAAAATCAATCAAAATGGAAACATGAATTATACTAAATACATAAATTTCACCTGGTAGACAGGTAATTTTCAAAACATGGGGTCTTTAAAGGAAAAATCATAAAATAATTGGGAATTTGAGCTTAGAATTAAGATAAACTTGGAAAGACAATTCCTCTACATCTGTTGAATATATATATATACATATATGTGTATATATATACAGATATACATATATACATATGTATACATATATACATATCTATGTGTATATATACGTATACACACATATATGTATATGTATATGTGTATATACATCTGATGATATATATACATATATGTATATGTATATATGTGTATATATATATATATAAAATCAGATAACACACTTGGGATAAATACATAATTTTATGCAAACTCTGCTATGGTCACTTTAACATGGCACTGTGTCAATCCAGCATTCACCCAAATATTGAAAGGAGATGGTAGTGTCCTACAGAATCATCTTCAAATTCTCCACTAGGCTCATGAATTGTAAAGTAGTGGTTTTAAACACAACACCCTGCAGTACACAGTTTGGGTTGGCTCTTCTCTGGATTTCAGCTTCCCCAAATACAAACTAGCAAGTGGAGCCATCCTATGCCCCCTGATAATGGCAGAACCCTGAAGTTGGCAGCCTCTTCAGTTTGCAGGAGAGGATGTGAGAACAGAGAAAACAATGGCTTGCCCAAGGCAAAGTGGCCATTGAGGGACAAATCTAAGACTGGTGCCTATACTCCTCATCTAAGGCCTTAAAAAACAAGCAAACCAGAACTTCTATTTTCTATCACCGTGGCACATCAGGAATTTATGCTCACAAATATGACTCACAGCATCATCCTCCTCCTAAAGCTTGTAAAATGCTCCAGTGCAGCCTTCTGTATTTGTAAATGTTTTTTGGTGTGGAGAGATATGTGGCTGTAACTGAGTAAGGTATGGGCATGCTGTGGTACTTTGTTTATGAGTGTGCAATAATATATGTCAATATCTGTAGTGATCTTGAATGTGTGTGGCAAAAGGAAGTCCAGTTAACTTTTGCTTTCTAATCATGAGTTCCTCTCAACAGGCCCAGGCAACACTGACAGACTAGAAAAAAAATATCAGGAGATGAAGCTGACACAGTGAGAGCAGCCCAGGTGCTTCTTGGTGCTTGTTATTACAGACACACACTTCACACAGGGGAGGATTATTTTAATTCTGTGGCCTTCAGATCTCATAAATACAAGTAAAAACAAGCAGGTAACTATGATAACTTTACTTCAGAGAGTTTAAATTTCAAAAATAAACCTATCCATCCAGCCCCTTCATTTTGTTCTCTTAATGTACACTTTGTCTTCTCTTCAGCTGGGGTTTTCATGCTACTTCAAAGCCATTTCTCCCAACTGCTCATAGAGACAGGCCACCCTCTTGCCACCTGATGCCAGGATGGAATCTGGAGGAGAACCTCTCGTCGGCATGATGCAATCTGGCAGGCCCGCCTTCATTTTCTACCTGGTGTTGCAGTGTGCATTCTGGGTCCTTCCAGAAGCATCCTGAGCTGCTGCCAGGGTCTCACCTTTCATATTCAGATTAAAGCAAGTCCATATTAACACATCCTGCTCTGCATCCAGGCCCATATGCTCATCACACCTTCCATGGGATGCTGAGTAAATCTGAGACTGAATGGAATAATTTTCATGCATGGCCTCCAGCTGCCTCACAGCATCCGTGCCTTCCCTGGAGTCCATTTGGAAACTTTATGTACCTTAGCAAAAGCAAGTGAGGCCCTGTCCATGATTAGTAAGCGGGGGATCATCTGAAAGAGATCTAGAGGTGTCCCTAAGGATTCCCATCAGTGCATCTGCTGATCACCAAGGGTAAGGGGGTAACAGTTGGAACTCAAGGGAAGAGGCAGGGTCTTACAGAAGAGGTAGGCCCAGTCACAAAGGCTTGCTCCCCTAGATTTGACCCAGGTCCCCATGAATGCAGATTCTCTGGAGGGTGACAGAGATATTGCACTAAACACCTGGAACAGTACTGGAGCATAAGCAGCACCATGTTTCTGTCCAGGAGGACCACTATGTGAGGCGGTCTGTCACCCTCTGCATGAAGCACAGCTTTGCTTTAGCTCACTGGGAGGCCCCAAGCATACTGAGGCCTGAGGAAGTGGTGGCATCTGGAATACAGTGATTCCTCAAGGTGAAGGAAGCTGGGAGAGGAAAGGAAGAAAACAGCAGATGACCTCTTGTTCAAGGGCAGCGATGAGTCTCCATGTGGTGTACTCCAGACAAACCGGGTAGGAGAGGGGAGTACACAGGGCATTAGTAGATGTGCGGGGGCAAAGTTGACAAAACCCAGATTTCAGGTAGAAACTGTTGGATTCACTTTTACCTATAGGATTAAATAAGTAAAAAGCCTTGGAGTAAAACGGCTTGGGATTTGCGTCAAGAAAGGAAATTAACATTTCTGAGCACCTACTATATTCAGGAATAGAGTTAACTGCTTTCAAACATATAATTTTCTTTTTGACAACTTGAAAAACAAGTATTAACTGTGCTCACTTTACAGATGAGAAAATGAAGGCTAGGAGGGCTCATGTGACTTGTCCAAGGTCAGCTAGCCAGCAAGCAGTGGCACTGAGATTTAACCCAGTCCCCTCAACTTCAAGATCCACACTCATCCCTTGAGACCACGGCATCTTCACATCTGCCACTAAGTACCTGGCAAAGTTGTTGGCTGATTGGCTGATTTAAAAAAGTAAGCAACTGACTAAGCCGTGTTTCTAGCCCCACTGCCTACATGTTGTGTTATCTTGTATAAATGGCTTGCACTGCTCTGCCGGCCATCTCTTGTAAATTGCATAGCGCCCTTTGCTCCCCCAGTCATTGTTGCTCATCCTCATCATTTCCAGGCAAAGCAGGAACCGCAGAATCTCTCTCCCAGATGGAAATGGAAGTTGTTGCTCTTGACCAAAGGAGTCTGTGGATCCTGTGTACTGTCCAGTAAGCTGTTCCTGATATGGAGAGCACCATACTTTTGGCAACTTCTTTCAGGCTTGGCTACCAAAGGCTTTGCACATCTCTCCTGGCGCTCTTAGATGGAGGTCCGTCTTTGCTGGTGATGAGAAGTGAATCAACAGTTTGCTGGGTAGCCACTGTGGGCCATTATCTCATGTTCTCTTCACAGTGACCCTATGAGGAACATCTTCCATGATCACACGTTAGAGACAGGGTGAGGCGGTGATTAGTAGTGGAGTTGGGATGGAGGCCCAGATTGGGCAGCTCTCTCCTGCATCCCACCCCATTGTTGCTCTGCCTTCCCTCCATTGCTTCCTGCCCCAGTCACCATGTTGCCCTTTGCCTCTCCCCATGAAGGGTGTGGCTGCAGGAGCACCAGGCGAGAGACAGGGCCGGTGTCCAACTGGGGAAGCCGGGAGTTGACATTTCCATGAGTAGTGAGGAGGCTGACATTCTGCCATGGGGGGAGCTAGTCCCAGCTTCCAGGGGCCCAGGTTCCCAAGGAAATAGCTTGGCCTGTATTTAAGACAGAAGCCTCTCAAACTGGGGTCAAAGTAAGGAACACTGCTCCTTTCCACTGACATTTCCAGATTTGGAGATGCAGCGTGCAAAGGAGGATGATGGTAAGCTAGCGTTTGAATGATCAAAGGGCACACTTTGGTGAGAGCAAAGCAGTGTTGAAGGACTTTCTTCTTTCTCTTGACCTTTATTTCCTCCTCCTGGGGTCTGTATGTTCCCTTAACTTAGCCTGACACCTCCATTCACCTCTCTTGCCCAAACTCCTCTCTGTACCTGTGGGCACCTGCCAAGTCTAGAGGCTACAGAAGTAACATGCGGAGGATTTGAATGTTTTTCTTTTTCACCCCATAAGACATGATTATTTTCTAAGAGAAAATTATCCATAGCTACCTCCTTTCTTCATTTTAGGCCAACCAGTTCTCTCAGCTCTCTGCAGGGCAGTAAAAATGCCCTTATTGCTTAGAAACTGTTCATAATTACATCAGTTTCTGGCCATTAAGTCCCATAAGTCTAAAATGTTGAATATAATATAGCTGCTTTGGGAAGTCTTTTAGGCCTGATCCAACTAACTAACTACAACAGCCAGTTCCAAAATAAGTGAGGACACAGTTTTAATTGGCAAAAAATTATGATGTGGACTTTTTGTAGATATAAAAATAAATGGGAGGTTGGCCCAAAGTAAGTTCTGGTGAAATACAGGATCAGGACTACCGTTTTGCCCAGGAGGACCCAAACCAAGCACTTAGAAAAGCACGAGAGCATAGATTTCTAAGGCACTGGCATGAGGATGTCAACTATGGATGTGGCTGGAATTATTTCCTCACAAGAAAAAATACTTGGGGTGGTAACCAAAGTGGGATAGCTTCGGTCATAAGAAGTGAGGAACAGTGTATCTATCACGCAAACCTGATCCAAGCAAATACTAACCAGTCCTTAGGAATGCTATATGGGGTCATAGTGAGCTGTGTATTTGACAACAGAGTCACTGATTTTGTGTTGAGAGTGTTTGTGTGATAGGGAGGGCTCTGAGGTGGGAAACGGGAGGGAGATAAGAGAAAGAGCTTAACAGGGCCTGTTTCCAGCCCCTTCTCTGAACCTCCCACTGGATGGAGGGAAGCAAAGTAGAGCCATGTCAAGTCAACTTGGCTAAAAAAGCCCACAGCTTCCTTCTTTCCCCAGTTCCTCACTCGACAAGGTAAGGATACTATCAGCCACTAAACCACTCTGCAGTGATTCAGCCACTATACATAGGGACAATCAGGAAAATACTCATAATATAAAGTAAAAAAACACACAATATAAAAACATGCATGGACCATGACTGCAAGGATATGCAATAAATATCATACATCCTGAATTTGAGACCTCCAGTGTCGTAAGAAAGTGCCACCAAATCCTCACACCCAAGGCCCTCAGTCTAGTCAAAGGTGGGCAGAAAAGCAATCACAATCACACATGAGATGCATACACATGAAAAGCTCTTTTGGCAACTGTAAAGGATCCTACAAATATTAGCATGATTCTATGGTCAATAGGACAGTGTGTATTGAGCACCTATGTGTTGGACTCTGTTTAGATTCTGGAGAAATAGCAGGGGGTGCCGGGTGTCAAGTCAGAGCTTCCACCTTGAGAAACACAATTAAAAAGTAAACAAATACAATAATTTGAGATGCTGATAGGTGTCATGAAGAAAGTAAAGGAGGGGAGAGAAGAACAATGGTGTGAGGTCAGCCAGGACAGTCTCCCTGAGGAGGTGACACATAAGCCAAGGGTAGAATGATGAGAAAGAACCAGCCATGAGAACATGTGAGGGACTTATATTGTAAAAAGGGGTGATAGCAGCAACCATGAAGGCCTGAAGTGGGAACAGGTGAGGCAGAGATTTTTTAAAGGTTGCAGAAGCAGGGACCAGCTGGAAGCCAGAAGCCAGTTAGGAGGGACTTTGGGAATGGTCCAGGTGAGAGGCAACAGGATGAGGCACAACATCCAGGAACTCACATGCCAGCGCCAGATCCCTAACCACGCTGACACAGTGCCTCCTCCCCTGCCTTCCAATGACCCTTCAATTGAGCAGAGGTAAGATGCCGTGTGGCCCTTTGTCCTCAGTGGCAGAAGCAGTGCCTTGGTGGAGGTGTGAGCCAGCAGGTGGCTGTTGGGGTGGGCATGCCACATAAGCCACGCATTTTAGACCCTCTCTTGTAGGGCTAAATGCTGAAATAGTCCCATTCTGAGCAAACAGGAGAAGAGTCTGCCTCATCAACCATATGGAAACAGAACCTGTGAGATTCCTATCAGAAATAAAGTCACTCAAGTACTCTTCAAAGAAGGGGAAAAAAAGAGTTTCCATTTGAAAATGGGCAATATGATTACATATTCTCTGATTTGGAAGGAGATGGATTAATCGACAATTATAAGCAATCTCTTCAACAGATTATATTAGATGAGCATTCTATTTTTTGGTAACTTTTAATACATGGTGGAATTTTTACGTGAAGTCTTCAGCCTCTCCTTGAAACTCATGTTACAACTGGAGGAAAAAGTCAGTCAGTTATGGCCAGCTGTAATTTCTGCCCTTAATAACATGCTCTACTGAGCAAAAACACCTCTGCTGCAGTGAATCCCCAGTGTGGAAGGGAGACTTGTGACAGGGCACAGGGCTGGGGCCTAAGACCTAATCCCCACAGGCCCTCAGAGAAACCACCATAAAGAACTCCAGAGGCATCAAGTTGGGATTTATAAGGCAGGACAGAAGGACTCCACGACTTTGGGACACGAGGTGGCCAGGCCTGGAGAGTGGAGGCTGGGCCAGCACTGCAGAATCCTCAGCCTGGACTGGGCACCGAGCCTCAGTCAGGAGGGCAGGTAGGGGACCATCTCAGATCCACGGCCACAGGGGGCCACGGCCAGCCAAAGTGTGAACCCAAGGTGGCCAGCTCTGAGAATGATCTGCATGCTTCCTAGGACTGAGGGCAGCCACGTTTGTGAGACACACCGTCACCTCGGGCCCTTGCTGAGCATGAGTCACAGCCAGGCGGAGTGCAGCTGGGCACCCACTGGAAACAGCTGGTAGGGCCACGCAAACTCAGTCATTTGCTCTGTCCTCCAGACTTCACCTCATACTTCTGTGGCTCTCTAATGAAACATTAGGGGCCGCCAAAATTCCTTCAAATTAATAAAATTGGGAGGAAAATAAAATGGAAAGGAAAATTGAAGCACACTTGGTTTACATTATTAAAGCCGTCAGGCACCAATTAATCAAAATCTAGGCCTGATATTGACTACTGGACAGCTGAAAATTCCCATGGTGGCTGTTATTTTTGTTGAGGGACTTGATCAAATACCGACTCCATTTGGAAACATTTTATAATGACCGTTTTCAGAAAATGAGCAGCCCCTTTGAGAGATCTCACCCTTCCCTCCCTAAGGCAGGGCCACAGCTTTGAGGACGTTTTTTGCGAAGCCTTTGAGAGTCTGGCTCCAGGAGAAGGGAAGGGAATCGTGAAATCTGTGGGTTTTTACCTCCAAGAGACAGGTCCACTGTCAGCTGACCCAAAAGCATCCATTCTGCACAGCTTGGTGGTGACAAGTAGCTATGTGTGTGGTAGGGGCTTGGAAAACTCCCAGGAGGCATCTGCTGGTCCACACACCCCCTGCTCTGGGTGAATCAGAGGACCACACAGGACCCAGCAGAATGTGTATGCACAGGAAATAACTTTCTGGCTAAGTGTCAAATCGGCCTTGAGATAAAATTAACTGAAGCAAGGTCTCCCAGGCCTCCAAGGGCAACATCAAAGAGCCCGGATATTCCTCTCTAAAAGGCTTTGACAGGCTGAGTGGACCAACCTCCTCAGGCCTCTGCTCTTTATACTTGTGGACAGGCCCAGCCAGAGCAGCGGCTGGTGCAGGTAGCAGGACAGGGTTGGGATCCTGGACTCAAAGGAGTTGTGACCACCATGTAGCAATCACTCCTTCTGGGCAACCCTGGGCACTTGAACAGGACAGCAGAGCTATGGTCCAACTGAATCTCTAATGGGTGAAGCTGATTCTAGAAAAGCCTCAGGCTGGCTGCAGACTCTGCTTACACATTTTTTTGCAGAGCAGAGAAGGATGCATAAAGAGAGGTCTCACAGAGTCAAGGTCCCAGAGCACTGAGACCACTGAGACCAAGAGAGACTCCCTCCCAGTCCAGGTGAGCTACCACGGGGGAATTCTCACGCACAGGCTGTTTGGCTGCAAATACGCTGGACTTTGTCATTGTTTCTTTGCATTTTTCTTGATGGCTTATAATACAAGGTTAGGTCTCTTGGAAGCCTAAGAAGATTATCCAAAAAGGCTGTTTTCAGTTGGGTTAGAGTGTAAATAGCATACAAGTGCTTCATGAACCCCAGTTCAAATTCAAAGGTATTCTTAGAAGGTTTTCATTAAATAAAGGCAGGAAAATAAATTAAGACCAAGAAAATGATTTCAACAGAGGGGTGAAGGGGGAGCTCCTATTCTTCCTTCTTACTGAAGTGCTTCATCCAAACAGCCTCCTTTACTTCCATGGTCCCTTAAAACCACTTTGCTAGGAGTCGACTTATGTGGAGCAAAGGCAATACTAATGGAGGGTGTGGCTCCTCTGTGGCCACTAAGTGGAAAATATAACCCTCTTGCCAGCTACCTCATGTGGCAAGTGTGTGTGTGTGAGTAAATCTGTGTCTCTATTGGGGGGGGGGGGTTTAAGGCTTTTTTTTTTTTTGCTTTTAAGTTCCAGGATACATGTACAGTACATGCAGGTTGGTTACATAGGTATACGTGTGCCACGGTGGTCTGATGCAGCTATTGACCCGTCTTCTAAGTTGCCTCCCCTTGCCCCGCATCCCCCAACAGGCCCTGGTGTGTGATGTTCCCCTCTCTGTGTCCATGTATTCTCATTGTTCAACTCCCACTTATGAGTGAGAACATGCAATATTTGGTCTTCTGTTCCTGTGTTAGTTTGCTGAGGATGATGGCTTCCAGCTTCATCCATGTCCCTGCAAAGGACATGATCTTATTCCTTTTTATGGCTGCATAGTACTCCATGGTGTATATGTACCACATTTTCTTTATCCGGTCTATCATTGGTGGGCATTTGGGTTGGTTCCATGACTTTGCTATTGTAACTAGTACTGCAATAAACATACGTGTGCATGTGTCTCTATAGTAGAATGACTTATATTCCTTTGGGTATATACCCAGTAATGGTATTGCTGGGTCAAATGGTGTTTCTGATTCTAGATCCTTTAAAACTTATCTTGGACACACTCATTTACCCTGAAATAGAGGATATGATGGATGCTAAAAAGGTGACAGTTCTAAATGCCCTACCACTATAAATTCTGCATGACTCTTAGAGCCTAATTTGACATCAGCCACAGTGAAAAGTCCTTAACATGCACTCCTCCTGTCCACACCAGATCAATGAGTCCTGCTGCTACTCTCGTTTACAGATGAGGAAACTGTCACCTCAGGAGGCAAAGTGACTAGCCATGGTCTTCCTGACTTCGAATCCTTGATCTCAACCATCAAAGGACACTGAGAAAGAATGAAGGAGTCAGCAGTTGTAGCTGAGATGTCTACCAGATTGAGAGAGCCCGTGAAATAGGAGTCCAACTGTAGCTGTGTTTGATTCAGTGGCTTCATGGCACAGCCGACTACTTCACATTCATATTCCTCAACTGGGGGTGATTTTGACCCCCAGGAGACATTTGGCAATGTCTGGAAACACTTTTGGTGGTCACAACTGGGGATAAGGGGAGGTGGACTGGCATCTAATGGGTAGAGCCAGAAATGCTGCTATACACTCCATATTGCACAGGACAGTCCCCATGATAAAGAATTATCTGACTCACAATGTCAATAGTGCCGAGGTTGAGAAACCATAGGCTAGACCATCTGATCCATGCTGAGTCACGCTGTGTTGCCTTCTCATGTTACATCAGGATGCCTTTCTTTGAAAGGTTACTAACCACCCTCCCCACTGGACTACAAACCCTTCTTTTCCTCTCTCCTGAGGTTGAAGTCTTGGACCAGCCTTTCTTCCAACACATAATACTCTTACTTCTGCGGTACTTGGGTCAGTGGCTATCACTTGGTTATATCCTGTCCCAGGGTGAACTTGTGCTTCAAGGTCCTTCTGGGCTGCCCAAGGCAGAGAGGTTCTGGCAGACTACCCTTAAATGCCTCACACTCGGCAGGGCATGGTGGCTTATGCCTGTAATCCCAGCACTTTGGGAGACCGAGGCGGGCAGATCATTTGTGGTCAGGAGTTCGAGACCAGTCTGGCCAACATGGTGAAACCCCATCTCTACTAAAAATGCAAAAATTAGCTGGGAATGGTGGTGTGCACCTGCAGTTCCAGCTACTCGGGAGGCTGAGGCAGGAGAACGCTTGAACCCGGGAGATGGAGGCTGCAGTGAGCCGAGATCGCACACTGCACTCCAGCCTGGGTGACAGAGCAAGACTCCGTCTCACACACACACAAAAAAAAAAAAAAAAAAAAAGCCCCACACTCCACCCTCTTCCCAGAAAGTAAAGACGCAGCTCTTCAGATGAAGGCTTTCCACACAGCTGCTACAGAGCCAGCAAGGAGCAGCCTTCAGATGCAGCTCGCGAAGGCCCACCCTCAGCTGCTCCCTGGACCAAGCGCTCACTGGCCACGCTGACCCAACCAACCCAGAAGAGAGACTGTATAGCCTGACTAACTGGCACACACTTGTCACCAGGTAGTTCTTTTCCCCATATGATCCACTTGAGTGAGAATTTGAAACAAGCTTTATTACACACCTCTGAAATTAGCTCTGTATGAGTTTTAGAACATATCAGGATTCTGGCAAAAAGATGTGTGATGAGCAGGACTATTTTGTATTTAGGGTATAATCACTCACAAGTATCCCTTGTAAATGGATAATTCCATCCACCCCCATTAACTTCACTACTAATTTCAATGCAAATCCATGAAAGGAATAAGGTTCCCAGCTGGCAGGAATGTCACATATCGCTCAACATGTCCTTTTACAGGAAATCCTACAAGCAGAGACCTGGCCTATGGTAGATAAATGAGCTCCAGGAATTGATGGTCCTGTACAACAGCACAGTCTTCCAACATCTGGATGAGGTGGCAGAATGCAGCATGATCCAAAGGCTCCCTTAATTGAGGATATTAGGAGGCTACAGTCCATTTCACCCCATTACAAAATGGTGCCATGAGTCAGATGCTACTATTATGAGATACTTTGGTTCATGATAATGAAACATGAGTTAAGGTCATAAGGATTCTAAAGTTGTTTTAATGAAATACAATGTATAAAGATGCAAATTTATGAAAAACAAATTATTATATAGATTATCTACATAAGAGAAGGACCTTCATAGCATCCTTATAAATAGTACAATCTCAATAGTACAAACTTAAAGTTATCCAAATGTAAACATTTGGTTCTACCATTTCTTATAAAGTTAAGTTACCTAATAAAGTGTACAATAAAGTACTTGCACATGACTAATTAAAGAGATGCTGGGGAAAATCCTTAACTCTTTGGGGACTCATCTTTTTGCTACCCTTGGTACTTTGTGATGACTCTACCTCTAGTTGAAAGGTGCAATGAAAATACTATTATCAGTATGAACTGACATGTGCGAAAATTATAAAGTAGACTGTTTTCTATATAAGTTGGAATATATATGTATCATATTAGGATACATACACACACACACAGCATAAACAGACATATACAGCCTAAGATAAGGATGAGCAAAGTTGTTAGCTAAAGTTGGAGGTCATGATATTACTCAGAGAAAAAAAGCGATCTGTCATATGAAATAAAAACTACCTGCTCAAACACAAGGCCCAGAGTCCAGAGAAAAGAGGTGGTGATGCGGCACAGTCAGGCGGGGGAGGATACAAACCCCTAACCAGGAAAGAGTGTGAGAGCTGGGGCTGGAGAGTCATGCTAAGTACTCAATCCATCATTCCCAACCCAGCTGGGGAGCTGTGACTTTGAAGCAAGCCCCTGACTGGCTCCATGTATGTCCACAACTGTCCACTCTTCTCCCCATGGGCCCTAGAGTTGTCCTGCACATTTGTGGGGTCTGGGTCCTTAGAGTCACGAAGCAGAAACAAAGATCTTAAGCCCTTTTCCTTTTCTCTCTATCCCTTTTTTAGTTTTTGTTGTTTTTCTCTGGGTATACAAGCAATAGGGAAGGAATTACCATTTTAAAGTTCAACCTTCTGGATCCAAGGTGGCTTTAGAGGCACATCCTGTTAGTAGCTGGTAATGGTAAGAGCTAACAAGTATTGAGTGCTTACTGTATGCCAGGTACTGTTCTGAAAACTTAGAAATGAATTAGCTCATTTAAGCTTCTGTTAAATACTACTAATGTCCTCATTTTATACGACGAGATCGTGGCAGAAAGGTTAAGTTTCTAAAGAAATAATTAAAAACCTTCCATGGAGTAATTAAAATTTAAATCCCATAAAATGACAAAGTCTGAGAGTAGAGTACATTTTTTACTTCTGTTTATTCATTCGTTCACCAGCAAAAATTATTACAGTAACTTTTTTTCTAAATATAACCATCTTTCTAAACTATTTCTTTAAAGATATACTATTTATATTGACATTGTTTTTACCTAGTTGTTGCAGGGCTTATAAAACTGTGTTTTCTATATTTTTCTATGTCCTTTTTCTATGTCTTTCTCACATTCTACTCTGTCTTAATATACTAATTTTTAACAGCTTTACTGAAGTTTAACTGACATATAGTAAACTATACAATTTGCTAAGTTTGGATATACGTATACAATTGTGAAACCAACACCACATCAAGACAGTGAATATATCCATCATTCCTCATGCCCGTTTGTAATCTCTACCTTCTTCTCCCCACACCCAACTCCACCTTGCAGGTACCCACTGATTTCCTTTCTGTCGTCATATGCTACTTTGCATATCCTAAAACTTTATATAAATGGAATCATACCATATATATTCTTCTCTGGCTTCCTTCATAAACCATAATTATTTTGAGATTTATCCATATTATAGCATGTATCAATAGTTCTTTTTTTTTTTTTTTTGAGACAAAGTTTCACTCTGTTGCCCAGGCTGGAGTACAGTGGTGTGATCTTGGCTCACTGCAACCTCTGCCTCCTGGGTTCAAGCGATTCTTGTGCCTCAGCCTTCCTCTGAGTAGCTAGGATTACAGGCGCCTGCCACCACACTCGGCTAAGTTTTGTATTTTACTAGAGACGGAGTTTCACGATGTTGGCCAGGCTGGTCTCAAACTCCTGACCTCAGGTGATCCACCTGCCTCGGCCTCCCAAAGTGTTGGGATTACAGGCGTGAGCCACTGCAGCTGGCCTACTTCATTCATTTTTATTGCTGAGTAGTATTCTATTGTTTGGATACATCACAGTTTGTCTGATCACCTATTGATTGACATTTGGATTGTTTCCAGATTTGGGCTATTACAAATAAGGCTACTATGAACCCTCATGATTTATATTGAGAACATCATGGTAGTGTAGTTACCATTTCTGATGCTTCTCATTCCTTTGTGCAGATCCAGATTTCTTATTTTTTACTTTTTTATTTTACTTTTTGAGATGGAGTCTCCCTTTGTCACCCAGGCTGGAGTGCAGTGGCATGATCGCGGCTCACTGCAACCTCTGCCTCCCAGGTTCAAGTGATTCTTGTGCCTCAGCCTCCGGAGTAGCTGGAATTGCAGGCATGTGCCACAACACCCAGCTAACTTTTGTATTTTTAGTAGAGATGGGGTTTTGCCATGTTGGCCAGGCTAGTCTCAAACAACTGACCTCAAGTGATCCACCTGCCTCAGCCTCCCAAAGTGCTGGGATTACAGGTGTGAGCCACTGTGCCTGGCCCCAGATTTTAATTTGGTATCATTTTCCTTCTGCCTGAAGGGCTTCCTGTAGTACCAGTCTGCTGGTAATAAATTACTTTACCTTCTGTATACCTGAAAATGTCTTTTGTTGCTTTCAATTTTGAAAGTTTTTTTTTTTTTTTTTTTTTTTTTGCTGGAAATGGAATTCTAGGTTGACAGTTTCTTCCCCCCTCACCCCGCTTTCAATAAAGACGTTGCTTCCTTGTATTCTCACTTGCACTGTTTATAAGAATGTGCCATTATCCTTTGTTCCTCTGCATGTAATGCTTCCTTTTCCACTGGCTGCTTTAAAGATTTTCTCTTTACTACTGGTTTTGTGCAATTTGATCATGATATACCTTGGTGTATTTTTTTTTTTTATGTTTCTAGTGCTTGAGGTTCATTGAGTATATTGGATCTATGGGTTTATAGTTTTCATGAAATTTAGAAAAATTTCAAGCATTATTCCTTCAAATATTTTTGCTACTCTCTTCCATTCTCCCTCTTTCATTAGCTCCAATCACACATGTTAGGACACTTAAAGTTATCCAACAGTTATCTTTATTTATTTCTGTGTTTCATTTTGGATAGCTTCTATACGTTCACACTCAGTAATTTTTCTTCTGCAATATCTAATCTACTGTTAATACCATCCCATGTATTTTTTCCTCAGATATTATAGTTTTCATTTCTAAAAGTTTTCCTTAGGTCTTTTTTCATATCCTCCATGTCTCTGGCTAAAATTTTTGAACATATGGAATAGAGTTGTAACTTTTAACATCCTTGCCTGCCCATTCTAATGTCTGTGTCACTTCTGGATTGGCTTTGATAGACTGTATTTTTCTGCCTCTTTGCATGCCTTATAATCTTTTATTATGAAATTATAAAATTGTATAACATTATAAAATTTACCTTATTGGGTACTTGATATTTTTGTATTCCTAAAAATACTCTTGATCTTTGCTTTCAAATACAGCTGAATTACTAGAAACATTTTGTTTTTTTGAGGTCTTGCTTTTCTGATTTTCTAGGCAAGTCTGAAGCAGTGCTCAATCTAGGACAAATTATTTCCCCTGTTGAGGCAAGACCCTTCTGTGTATTCTACCCTATGCCCCAGGAACTATAAGGTTTTCTAGTTTGCCTGGTGGGAATGGGCACTATTCCTGGCCCTGTACCAGCATGGGGCATTGTTCCCTTTAATCCCTTTGGATGGCTCTTTTCCTGACCTCACATACAGGCACTGATCAGTACTGCTGAAATACTCAAGAGAAACCATCCATACATTTCCAGGGTTCCGCTCCAGTACTGTGTACTATTGAACACTAGCTGTCTTGGTCTCTCTGGACTCAGCTCTGTCTTCTGAACATGGAATCTGTTGGGCCCCACCTCAGTTCCTCTCTCCTATAGTTTAGATACGATTTGTTTGGTCCCATCAAACCTCATGTTGAAATTTGATTGCTAGAGTGGGGGTGTGGGGAGGTGGGGCCTAGTGGGAGGTGTTTGGGTAATGAATGGAGTGGATCGCTCATGAATGGCTTGGGGCTATTCTAGCAGTAGTGAGTTCTTGCTTTTGCAAGACTAAATTAGTTCTCACCAGAATGGACTGGTTCCTGTGAGAGTGGGTTGTTATAAAGCCCCTCAGATTTCCCTCTCTTCACATATGTCTGCTTCCTCCTTGACCTTCTATACCATGTTGTGATACAGCACAAAAGCCCACACCAGAAGCCAGGCCATGCCCTTGAACTACCTTAACCTGCAAAACCGTGGGCGAAATAAACCTCTTTTCTTTATAAATTACCCAGTCTCAGGTATTTTTTTTTTATACTAACACAAAACAAACTAAAGACACCCTCCATATGCTGTGGCCTGTAAACTCTCAAGGCAGTAAGCTGAGGCAATCATAGGACTCACCTGTTTTGTGTGCCATCTCTCAGAGGTCACTATCTTTCACTGCCTGGTGTCCAGTGTCTTGAAAGCCATTGTTTTCTGTATTTTTTTTCCTCTTCTTTTGGCTGTTTCAAGGCAGGAGGGTAAATTTGGGCCCTATTACTCCATCTTGACCAGATACGGAAATTCTCATGGTTGGATACCTGTGATATTTCCAGGTTTCACTTTTGTGCATGTGCATTGGTTTGCCATATATTTTAAGGCTCCACAGTAACACAGACAGCCACTAGTAATTGTTCCCTAAAAATTCTGTGTGGGAATGTCTGAGATGTTTGTGCTCTGCGCTGCCCACTTATCTGACTCTGATACACATCAGTTCAGTCACAGTGGTAATGTTTTCTCTCAAAAAACACAAATTAATCAACTTTTGAAAAAGGTCTAGGGACAGACTCATGGATTTAAAGATGAGTGGCAGCCACAGAACCTTAAATTAAATTGTTATAAGACTATTTTGGCACAGATACAGCCCAATTATTGTGGGCCTTGGCCTAGAATACACGGTTATGACTATATTGAAGCAGAATAAAATTTTGGTGGGCTTGATTTATTAGTTCCCTTAGATTTCTGATATGCCAAACAACCAAAACAGTCAATTCTACTCTATGGAGCTGTGTTCCAATTTGATATTGCTCCAATTTGCTGGCATTTCTCTGAGTCTCATGTATCTCGTGGATTCATGTACCAAGGACTTCTATTTATGTGGTGGCAGGGAAGATAAAAGATTATGAGAAAAGATGCCTCCATGACAGCTACCCGACTCTGCTAAGCCTTTGGATGCAGTGCACTTTCTACTAATGATTCTATGTGGGAATGCCTGAGACATCTGTGCTCTACACTGCCCACTAAACTGGCTCAGAGGCTAACATTCCAATGGGGCCAAAGTACAGTGAACTGGGTTGTCCCACAATCCTCATGAGAAAGACACAGGCAATCTTGTACAGCCTGTGGTGCTTGGGAAACACCCTAGAAGAAGTGACTTATCTATTACTTCCCATAAAGAATGTTTGGACAGTGACAAAGCAGAGTTACTCATGTGTCATTGCTACTTGGGCTTTGGGGATCCTCTGGATCAGTGATCCATTACTACAGAGGAGACCTAGAAGTTCTCTTTACCTTCTGCCAAGTTAGAAACAATTTGCTGGTTGCAAAGAACAGTTCTATAGCACTTTGTTAAGGGTTACAGTAAAGCACTGGTATGGGTTTTGCTTTTGAAAGTATTTGTCTTATTTGACCTGATATTTAGGTGATTTTGAAGCAAACCATTAAGTACACAGAAACAAAACATTAGATCAAAAGATCCAACTTAAAAAGAATGCCTACAAGATCAAAGCCTCTGTTCATCCTCTCTTCCTGCAGGAGTGTCTAGCAGAGGGAGAAAACATTTCTTTTGAGAAATACCCTTTTCAAAGAAAGATTAGAATCTGGCTTTAAGAGAATGGCCAAAGGGTGGGGAGATAGGGGGTGGGAAAAAATCAGTAATGGCATTCAGAGCAAACTTTTTCAGCTACCAGTCCTGACAAGTTGGCATATCCATCAGATGTCTGAATGCTCATGATAGAACAGCCCAGCTACTGGTGAACTTACTTAGAATCTTTCTAACATTTCCAGAGTCCAAGGTGACACCATCTCCCCAAGAAATGTACAGTTCTGCCATTCCCTCCAACTAAGATCAACCCAGCTGCTGCTGCCATCAGCTCCCAGGCAGAACAGGTGGTTAATGATCTGTCCTCATTGGGTATGGGCTTTGTCTATGGATGTATTAAAGAAGGAATATCAACAAAGAATGGGACATCCATGATGCAGAAAGGATGAAGAATTAGCTCCTTTGCCAGCTTCTGATTCCATTCCACAATGACAGAATAGGTAACAAACAGGACTACTGCTGATACCCAGGGGTATGGTTTAGCATCTCAGAAGAGAAAAATGAGCTAGAGAATATGTGTCTGTAAACATCAGATATCTGCCATGCAATGGCTCACCTCAAACTGTGAGAGTTTCAATGCACTGACTAGTTGGTTCTTTCATTCTCCTATAGTTATCTGATGATAGTAAGTAAGGAACACATTTGGCACCCTTACCCCAACTCCAATTTAACAAAAGACTCCTTTCTTCAGAGCTCTGAGGAAACTCTGTCTTCTAGTTACCTTTCCGGACCTTCGAGTCTCCCTCCAGGGCAAACCTTTCACTTCAGATCTTGAGAATCTGTGTTCTCAATTTGTCCCATGACTCAAAGTTTTGGACTCTTCCTTATTCCTTGGACCATCCAGGGGAAAGCTCCAGCCCTTGCACCCTTCACGAGGCTGAGAGGGGACGTCAGAGGATAAAAACATGTGATAGAAAAAGAATAAAAGCTCAAGACAGATTGACTGAAAGGAAAACCTCAGAGCTGAAACAGCTCTTTGTCTTCAGTCTTTTTTAGTATATGACAGGAATGTAACTACATAAAAATTGCATTCTGCAAGGAAACAGCTAATTATAAACAGAACAAAAAAGGAAACAAGAAACTGGGAAAATAGTTGTAACATTTCTCACAAAGGGTTTGGGTGTTTTCCTAGTAAAGAACTCCTGCAAATCAATAAGTATAAGGTCAACTCAAAGAAACTGGGCAAAACATTAAAAGACAATGAACTACATAAAACACATTCACATGACTTTTAGATAGGAATTTGTGCTTAATCTCACAGTAGCATACAAATTAAAACAATGCAAGATTAACCAAGAAAAGAAGAGATAAAATCCAAATAACCTCACTAAGAAACAAAACAGGAGATATTACAACTGACACAACTGAAATACAAAAGGCTACTATGAACACCTTTACACACATAAACTAGAAAACCTAGAAGAGATGGATAAATTCCTGGAAAAATACAACCCTCTTGAATCAGGAAGAACTAGATACCCTGAAAAGACCAATAAAAAGCAGTGAGACTGAAATGGTAATTAAAAAATTACCACCAAAAAATGTCCAGGACCAGATGAATTCACAGCAGACTTCTATCAGACATTCAAAGAAGAATTGGTACCAATCCTTTTGACACTATCCCACAAGATAACAAAAGAAGGAACCCTCCCTAATTCATTCTATGAAGCCAGCATCACCCTAATACCAAAACCAGGAAAGGACATAACCAAAAAAGAAAACTACAGACCGATATCCCTGATGAACATAAATGCTGAAATCCTTAACAAAATACTAGCTATCTGAATCCAACAACATATCAGAAAGATAATCCACCATGATCAAGTGGGTTTCATATTAGGGATGGAGGGATGGCTTAACATATGCAAGTCAATAAATGTCATATACCACATAACAGAATTAAAAACAAAAATCACATGATCATCTCAAGAGATGCAGAAAAAGCATTTGATAAAATGCAGCATCCCTTTATGATTGAAACTCAGCAAAAGCGGCATAAAAGGGACATACCTCAATGTAATAAAAGCCATCTATGACAAGCCCACAGCTAACATAATACTGAATGGGGAAAAGATGAAAGCATTTCCTCTGAGAACTGGAACAAGACAAGGAGGCCCACTCTCACCACTCCTCTTCAGCATAGTACTGGAAATAAAGGGCATCCAAATTGGTAAACAGTAAGTTAAACTGTCACTGTTTGCTGATGATATGATCACTTACCTTAAAAACCCTAGGGGTTTTTGCTTCCAAGATGGCCAAATGGGAACAGCTCTACTCTGCAGCTCCCAGTGAGATCGATGCAGAAGACAGGTGATTTCTGCATTTCCAACTGAGGTACCTGGTTCTTCTCATGGGATGCACATGGGTGCAGCCCATGGAGAGTGCGCCGAAGCAGGGCGGGGTGTCGCCTCACCTGGGAGGCACAAGGGGTCGGGGGATTTCCCTTTCCTACCCAAGGGAAGCCATCATAGTCTGTACCTGAAAAAAACGGGACACTCCTGCCCAAACACTGCACTTTTCCCACAGTCTTAGCAGCCAGCAGACCAGGAGATTCCCTCCCGTGCCTGGCTCGGTAGGTCCCACGCCCACAGAGCCTAGCTCACTGCTAGCGCAGCAGTCTGGGATCAACCTGTAAGGCTGCAGCCCGGTTGGGGGAGGGGTGTCCGTCATTGCTGAGGCTTGAGTAGGTAAACACAGGGGCCAGGAAGTGCGAACTGGGCAGAGCCCACTACAGCTCAGCAAGACCTACTGCCTCTATAGATTCCACCCCTGTGGGCAGGGCATAGCTGAACAAAAGGCAGCAGACAACTTCTGTAGACTTAAACGTCCCTGGCTGACAGCTCTGAAGAGAGCAGTGGTTCACCCAGCATGGCATTCGAGCTCTGAGAACACACAGACTGCCTCCTCAAGTGGGTCGCTGACCCCTGTGTAGCCTGGCTGGGAGACACCTCCCAGTAGGGGCCAACAGATACCTCGTACAGGCAGGTGCCCCTCTGGGACAAAGCTTCCAGAGGAAGGATCAGGTAGCAATATTTGCTGCTGCAGCCTCTGCTGGTGATACCCAGGCAAAAAGGGTCTGGAGTGGACCTCCAGCAAACCCCAACAGACCTGCACCTGAGGGGCCTGTTAGAAGGAAAACTAACAAACAGAAAAAAATAGCATCAACATCAACAAAAAGGACATCCTCACCAAAATCCCACCCATAGGTCACCAACATCAAAGACCAAAGGTAGATAAAACCACAAAGATGGGGAGAAACCAGAGCAGAAAAACTGAAAATTCCAAAAACCAGAGCACCTCTTCTCCTCCAAAGGATCGCAGCCCCATGCCGGCAGCGGAAAAAAACTGGATGGAGAATGAGTTTGACAAGTTGACAGAAGTTGGCTTCAGAAGGTCGGTAATAACAAACTTCTCCGACCTAAAGGAGCATGTTCTAACCCATTGCAAGGAAGCTAAAAACCTTGAAAAAAGGTTACATGAATGGCTAACTAGAATAAACAGTGTAGAGAACATAAATGACCTGATGGAGCTGAAAACCACAGCACAAGAACTTCGTGACGCATGCACGAGTTTAAATAGCCAATTCGATCAAGTGGAAGAAAGGATATCAATGACTGAAGAGCAAATTAATGAAATAAAGTATAAAGAAAAGATTAGAGAAAAAAAGAGTAAAAAAAAAAAAAAAAAAAACAAAACGACAAAGCCTCCAAGAAATATGAGACTATGTGAAAAGACCAAATCTACGTTTGATTGATGTACCTGAAAATGACGGGGAGAATGGGACCAAGTTAGAAAACTCTTCAGGATATTATCCAGTAGAACTTCCCCAACCTAGCAAGGCAGGCCAACATTCAAATTCAGGAAATACAGAGAACCCCACAAAGATACTCCTTGAGAAGAGCAACCCCAAGACACATAATTGTCAGATGCACCAAGGTTGAAATGAAGGAAAAAATGTTAAGGACAGCTAGAGAGAAAGGTCGGGTTACCCCCAAAGGAAGCCCATCAGACTAGTAGCAGATTTCTTGGCAGAAACCCTACAAGCCAGAAGAGAATGGGGGCCAATATTCAACATTCTTAAAGAAAAGAATTTTCAATCCAGAAATTCATATCCAGCCAAACTAAGCTTCATAAGTGAAGGAGAAATAAAATCCTTTACAAACAAACAAATGCTGAGAGATTTTGTCACCATGAGGCCACACATAATAATATTAACCTTAAATGTAAATGACTAAATGCCCCAATTAAAAGACACAGACTGGCAAATTGGATAGAGTCAAGACCCATCAGTGTGCTGTATTCAGGAAACCCATCTCATGTGCAGAGACACACATAGACTCAAAATAAAGGGATGCAGGAAGATCTACCAAGCAAATGGAAAGCAAACAAAACAAAACAAAACTAAAAAACAGGGGTTGCAATCCTAGTCTCTGATAAAACAGACTTTAAACCAAAAAAGATCAAAAGAAACAAAGAAGGCCATTACATAATGGTAAAAGGACCAATTCAACAAGAAGAGCTAACTATCCTAAATATATATGCACCCAATACAGGAGCACCCAGATTCATAAAGCAAGTCCTTAGAGACCTACAAAGAGACTTAGACTCCTACACAATAATAATGGGAGACTTTAATACCACATTGTCAATATTAGACAGATCAACGAGACAGAAGGTTAACAAGGATATCCAGGACTTGAACTCAGCTCTGCACCAAGTGGACCTAATAGACATCTACAGAACTCTCCACCTCAAATAAACAGAATATACATTCTTCTCAGTACCACATCACACTTATTCTAAAATTGACCACATAATTGGAAGTAAAGCACTCCTGAGCAATGTAAAAGAACAGAAATCACAATAAACTGTCTCTCAGACCACAGTGCAATCAAATTAGAACTCAGGATTAAGAAACTCACTCAAAACCGCACAACTACATGGAAACTGAACAACCTGCTCCTGAGTGACTACTGAGTAAACAACGAAATGAAGGCAGAAATAAAGATGTTCTTGGAAACCAATGAGAACAAAGACACAATGTACCAGAATCTCTGGGACACATTTA
The DNA here is from genome assembly GCF_000001405.40 of Homo sapiens. Taxonomy (NCBI): domain Eukaryota; kingdom Metazoa; phylum Chordata; class Mammalia; order Primates; family Hominidae; genus Homo; species Homo sapiens. The sequence continues at coordinate 41,280,654 of NC_000003.12, forward strand.
AAGCAGTGTGTAGAGGGAAATTTATAGCACTAAATGCCCACAAGAGAGAGCAGGAAAGATCTAAAATTGACATCCTAACATCACAATTAAAAGAAATAGAGAAGCAAGAGCAAACACATTCAAAAGCTAGCAGAAGGCAAGAAATAACTAAGATCAGAGCAGAACTGAAGGAGATAGAGACACAAAAACCCTTCAAAAAAAATCAATGAATCCAGGAGCTGGTTTTTTGAAAAGAGCAACAAAATAGACTGCTCGCAAGACTAATAAAGAAGAAAAGAGTGAAGAATCAAATAGATACAATAAAAAATGATAAAGGGGATATCACCACCTATCCCACAAAAATACAAACTACCATCAGAGAATACTATAAACACGTCTATGCAAATAAACTAGAAAATCCTGAAGAAATGGATAAATTCCTGGACACATACACCCTCCCAAGACTAAACCAGGAAGAAGTTGAATCTCTGAACAGACCAATAACAGGTTCTGAAATTGAGGCAATAATAGCCTACCCACCAAAGAAAGTCCAGGACCAGACGGATTCATACCAGAATTCTACTAGAGGTACAAAGAGGAGCTGGTACCATTCCTTCTGAAAATATTCCAATCAATAGAAAAAGAAGGAATCCTCCCTAACTCATTTTATGAGGCCAGCATCATCCTGATACCAAAGCCTTGCAGAGACACACAAAAAAAGAAAATTTTGGACCAATATCCCTGATGAACATCAATGTGAAAATCCTCAATAAAATATTGGGAAATGGAATCCAGCAGCACATCAGAAAGCTTTCCACCACAATCAGTTCGACTTCATCCCTGGGATGCAAGGCTGGCTCAATATATGCAAATCAATGAACGTAGTCCATCACATAAACAGAACCAACAACAAAAATCACATGATTATCTCATTAGAGGCAGAAAAGCCCTTCAACAAAATTCAACAGCTCTTCATGCTAAAAACTCTCAATAAACTAGGTATTGATGGAATGTATCTCAAAATAATAAGAGCTATCTATGACAAACCCACAGCCAATATCATACTGAATGGGCAAAAACTGGAAGCATTGCCTTTGAAAACCAGCACAAAACAAGGATGCCCTCTCTCACCACTCCTATTCAACATAGTGTTGGAAGTTCTGGCCAGGGAAATCAGGCAAGAGAAAGAAATAAAGGGTATTCAATTAGGAAAAGAGGAAGTCAAATTGTTCCTGTTTGCAGATGACATGATTGTATATTTAGAAAACCCCATCATCTCAGCCCAAAATCTCCTTAAGCTGATAAGCAACTTCAGCAAAGTCTCAGGATACAAAATCAATGTGCAAAAATCACAAGCATTCCTATACACCAATAACAGACAAACAGAGAGCCAAATCATGAGTGAACTCCCATTCACAATTGCTTCAAAGAGAATAAAATACCTAGGAATCCAACTTACAAAGGATGTCAAGGACCTCTTCAAGGAGAACTACAAACCACTGCTCAATGAAAAAAAAGAGAACACAAACAAATGGACTAACATTCCATCCTCATGGATAGGAAGAATTGATATCGTGAAAATGGCCATACTGCCCAAGGTAATTTATAGACTTAATGCCATCCCCATCAAGCTACCAGACTTTCTTCACAGAATTGGAAAAAACTACTTTAAAGTTTATATGGAACCAAAAAAGAGCCTGCATTGCCAAGATAATTCTAAGCCAAAAGAACAAAGCTGGAGGCATCATGCTACCTGACTTCAAACTATACTACAAGGCTACAGTAACCAAAACAGCATGGTACTGGTACCAAAACAGAGATATAGACCAATGGAACAGAACAGAGGCCTCAGAAATAACACCACACATCTACAATCATCTGATCTTTGACAAACCTGACAAAAATAAGAAACGGGGAAAGGATTCCCTATTTAATAAATGGTGCTGGGAAAACTGGCTAGCCATATGTAGAAAGCTGAAACTGGATCCCTTCCTTACACCTTATACAAAAATTAACTCAAGATGGATTAAAGACTTAAATGCAAGAACTAAAACCATAAAAACCCTTGAAGAAAACCTAAGCAATACCATTCAGGACATAGGCATGGGCAAAGACTTCATGACTAAAACACCAAAAGCAATGGCAACAAAAGCCAAAATTGACAAATGGGATCTAATTAAATTAAAGAGCTTCTGCACAGCAAAAGAAACTATCATCAGAGTGAACAGGCAACCTACAGAATGCAAGAAAATTTTTGCAATCTACCTATCTGACAAAGGGCTAATATCTAGAATCTACAAAAAACTTAAACAAATTTACAAGAAAAAACAACCCCATCAAAAAGTTGGCAAATGATATGAACAGACACTTCTCAAAAGAAGACATTTATGCAGCCAACAGACACATGAAAAAATGCTCACCATCACTGGTCATCAGAGAAATGCAAATCAAAACCATAATGAAATACCATCTCATGCCAGTTAGAATGGTGATCATTAAAAAGTCTCAGGAAACAACAGATGCTGGAAAGGATGTGGAGAAATACGAATGCTTTTACACTGTTGGTGGGAGTGTAAATTAGTCAACCATTGTGGAAGACAGCGTGGTGATTCCTCAAGGATGCAGAACTAGAAATACCATTTGACCAAGCGATCCCATTACTGGGTATATACCCAAAGGAGTATACATCATGCTACTGTAAAGACACATGCACACATATGTTTATTGCCACACTATTCACAATAGAAAAGACTTAGAACCAACCCAAATGTCCACCAATGATAGACTGGATTAAGAAAATGTGGCACATATACACCATGGAATACTATGCAGCCATAAAAAAGGATAGGTTCATGTCCTTTGCAGGGACATGGATGAAGCTGGAAACCATCATTCTCAGCAAACTATCGCAAGGACAAAACCAAACACCACATGTTCTCACTCATAGGTGGGAATTGAACAATGAGAACACATGGACACAGGGTGGAGAACGTCAAAACCAGGGCCTCTCAGCGGGTAGGGGGCTGGGGGAGGGATAGCATTAGGAGAAATACCTAATTTAAATGACAAGTTGATGGGTGCAGCAAATCAACATGGCACATGTATACCTATGGAACAAACCTGCACGTTTTGCACATGTACCGTAGAACAAACAAACAAACAGACAAAAAAAAACCCTAAAGACTCCCCCAGAAAGCTCCTAGAACTGATAAAAAAAATTCAGCAAAGTTTCTGGATATAAGAAATACAAAAATCAGTAGCTCTTCTATACACCAACAGTGACCAAGCGGAGAATCAAATCAAGAACTCAACCCCTTTTACAATAGCTGCCAAAAATAAATAAATAAATAAATAAATAAAATACTTAGGAATATACCTAACCAAGGAGCCAAAAAGACCTCTACAAAGAAAACTACAAAACACTGCTGAAAGCAATCATAGATGACACAAACAAATGGAAATACATCCCATGCTCACGGATGGTGAGAATCCATCAATGTGTCAATTTCACAATATTGTGGAAATGACCATACTGCCAAAAGCAATCTACAAATTCAATGCAATCCTCATCAAAATTCCACCATAATTCTTCACAAAATTAGAAAAAACAATTCTAAAATTCATATGGAAACAAAAAAGAGCCCACATAGCCAAAGCAAGATTAAGCAAAGAGAACAAATGTGGAGGCATCACACTACCTGATTTCACACTTTCCTATAAGGCCATAGTCACCAAAACAGCATGGTACTGGCATAAAAATAGACACATAGACCGATGGAACAGAATAGAAAACCCAGAAAAAAACCCAATTACTTACAGTCAACTGATCTTCAACAAAGCAAACAAAAACATAAAGAGGGGAAAGGACACCCCTTTCAACAAATGGTGCTGGGATAACTGGCTAGCTACAGGTAAGAGAATGAAACAGGATCCTCATCTCTCACCTTATATAAAAATCAACTCAAGATGGATTAAGAACTTAAACCTAAGACCTGAAACTATAAAAATTCTAGAAGATAACATTAGAAAAAACCATTCTAGACATTGGCTTAGGCAAGGATTTCATGACCAAGAACCCAAAAGCAAATCCAATAAAAGCAAAGATAAGTAGCTGGGACTTAATTAAACTAAAGAGCTTTTGAACAGCAAAAGGAACAGTGGGCAGAGTAAACAGAAAATTCAGAGTTGGAGAAAATCTTCAAAATCTATACATCTGACAAAGGACTAATATCCAGAATCTACAACACACTCAAACAAATCAGTATGAAAAAAAGAAACCCATCAAAAAGTAGGCTAAGGACATGAATAGACAATTCTCAAAAGAAGATATACAAATGGCCAACAAACATGAAAAAAATGTTTGACATCACTAATGATCAGGGAAACGCAAATGAAAACCACAATGTGATACCATCTTACTCCTGCAAGAATGGCCATAATCAAAAAAATCACAAAACAGTAGATGTGGGCATGGAAGCAGTGATCAGGCACTTCTGCCCTGCTGGTGGGAATGTAAACTAGCACAGCCACTATGGAAAACAGTGTGGAGATTCCTTAAAGAACTAAAAGTAGAACTACCATTTGATCCAGCAATCCCACTACTGAGTATCTACCTAGAGGGAAATAAGTCATTATATGAAAAAGATACTTGCACACGCATGTTTATAGCAGCATAATTTGCAACTGCAAAATCGTGAAACCAACCCAAATGCCCATCAATCAACGAGTGGATAAAGAAACTGTGGTATATATATATATGATGGAATACTACTCAGCCATAAAAAGGAATGAATTAACGGCATTTGCAGCGACCTGGATGAGATTGGAGGCTATTATTCTAAGTGAAGTAACTCAGGAATGGAAAACCAAACATTGTATATTCTCACCGATACATGGGAGCTAAGCTATGAGGACACAAAGGTGTAAGAATGATACAATGGACTTTGGGGACTTGGGGGGAAGGGTGAGAGGGAGGCGAGTGATAAAAGACTACAAACAGGGTGCAGAGTATACTGTGAGTGATGGGTGCACCAAACTGTCACAAGTCACCACAAAATAACTTACTAATGTAACTAAATATCACCTGTACCCCAATAACCTATGGAAAAATTAAAAACAAAATAAAACAATGGCAAAATATCATTTCTACCTAGCTGATGAGCAAAGATAAAACAACTGAAGAGGATGTGGGAAAGAAAACAAGTTGCAGTATGCATAGTAGCTGCCATTTGTGTGAAGCGGGGAGGAGAATGAATATCTAACACTTTCTGCATATGCACTAAGCATCTCTGGGGTAGCATACAAAAAGATAATAAAGGCTATCACCAGGGAGGAAAATTTGGTGGCTAGAGACAGGATTGGATGAGAGAGTGTTCATTTTATATTCTTTTTATTGATTGAAATTTGAACCAGAGATTGCCTTAAAGCTTTCCTCAATATCTAGAGAAAGAATATCTTTTGGGGACCTCATTTTGATGCACACGCTAATAGGCCAGGCTGAATGAGGGGCTTTTTGTATCTTCAGAAATTGATACATAACGATTTCCTTTAATATTATTATGGTGCATTATGGTTAGTTTATGAAGGTCTTTCATACATTACCTTCTTGAATCTTTGTAATCACCCTCTGAGACGGGCGTTATTTTAATCTCCATTTTTCAGAGGGAGTGAGTGGGGCTGAGAGAGACAGCTTTTTTTGGCCAGAGAGTAAAGTTCCAGAGCCAGGATTTGGCATTAAGTTAACCTGGTAGCTACATGAGGTTGCATTATTAGATATGTCCAGCCTAAGACGGATATGACAAGCCCACCATATGCTATGGGGGAAAGCAGATGAGGGAGTGGAAGCAGCTGGAAGGCTGAGGCTAGGACAACCAGCAGACGGTGCCAGAGAACTTTCTAGGAGGCCTTCAGGAAGAGGAGGCAAGGCACATGATAAACGTAGAAAGAAGAGCTTCTCCAGGGCCCCGCCAGCACCCTAAACTGCAGGCACAGACACGACTAGGGAAAAAGGGAGGCTGGTGCTGGGTGAAGACCCCAGGCTTACACTCAGGAGTAGCACCGGAACACAGATTTTGGGCATGGCTTCCTGCCGAAACCACAGGGTACCTTCCTTCTAGTCCATGCTCAGATCTTCCCACACTTGTGGCCTCCTCTCTCCATGCACCATTCCTCCCTGCCTCTTGCTGTCAAAGTCGCTCTGTAAAACCTTCAGCCTGGGAGAGACAGTTGTCCAGGAAGCAGAGGTTAAACCACTGTCAAGTGGTGTCTGTCATCTTAACTCAACTGCACTTATAGGGACCAGAAGACTACAGGACCTAGAAGTTTAGACCATGTCCTTTTCAGTGGTAGGATGCCATAGGTATATATTGTAATGTACTGTTCATGCAAACCACCCACCGATTTGACAGAGAGGTGACGCAGAAGGCTGTGAAAGATGCCTGTCAGCAATCCTGGCACATCAAAGAGCCTGGCAATAGCCCTAGGAGCTTATGGCAGAAACTGGTGAAAATCTCAATGGAAAATGGCAAGATCAGGGTAGGAACTTAATTTTGGGGACAATAAAAAGGTGAGCTAAGAGCAGAGATGAAGAGAGTTACTGAGCAGGCAAGGGGTTCATAAAGGCTAAGTGAGTAAAGGAGTTAGGGACTTTTTTCTTCTAAGGAAGAAGAAACTTTCTGTTTAACTTAGTGGAAGGAAGGAAAATAGGGCTGAGTGTGATATAATTTCCTTCTGGCTCAAGAACTGAAATGATATGAAGAGAAAAAACAACGCAGCTTCCTCTGTTTTCTGCCCCTGGGGTATGGATTCGTCTGTGAATGGAATATGATGCTTATCTTCATATTGATTTTTCTTGGTCCAAAATTCAGAAACAAAATAAGGCCAAATAGGGCCCCCATGGGATGAAATTTGGTCGTGTAACTTTGCTTTGCAAAGAACAGGACACAGAGTTATGACTGATGGAGGATACATTCTAGTCTCCTTTCACCCCTGGGGCATTAAAACCCTCCGGGAGTTTGAGCACTCTTCAAATAGACACCTGATTTCCCAGCTAGAGATTTGGGTCTCACGGAAGCTGAGATTTCCTCTCAACCAAGTACTCACAGTGAAAACTTCACACCCTCCTAGCATGATATTAACATTTGCCAGAGCCCAAACACAGGAACGAGAGTCACCCTGGAAAGGACCGCACTGAGGCTGAAGTCAGGTTTGTTCACAAATGTTTAGCCCAATTAGTCTTACAGTTCACCAAGGTTACACATGGGGACATTTGAGGATAGGGTGGGCATGGCCTGTTTTCATAAACTAGGTTGAAACTTTTTTGGATCTTGATCCCATGAGCCTGGGCAAATATAATCTGATTGGGTTAAATGTCTTTAGAGTTTCTTTCAGGCTGCTTGAGTCTGAGGCAAGTATGAAAAGAAATAAAGAGAACACGATGATTTCTTTGGTGAGGATGAGAATTACACTAAAATTCAGTTTGAGTCTAGTTATTCTCTGTATATAGTTTTGTGGAAAATCAAAACTAAATTCACAAACAAAAAAATTTGAAATACAGCAAGTAGTAGACATCTCTGTGACCATTAAAAAAAAATTATCTCCCCACTTCCCCTTCCTCACAGAAGTCCAATTTTAAGTATCCACTCCTCCTTCACACAGCTTGCTCCCAGGAAGATGAGCCCCACTAAGCACCAGGGCAGTTTCTGACCAGTATGAGCTAATCCCAGTAAAGTGATTCTCAGGAAGGCACTAACCCTAATCTGGTCAAAGATACTTTAGGAAGTCTGCTGGTGCCTTCTGGGAAAGATCTCTTTCTGTAAGCCTTAGGCAGGTTGTCTTAGAGAGCCTTTGGAGGTTACATCTTGGTCTGACTCTTGGTATGATGTGTGGAATTGCTGAGAATATCCTGCTATAGCCCAAAAGAGCAGGACACATGAAGATGAAAATTCAAGAAAGAGAAGCCAGGCAGGCTTTGAAACCCTGTATACAGCTGGATTCTTCTAGGAAATACAATTTATATTTACTCACTGATCAAACCAATCTGACTTAGTGTTTTTGTTATTTGCTGATAATATAACTAGTAACAAATACATAACCCTAAGAATACTTTGAGGGACCTTATACCCCCAGTGTATCAGCACTTAGTGTTCAAGAGAAAGGCCCGCTCAAGGACCTGCCCAGTGGCTGTGTATACTGAGAGGAAAAACCCTCCTTGAAGTAATTCTTTGAATAGCCAAGGTTTCCAACCTAGTCTAGAAATGTGATGGTCAAAGATGGTACATCTTTGGGCCTCACTCTGTTCAGGTTCACGATGGAGCAGGCACACGGCAGGCCCCACCTCTGCCTGTAGGGGCTCCACAGCTCGGAGCACACAGTGGGTGTGGAAGAGCTCTCTGTCAGAGCGCCACGGGGAGCGGCAGAGCAGCCGGCCACTCCCACAGCTTTCTGCCTTTTTCCCTATTCTTTTTCTATTAGAGCTGTGCCTCCCATACATTTTAAAATTTTCAGTTAACCTATTTGAATTGGTTTGTTTTGTTTGTTTTTTATGCTACTGTTATGGCAATTATAAACCACATGCTAAAAATGCTCTTAATTTTGGAATAACATACCATCATGTGAGTGTACTGTACATTTTTAAATTATAGCTATCACTTACTGAGTTTACTGGCTCAGGTGTTGGCAGGAGAGGACACAGTGCACCGAAAGGACTGGAACACATGATTAAATCCCCAAGGCTGACTCTGTCTACTCTAAATTCTCCATCAGATTTTACAATCAACTGCAGCCACTGACAATGATGATGAATACTGTCACGCAGTTCTCTCAGAAATAGAGCATTATTGAAAATATCCACAAAATACAAGGTGGACTTAATATGATTTTGGTGCCTGATAAAAAATATTTGATGTTGACAAATGGCCAAGACTGAGGTGACCTTTCACACAATAAAAGCCTGGGCAGTACCCTAGGACATCCCACAGAACCCTGGGTTGAAGGTGGCCACAGAGCCCATGGTAGACAGGGTGGGAGGAATCTCGGGGCCTATTCATCCAACATGTCCTCAATGCACAGAGGACACTTAGTGCTCAGCACTAGAGGGGAGAAGCCCAAGGAAGGGAGCAAGTCAGTCTAACACCAGAAACTGACCCTAACCCTGCATCTTCTTATTAGGTCAACTTATGTATGTATGTATGTATGTATGTATGTATGTATGTATGTATGTATGTACGTATGTATGTATGTATGTGTGTGTGTGTGTATGTGTGACGGAGTTTTGCTCTTGTTGCCCAGGCTGGAGCACAATGGCACGATCTCGGTTCACTGTAACTGCCATCTCCTGGGTTCAAGAGATTCTCCTGTCTCAGCCTCCCAAGTAGCTGGGATTGCAGGCACGTGCCACCACACCTGGCTAATTTTGTATTTTTAGGAGAGACGGAGTTCCTCCATGTTGGTCAGGCTGGTCTCGAACTCCTGACGTCAGGTGATCTGCCCGCCTTGGCCTCCCAAAGTGCTAGGATTACAGGCGTGAGCCACCATGCCCAGCCCAACTTTATTTTGCTATAAGACTGAGTAAGCTTTCTGTCATAAGATATTACAGGGATGATAATGATGGTGATGACAATGATGCCGACAGCTAAGTTTACGGAAAGTTTGCTATAAACCAGGCACTTTATGTATATTAACTCATTTATAATCATGCAACAAGTAGATGCAGAAAGTATTATTATTACCTCCCTTTAACAGATGGGGAAATTGAGACACAGGTTAAAAGTCACTTCCACCAACTGGAAAGTAGGAGGAGCTGGAATTTGAACCCTCAGTCTGGCTTCAAAGCCCCTGCTCTTACTCTTTAGGTTATAGTGCTTCTCTACTAGGCTTGCATCATCTTCTACTGGCTTCCACCCCTCAATGATCCCTTTTTGGCTCTGTGGTGGTCTGAGTAACTAGTGGGTTTCCACTGGGAGGGGGTTCTGGGAGTCCCCAGTAACTGGACTGAACTGTATTGCGGGGGCACTCAGCGGCTAGGAGGCAACATTATAAAGTATGTGCCAGGTGTTGACCAGAATTATTTGAACTCCTCTAGGTCATGTGCTCCCTGTGGGAAAGGACTGTGGTACACGTATGCTCATAAGCTGAAGATCATCTCTTGATACTCAGGACTGTTCTCACCCTTCTATGTTCCTGCCTGTATGCAGGAATCCTGAAAACTATAATTCCCTGACTCCCATGCCAGGAGGTTCCATTACATTCTGCTGGTGAAATTAATCACATGACATTTGGAAGGCAGACAAAGAGAAGCTGTTATTCACTGGAGACAACACAGGCAGTTGCCTGGGAATTAGTAAATGGCTGGTGTGAGGTTTGCTAATGGCTTCTAGGCCTCCTCCTGAGAATTCAGTGGTACAGGCAGATGGGATTTTTTTTGTTTTTGTTTTTGTTTTTGGTTCGCGGTGATCCTTGCAAGTCCCGACTCCTTGAAAAGTTGCAGAAGCTTCTGATTTTCACTCTCCTAACCTTTCAATCTCCTGTCTTCAATTCCTTCCTGACTGGAATACCTAGAATGACTTCTGTTTTCTTCACTAGACATTGCCTGATATAAAATGTATACAGGGTTATTATGCTTTTAGTAATAGGAGAGTGAGAGAGGGAAAGAGAGAGATAAGTATAAGAGGAAAGAAAGGAAGGAAGGAGAAAAGAAAGAGAAAGAAGGAAGGAAGGAGAAAGAGAAAGAAAAAGTAAAGAAGAAAGGAAGGAAGGAAGGAGAAAGAAAAAGAATAACGAAAGAAGGAAGGAGAGAGAAGGAGAGAGAAGGAGGAGAGGGGAGGGAAGAAGAGGAGGGGAAGGAGAGGAGGAAAGAAGGAAGAAAGGAAAGAAAGAAAGGAAAGAGGGAGGGAAAGAGGAAGGAAGGAAAAAAGAAAGGCAGGGAGAGATGGAGGGAGGGAGAAAAGAAAAATAGCCTAATGTTTCCCAAGAGAAGAATGGATAAGCAAACTATGTTATAATCATTTAATAGAACACTACTCAGCAGTTAAAATAAAGAAACTAATCTACACGAGTAAACATTGTTAAGTCTCAAAAATATGAAGGGACATGATGGGGCTTCTGGGGTACTGCGATGCTGTTTGTCAGCCTGGGTGCTGCTGGTTGCACAGCTGTATTTTGCTTATGAACATTCATCACGTGGTCACTTGTGATGTTCTTTTTTTTTTTTTTTTTCTGAGACGGAGTCTTGCTCTGTCACCCAGGCTGGAGCGCAGTGGCGCAATCTCGGCTCACTGCAAGCTCCGCCTCCCGGGTTCATGCCATTATCCTGCCTCAGCCTTCCGAGTAGCTGGGACTACAGGCCCCCACCACCATGCCCGGCTATTTTTTTTTGTATTTTTTAGTAGAGACGGGGTTTCACCGTGTTAGCCAGGATGGTCTCGATCTCCTGACCTCACAATCCGCCTGCCTCAGCCTCCCAAAGTGCTGGGATTACAGGCATGAGCCACCGCGCCCGGCCTCACTTGTGATTTTCTCTAGGTATATTATTTATCAAAAAGTTTACAAATAAATAATAATAACAATGGCAACAACAATAACTACTTCTAAGTGGAAGGTGGAGATTGTAAATAATTTGTAAAGACAAGTCTTTCAACTCAAAGCAATGCTTTGAGAAAGGTATTATTTTTCCCACTTAATAAACAGAGGCTCAGAAGGATCAAATGACTTGCCAACAATCCCCTGGACTTTTGTTCAAGCCTCTGGGTCCAGTACCTCAGCTTGTAACCAGTGCCCTCTACTGAGGGTGGATCAACTGAGGTCAGGAGTTCGAGACCAACCAGGCCAACATGGCGAAACCCAGTCTCTACTAAAAATACAAAAAATTAGCTGGGTGTGGTGGCAGGCACCTGTAATTCCAGCTACTCGGGAGGCTGAGGTAGGGAGAACTGCTTGAACCCGGGAGGCAGCAGTTTCAGTAAGCTGAGATCATGCCACTGCATTCCAGCCTGAGTGACAGAGACTCCATCTCAAAAAAAGAAAAAGAAAAAAAGACCAGATGTGGTGGCTCACACCTGTAATCCCAGCACTTTGGGAGGCCAAGGTGGATGGATCACAAGGTCAGGAATTTAAGACCAGCCTGGCCAAGATGGTGAAACCCCGTCTCTATTAAAAATACAAAAATTAGCTGGGTGTGGTGGTGCATGTCTGTAATCCCAGCTACTCGGGAGGCTGAGGCAGAAGAATTGCTTGAACCTGGGTGGCAGAGGTTGCAGTGAGCCAAGATTGCACGACTGTACTCCAGCCTGGGCGACAGAGCAAGACACCGTCTCAAAAAAATAAAAAAATAAAAAATAAAAAATTAGTCAGGTGTGGTGGTGCATGTCTGTAGTCCCGGTCACTTGGGAGGCTGAGGCAGGAGAATTGCTTGAATCCAGGAGGCAGAGGTTTTGGTGAGTTAGGATCATGTCACTGCACTCCAGACAGAGAGAGGCTCCATCTAAAAAAGAATAGGACTGGTAACCTAAAGAATATAAATAAGGTAGAAATGAATAAAAATAAGGCAAGGAAGGTTATCATTTAGATAACCAAGCCAGGAAACAACTTAAGATTCACAGAAAAACAATGATGGGATTATCAGAAGAAAATAAAAATAGGTACACAAACATACATACAAAAAAAACATGAAAAACAAAGCTGGCAGGATTCCATGGAAGGTCAAGGTCTCAGGAGAATGAGATTAAAATCAGGAAGTGGCAAAGAGAGAAGAATGTTATGGTAGTGAAGGTCAGTCCTCCACTCACTCCGTAACCCAGTGCTGGGCCAGTCACAGACCTTGAGATATACATGATACAACCTCACTCTCAAAGACTCACCATCAAATGGAGAACTAAATTCCCATACAACATGTTACAGGCTGTAACATCATAGAGGAATCTCTGAAGGTCATCTAGTGTTAGGAGCCTGAGCTTTGTAGTCTGATACCCTGGGTTGAAATCCTATCTCCACTGTTTCCTGGCAATATTATTCTCAGCAACATGCAAACCAAACTATTTTTGCCTTGTTTCCTCAATGGTAAAATAATAGTAGCTCACAGAGCTGCTGTGAGGAGCAAATGAGTTAACAATTACACTTGAAACAATGTCTGGCATACAGTAACTTGTTATCTATTCTTAGCTATTATTATATAAAGTGCCATGGAGCCCTATGGAAATACTAATTTCATCTGCAGTAGGCATGGAAGGCTTCATGGCAAAAGTGACATTTCATCTTGTGTCTTGAAGGATTAGAGGCAGTTTGAAAGGTGGAGAGAAAGCAAAATGACTCTCAGTAAAGAGAACAGTGTGAACCAACATATGAAGGTGTGGAACAGTGTGTGAATTCAGGGCCCAGCCCGGAGGGTTGATGTCACTGGTAAAGTCTGCAATGCAGGATGCTAAGAGATGAGTGGAGAGATGTTACAGTCTGAGTGTGTCCCCCAAAATACGTGTTGGACACAATTCTCAGTGCAACAGTGTTAGGAGATGGGGCCTAATGGGAGGTGATGTTTAGGTCATGAGGGCTTTGCCTTCGTGAATGGTTTAGTGCTGCTATAAAAAGAGCCTGCAGGAGTGGGTTTGCTCTCTTCTGCCATGTGAAGACAAAACATTCCTCCCCTCTGGAGGATGCAACATTCAAGGTGCCATCTTGGAAGCAGGGACTGGACCCTCACCAGACAATGAACCTGCTCATGCCTTGATCTTGGACTTCCCACTCTATACAACTATGATAAATTAATTTCTTTTCCTTATAAATTACCTAGTCTGTGGTATTGTTATAGAAACAAATGGATTAAGACAACAGATCATTTGAGACCAGCTGTCACAGGCTTTGTGTACCATGTTTAAGAGTTTGCACTTTTGTTGGTAGGAGAGAATCATGAGTTTTTCTGAAAAAGAAAGTAATCATATACGTTTTATAAAAATAATGTGACTTCTGGTCAAAATGGCCGGCAGTAGTGATGTGAAAAGTCCCCCTTTTGTCCAAACACACTGAACCAAAACGTAAAGAAACAAGCCAAAAATGGCCTCTCTCACCACTCCTTTTCGACATTGTCCTAAAAAGTATTAGCTAATGCAATAACAAGAAAAGAAAATAAAAGATCTATTTGAGAAAAACTACAAAAATCTGATGAATGAAATTTAAAAAAACCTAAATAAATGGAGAGACATTCCATGTTCTCATTGGATAGGGACACTCAATACTGTCAAGAGGTCAGCTCTTGTCAACTTGATCTATAGATTCAATGCAATTGCAATCAAAATCCCAGGAGATTATTTTGTGAATGTTGACAAACTGACTCTAAAAGTTATATGGAGAGATAAAAGACCCAGAATAGCCAATGCAGTATTGAAGAAGAACAAAGTTGGAGGACCGACACTTTCTAACTTCAAGATGTACTAAAAAGCGACAGTAATCAAGACAGTGTGGTACTGGTGAAAGAACAGACAAACAGATCAACGGAATAGAATAGAGAGCCCAGAAACAGACCCACATAAATACAGTCAACTGATCTTTGATGAAGAGCAAAGGCAAAACAATGGAGCAAACATAGTTTTTTCAAGAAATAGTGTTGGAACAACTGGATATCCACATGCAAAACATGAATGCAGACACAGATCTTTTACTCTCACAAAAATCAACTCAAAATGGATCACAGACCTAAATGTAAAATGCAAGACTTACAGACCTCAATGTGAAATGCAAAACTATAAAACTCCTAAAAGATAACATAGGAAAACAAATCTAGATGACCTCGGGTATGACAATGACTTTTTAGATACAACACCAAAGACATGATCCATGAAAGAAATAACTGATAAGCTGGGTTTTGTTAAAACTTAAAACTTCTGCCACAGACTGGGAGAAAATATTTGCAAAAGACACATCTGATAGACTGTTATAAAAAATACACAAAGAATTCTTAAAACTGAACAGTAAGAAAACAGTTGATAAAAAAAAAAAGCCAAAGACCATAACAGACACCTCACCAAAGAAGATATATAGATGGCAAATAAGCATATGAAAAGATGCTCCACATCGTTTGACATCAAGAAATGTAAATTAAAACAATGATATACCACTACACACCTTTTAGAATGGCCCAAATCTGGAATATTGACACATCAAATGCTAGCAAGGATGCAGAGCAACAGGAACTCTCGCTCATTGCTGGTAAGAATGCAAAACGGTCCATCCACTTTGAAAGACTAAGAATGCTCTTACCTTACTATCTAGCACTTGTGCTCTATGGTATTTACTCAAAGTGAAAACTTATGTCCACACAAAAGCTTACCCCACAGAGGTTTATAGCAGCTTTACTCATAATTGCCAAAATTTGGAAGCAAGCAAGGTAGGTGCCATTCAGTAGATGACTGAATAAACTGTGGTATACCCAGATAATGAATTATTACTCAGCGCTAAAAAGAAAGGAGCTATCAAGCCATGAAAAGTGTATACAATGAACTTTGTAATTTGTCAGTGCAGGTTCATCGACTGTGACAAATATACTGCCTGGTGGGGGATGTTGATAGTGCGGGATGCAGTGCATGTGTGGAGGCAGAAAGTATATGGGAAATCTCTGTACTTTTCTCTTCATTTTTCTGTGAACATAAAACTCCTCTAAAAAATTAAGTTTCTAATTAAAAATACGTACCTCGGTTTGAAAGAAAAGAAAAAGGGCTCCTGGAAGGTACTGAAGAGAAGGGTTGGAAGTAGAAACCCTCTGGGGACCTTGGCCAGGGTGTTCACCCAGGGGCAAGCTTTAGCATCAGCCTGGTGCGTGCTCGAGGCCACAGGCCCACCAGAACTGAGTTTCCTGGCCGATGCTGGGGTCAGGAAGATCTGTCCTGTCTGTAGAACAGGCAAGAAAACTCTGCCCACCAGGTGAGAACTCTGTAGGGAGGCTGCCATGGGTGGAAAAAGAATTATTCCTGAGACATCAGAGGCCTTTGGTGGGAGGTGACATTTAAGATAAGGCCTAAAGGAGAAAGGGAGGCAGCCACACCAGGGGAAGAGCAAATGAGCAGAGGGAACTCCAGGCAGAAGCGCTCTAAGATAACAAAGGTCCTCATGGCTAGGAGCTGATGAGTGAGGTGAGGGGGTCAATGGCAGACTGCAGAAGGCCTTGAGTCCAGAGGACATCCAGTGGAGTAAGAACAAACAGAACGAGGCCACTGAAGGGAGGTTGAGAGGGAGGGAAGAAGAAACAAGTGAACCTGGAGAGGAAGGGGAGAGGGATAAAAGAGGGCAGAAGTGACAGATGGCAGGAAGAAGAGAGGGATGGAGGAGGAAGAATCATGTTGAGGAAATGGAAATCAAACACAGGAGTGAGATCTCATCCCACATGTTTTCCTGTGCAGGAGCTCATCACACTTTCGCATTCCACAAATTGAGCCTGAAACAGTAAGAGGGGCTATGTTCTGCTGCTATGGTACCTGTCCACTGCTGGGAATGTGCTCTCTTTGCTTCACTGAAGCCCATCCATCTTTGAGGGGCCCAATTTCTCTCCCTCCTGCTGCCTCCGTGAGCGCCTGCTGTGCATCAGCATCATGGAGGTCCCCATCTATTTACTGTGCATGGGCTTTGTGATCCTGGACTCCTTCTGAAACCCTAGCCCCTGCTTCTCTGCAATCACTGGGCGGGGGGTTGGAGGGACATGGCTTCTTCCTGCCACAAATGCTTGGAAAGTGGAACAGAGGGCATGCCTCAGCCTTCTGAGTTTGAGACTAATGCTCCATGTGAGGATCCCATGAAGCATTCCAACATACTGCACTGGCAAAACAGGGGCCGAACTGATGCTGATGCTGAGCCCACTTAAAAGTGGAGTGGCAGAACCTTTTTTCCTTACCACTGGCTGTCACAAGAGGTCTCAGCCCTGTTATCCTGGATAAACACCTATACCACCATAAAACACACAGATTTCCAGGTGCCTCCAGATCCAGCAAATCAGTGTCCTTTGGGAGTTAGGAGCCAATCCTGTTTTTAAGGTCCCACAGATTAAGAGCCACTGAATTCAACTGAAGCCAAAGAAAAATGAATACAACTAGCTGATTTGTTTCCTCCAACACCTGAGATGCTTTCTATGGCCCACTGCTGACTTCAAAAGTGAACTGCCTTGCCAGACAGAAACACTGTGTCTCCATAAGAGGCTGAGGATGGTAACACTGTCAGAAGTTTTTGGGTGGGTTAATGCATTATTACATTTCAGAACATAAACATCAGCCCACTGTATCCAAGGTCACAAAGGATGATGCTTTCCTGGCAATGTTACACACTTTTAGCACCTATAGGTCAAAGGCCTAACACAAGTCAGTAAGTCCTTAGTCAACAACTGACCAGGCAGCACTTTGCCTCATCGGTTTACAGTAGATAAAAATTGCCCATCACCACTCAGGGTATTCCCTCTATCATCTGATTCTGCTAAGAAATGGAAAAACCAGACACCCAAATAATATCATACACCATATACAGAAAATAATATCCAGCTTAAAATGCAATAGATGGAAAACAATATTTGGCTTGTAAGTCTAACATATAAACTCAAACCAGAAACCTACTGAAATACTTTAAAAAATTGGCTTTTGGTTTTTCTGATGGATGAACTATTTCAGTTTTTCTGTCAATATGAAGAGATAACATTGGGATTCAAAAGACGAACACATTAGCTTTTCCTAAGAGTTTAAAGATAAAGAGTTTAGGGATCACTATTCAATTTCAAATTGGTCAGTATCCAAAAGTCAGCCCCCCAAAACTTCAACACTGTTCCATTATTGCCTCTGTCTAATGTTTTCCTGTTGTTAAACTAATAAGTTAACCAAAATTATTGCTATTTGGAAACATTGAAATCTTCCTATTGTTTTTTCTCCCTTAAATCAAAAAGAAAATAAGATTCTGACCTAGCTGCAAGAAATACAGGTCTCAGCTACCATAATCATGCCCTCTGTTGTTGAAGATTAAGTCACTTAACAACCACACTCTCCAAACTGTGTATGAGGAAAGTGATAACCCTGGGAAGGTTGTGAACTTTCATGCATATTTAGGGGATCCTCAAGTCATAGAGAGTCAAACAGAAGAGATATTCAAAATCTTTAAGAAGCTGGTATGGCATTGGACTGAGAAGTCAGGATGGGCACCATGACCAACCCAAAGGGATGCACACTGGTGTGTACTAGTTGAATCTCAGCCCTGGGGTAAAGCATCAGATTTGGAATGCCTGAACTCTTTAAAGGGTCATTGAAGGTGATAAGGAAACTTGACAATTCAGTGAGTCAGAACAACAAATCAGTGAGTTAGGGTTAGTGGGTGAATGCTTGCAAAAATGGCTGCAATTATTCTCCCAGCATCCACACCTCTGACAATGCAACACTGCAGCTCCTCCCATCAAGACCTAGAGTCTATTTCTCATCCTTGAATCTGGGCTGGCCTTGTGACTTGTGTTGGCCAACAGGATGTGATGGAAGTGATGTTGTGCAGATCCAAGCCTAGAACTCAAGAGGCTTTGCACACTTCAGTTCTCTCCTTTGGGTCTATGTCTATGAGAACAAGCCTGGGCTATCCTGCTGGTGAACGAGAGGCCACGTGGGGCAGAACTGGCCCAGTCGTCCCAGTTAAGATCCCAGATATGTGAGACAGACCAGCTGAGATTAGCAGTGCCACCAACCCCATTAGCAGCTGACCAAGGATGCATGAGGGAGCACAGCATTCAACCCCTAACCCTAAAAGTCACTGGATTGCCAACTTTCCTTATAACTTGCAATGATTCTTTAAAGAGTTCAGGTATTCCAAATCTCACACTTTACCCCAGGGCTAGGATTCAACCAATAAAATCCCATCAAGACAAGCAAGAGGCTTCCTGGCAGTGCCCAGCCTATTAAATGGCTGGCCTGCAGAATCATGAGCTATGTACGTGGCTCTTGTTTTAAGTCAGTAAATTTGAGGGTGATTTGTTAATGCTGCAATATTTAACTGAAAGAGTTGGGGGTCTCCTAAAAATTTAGATCAGGAGATTCTTATGTTCTGTGATCCTTTTGCTAAGGAGGAATAACTTATAATCCCAGTGAGCACACTATTTTTGTTGCTTTACTTCTAACCATCATAGCTTACATATTTTTCCACATTGCCAATCTGTATTTATTATAATAATCACTAATAGCTACAAAATATTCCACTGAAGGAATACAGTATAGTTTACCTAATCATGCTCATGTTGGTAGACTTTTAGATTGCTTCCAATTTCTGAGAAGTATAAATAAGCTTATACATCTAACATATTCTATATTTTGGATGATTTCTTTATGAGAGATTCTTAGGAGCAGAATTACCAAGTCAAGGTTATTAACAGCAATATGGCTCTTGAAATAGGCCATCAGATATTTTCTACAGGGACTGAACCAATTTTCACCAACACCAGCAGAAGAAGAGCACCAGTTTCATCACACGCTTGCCAGCACTAGATTTATTTTTAGGAGGTACAAATTTAGTAGATGAAAAGTGGAAAAATGAGAGCATTGGTTACATTTCTTTGAATGGATAAAATCCTGGAGGAACCATTGAGCTGTCTGATTTATATATCACCGAATAAATGAGGCTGGCATACAATTTGAAACTGCAAAGAACTAACTAAGGAAGAGGTCAATGCTACTCAGATACTTAATACTGGAACATTTCCAGCAGCTCTAAATTGTGGAAACTGCTGGGTATTTGCTTTTCTAAAACAAGTTTTAGAGGAAGAACTCTCAGGTGAATATGCATAAGTTTCCGCTAAATGTATGCTTATAAGGGGCATTATTTTACATAAGCATATTGAAGGGATAACAATAACTTGAAAGCAAATAAACTCTACAGGATTTTGTCGTAAGTTTTCACTGGTTTCTGTATTAAAATTATTCTATAGTTGCTAAACACTACCCAAACAATATGACACACCTGTGTGAACCTTTATCTTAAGGCCTACAATGCATGCACAAAGTCACTACACAGCCTGGTGAGGCTCCTGTACCCTTCTACAGCACCCCCAGATGGTTGTACAAAAGCATCACACAGATCCCAGTTAGGAGAACACTATGGGGATACCGTCCTAGCCATGATACAAGTGATTTGTGGCTCACAGCAGTTAAAGCACTGAAGTTTACAAAAGAGTTAATTTTCTCTTCTCTCTTATGATTAAATTTTGATCATTTTACAGATTATATATATATATATATATATATATATATATATATATATATATATATATTTGGTATCTTGCTGGTCTAGAATGGCCAAGACCTGAAGTCACAACAGGGAAGTGGTTGAATACAGATTGAGCAGGAGGGTCATAAAAGACTGTTAGGTGTGTTAGGTGTGACTGAATTCCTCAGGCTCAGGGACTTGTCCAAGGCCTTGCAGCCCATGTGGATGGAGCAGGACTAGGCTCAGAAAGGGTCAAAGGAGGCTGCTGTATTTCACTACAAAATGAAAAGGCGTGATTTCTGAATCATTTATTGCCTGGGGATCATCCACACTGCCTGCTGCCTTCATTAGTCAAGACTGAGAGCCCAGCGAGATGGGGAAAAATCAATACCCTGCAGGGATGGTGCTGTTGATACAGAGAATATTATACTAACTAGGTTTTTTCCTCTTAACCAGCTGGCATTTTATTTCATTTTTAAAAGAAATGCTATTCAATCTTTTAAGATTAGGGGAAATGTGCATTTCACTATAACGACAGAATAGAATGGACAGAATCTTCCCAGGACCCAAGATACCTTCTAATTAGCTCTAAGTTATACACCAGGAACTGATATAACACGTGAGCACTAACTTATTTAATGGTATATAGCCAGCTGAAAAGATTTCACACCAATCCTAATTTATTTAATTTTCAATCAGACAATAGCTTAAGCACTGGGTAGAAGAGTTGATCATTATTTTCTACAGAGACAGGCTTTCTGGCGTGCTACGTTTAGAGTATTACAAAGGCATACATCTGAGGAAATGCATTTACTTTAATGCATTTTAAGTATCTTTATTTTAAATATCTATTAATACAATGAAGAAACATAAAAAACCATAAAATCAAAAGGCTGAATCACCATTTAATGCACATTGTCAGATATGTCATCACTAAAGTATCTCACAATCAAGGTATTTAAGAAAAATAAGTGAGTCATTACTCTTGGGAAGGGACATTCTAAGAGTTATTTGATGTTTACTATCTGAAGTAAAACTAAGGTTTAAGGTTGCAAAACAATCTTGGCTTTTTGATTAATAAATATATTTATATCGATAAATTTAACATTTTCTACTTAGTAACAGAGGTCCAGACCTAACTGATACTGAATGGTAAGAGTCAGAACAAGAATATGGGGAAATTATGATGATGCGAAGCACCTGAATGAGGGAGGTGATCATTTCCTACGCTCTCAGGAAAAACTACTTACATACAAGCACTGAGAAGAATGTTTGGCAAACAAAGAATTGAACAGATGTATTGAAAGGTGTTGGCTATTAAAATATCACATTCAGAAGTCATGAAATGTCAAGCATTCAAATATAAATGAGCAAATGTTATAACTTTTTAAAAGTCATTTTTAAAAATTACAACATTGCCTCTGATAATTGCCTTTGAAATGTGCTTAACTTTTCTATCAAAGATAAATGGAATTTTCCTTAACTTATTATTAAGTAGAAACAAAAACCATCTGAATCAAGACTTAATGGAATGGTTTAATCAAGTTAGCAAGTAGGGCTTTTCGTATGTCTGGAAACCAGGAATCAGAGAGGAAAGGGATGCCAGCAGTCCTGCTTTTAAGTGCCAGGGGGAGAAAGAATACAGAAGAATGGATGGTTGACGGGAATGAGGAGTGACAGATTATTCTCTGAATAATCAAATCTGTGCTCTAAAGAGGCAGTTTCATGAAAACTCCGCATGTTGTAATGAGCCATTTATTTAACTATCCGCAAAGTTCTTCAAATATTTACAATATTGCCCAGATGTGGTGCAGCTTTATTTGCTTCCCAATTACTCCAAAAAGTTCAGATTCTAACTTGCAAAACACTGCTTATTTTAAGTGAACAGACAAATTTAAAATAGAGTACTAATAAAAAGCTCTGATTCCAAATTAAAAATCCACAATGAATGTCTGTTGGGGGACTATGGATAATTGAAAGCACTTCAGTGATCTATGTTAGCAAACTGTCTATCGTTGGCTCTATATATGTCAAATTTTAGATAGACAAGTTTATTTAAATGTTCAGAAATCTAAATGATCTACTCTAATTCAATATGGGAGAATTTTATAATATTAAATAATAAGTGAAATCATTCTAAAATATAGAATATACTAAAACAGACTATAGACAAAGACTAGAAGACAGAATTGTGCATTTATGTCAGAAGGAACAAAATATCACATTCAAAAGTCATGAAATGTCAAGCATTCGAATATAAATGAGCAACTGTTATAACTTTTTTAAAGTCATTTTTAAAAATTATAGTATTGCCTCTGATAATAATTATTTGCCTTTTAAGTGATTTTGACTCACGCTTTTCTCAGAGTTTGGACAAAAAGGTTTTCCTATTTTTGAATAACACTTAAAGAACTTCAAACTCAGGAGCCTATACTGGGATGTTTTACTCTGCCTAACATAAGATTAAATTGTTGAAGGTATCATAGCAAGAAGTAAAACTCCAGGGAGGCTATTAACAATTTAGCATTTCTAGTTCACGCTAGAGTATTAATTCCACTTCCCAAAGAAAGAAGAGTGGTATTCATTAAAATTAAGATCTTGTGACTGCAGAAATGTACCACTGCATTTATATTACAGCACATTAAGAATAACATGCAGCTGTCTCTGCGAATTCAGTGAGGTTAGTGAGGTCTCAGCTTGAGTTTTCCCTATTTCTTTGCATGGGTAAAATACAATCAACTTTTGATTATTCACAAATGGAAGTGAGTTTCTGCAGACATGTCCAGCAATGTCCTCTGAAATAAGGGGTTTCCTGTGCCAGGGAGTAGTGATGATCTTCAAGATCACAGCTGTAAAGGCGCTTTTTCTGCACTGTGGTTTCCTTCTGACATGCTCAAGTCTGTAATTCAGGGTCACCTTGGGTAGCATGCCCTGGGACTACATCTGTGCTGGGAGGTAAGCTGTGCCAGGGGGAAGAGCAGCCTGCAGTAGTATCTGGGATTGAATTTGGGGGCTGTATGGGCACAAGAGGTCGGGGCAGGGTGGGGGGCAACCAAAAGGTGTTCAGAGCTCCCCAAGGATTCTTAGAAATATTTGGGAGGGGGCCGGATACATGCCAAGTAGGTGCCATCACTATTGTATTTGGATGCTAAAGAAACAGACAACAGGGCAGGTGTGATGGCTCACGCCTGTAATCCCAGCACTTTGGGAGGCCAAGGTGGGTGGATCACCTGAGGTCAGGAGTTCAAGACCAGCCATGGTCTACACGGTGAAACCCCGTCTCTACTAAAAATACAGAAAATTAGCCAGACGTGGTGGTGGGCACCTGTAATCCCAGCTACTTGAGACACTGAGGCAGGAGAATCGCTTGAGCCCAGGAGACGGAGGTTGCAGTGAGCCAAGATCGCGCCATTGCACTCCAGCCTGGACAATAAGAGCAAAGCTCCCCCTCAAAAAAAAAAAAAAAAAGAGACAACATTCGAAGACTGGAAAATGTGGGGCAACTCAGTATGATATGTAAAACAGTGAACAATCTGCCTAGTGTATAAGCCACTGAGTATCTCCAAGACAAATATTTAAGAGAAGACAGTGTAGAAAGAGTCTATGCATGGACAGCCCCCAAACAGGGACATGTTGACTTAGAAGAAACATAGAAACTGTTAAAACATTGATAAGTGTAACACTTAGGTTCTTAGTTTTTAGTAGCAAGCTGCAGAGATCAACCCTAGTTGATTTAGCAGAGAAAGTCTGGGGGCTCATAATTCTGAGGGGGGCTGGAAAACTTGAAGCTAAGCTGCCAGGAGCAAAGCCCATAACCAATCACCACTACTGCTATAAGACACTCCAGCTGGCACTAGGCCATGAGTAGGAAGGCAGTGATACTGCAACTATGACTGGCAACAGCCCTGTTTCTGCTTCATAATGCCAGGAAGTCAATCTGGCAAACCAGGATCCTGTCGCTTCTCCAGAGAGTGAACTCATCAACTCTTGCTTCTATTGTCACTAGCTCCTGTGTCAAAGTGTGGAATGAGGCAGTCTGACAGGGAGAGCTGAGATCTCCTGCATTTGGCCCAGCTGCAGGGTAGGAAGGAATAGTGAGAACGCAGTATTATCATCAGAGGCTGTTTTTGTTTCCTGCCAAGCATTATGAGGTGGGGAACATTCTCCTAATATAGAGAAGGGTGCACACACTGGGCCACCAAAATGATACATGCTCTGCAGAAAAAAGTTACTATCTGGTTATGTTGCTTAAATGGTGGAGAGAAAAGAGATGTGAATAGGAATGAGGACAGAAGCCAGAGCTTGATGGAGATAAAAATAAATGGGTTGCTAACTTGGAAGGTGATTCAAAACTGGAATAGGGCTCTCCCTCTCCCTCTCCCTCTCCCCACGGTCTCCCTCTCCCTCTCCCCACGGTCTCCCTCTCCCTCTCTTTCCACAGTCTCCCTCTCATGCTGAGCCGAAGCTGGACTGTACTGCTGCCATCTCGGCTCACTGCAACCTCCCTGCCTGATTCTCCTGACTGAGCATGCTGAGTGCCTGCGATTGCAGGCTCGAGCCGCCACGCCTGACTGGTTTTGGTGGAGACGGGGTTTCGCTGTGTTGGCCAGGCCGGTCTCCAGCCCCTAACCGCAAGTGATCCGCCAGCCTCGGCCTCCCGAGGTGCCGGGATTGCAGACGGAGTCTCGTTCACTCAGTGCTCAATGTTGCCCAGGCTGGAGTGCAGTGGCGTGATCTCGGCTCGCTACAACGTCCACCTCCCAGCCGCCTGCCTTGGCCTCCCAAAGTGCCGAGACTGCAGCCTCTGCCCGGCTGCCACCCCGTCTGGGAAGTGAGGAGCGTCTCTGCCTGGCCGCCCATCGTCTGGGATGTGAGGAGCCCCTCTGCCTGGCTGCCCAGTCTGGAAAGTGAGGAGCGTCTCTGCCCGGCCGCCGTCCCACCTAGGAAGTGAGGAGCACCTCTTCCCGGCCGCCATCACATCTAGGAAGTGAGGAGCGTCTCTGCCCGGCCGCCCATAGTCTGAGATGTGGGGAGCGCCTCTGCCCCCCCGCCCCGTCTGGGATGTGAGGAGCACCTCTGCCCGGCTGCGACCCCGTCTGGGAGGTGAGGAGCATCTCTGCCCGGCCGCCCCGTCTGAGAAGTGAGGAGACCCTCTGCCCGGCAACCGCCCCGTCTGAGAAGTAAGGAGCCCCTCCGCCTGGCAGTCGCCCCGTCTGAGAAGTGAGGAGCCTCTCCGCCCAGCAGCCACCCAGTCTGGGAAGTGAGGAGCGTCTCCGCCCGGCCGCCACCCCGTCCGGGAGGGAGGTGGGGGGGGGGGGTCAGCCCCCCGCCAGGCCAGCCGCCCCATCCGGGAGGGAGGTGGGGGGGTCAGCCCCCCACCCCGCCCGGGAGGGAGGTGGGGGCGTCAGCCCCCCGCCCGGCCAGCCGCCCCGTCCGGGAGGTGAGGGGCGCCTCTGCCCGGCCGCCCCTACTGGGAAGTGAGGAGCCCCTCTGCCCCGCCAGCCGCCCCATCCGGGAGGGAGGTGGGGGGGTCAGCCCCCCGCCCAGCCAGCTGCCCCGTCCGGGAGGTGAGGGGCGCCTCTGCCCGGCCGCCCCTACTGGGAAGTGAGGAGCCCCTCTGCCCGGCCAGTGGCCCCATCTGGGAGGGAGGTGGGGGGGTCAGCCCCCCGCCCGGCCAGCCGCCCCATCCGGGAGGGAGGTGGGGGGGTCAGCCCCCTGCCCGGCCAGCCACCCCGTCCGGGAGGTGAGGGGCACCTCTGCCCGGCCGCCCCTACTGGGAAGTGAGGAGCCCCTCTGCCCGGCCACCACCCCGTCTGGGAGGTGTGCCCAACAGCTCATTGAGAACGGGCCATGATGACAATGGCGGTTTTGTGGAATAGAAAAGGGGGAAAGGTGGGGAAAAGATTGAGAAATCGGATGGTTGCCGTGTCTGTGTAGAAAGAAGTAAACATGGGAGACTTTTCATTTTGTTCTGTACTAAGAAAACTTCTTCTGCCGTGGGATCCTGTTGATCTGTGACCTTACCCCCAACCCTGTGCTCTCTGAAACATGTGCTGTGTCCACTCAGGGTTAAATGGATTAAGGGCAGTGCAAGATGTGCTTTGTTAAACAGATGCTTGAAGGCAGCATGCTCGTTAAGAGTCATCACCACTCCCTAATCTCAAGTACCCAGGGACACAAACACTGCGGAAGGCCGCAGGGTCCTCTGCCTAGGAAAACCAGAGACCTTTGTTCACTTGTTTATCTGCTGACCTTCCCTCCACTATTGTCCTATGACCCTGCCAAATCCCCCTCTGTGAGAAACACCCAAGAATTATCAATAAAAAATAAATAAATTAAAAAAAAAAAAAACTGGAATAGGACAGTGAGTGAAGGTGCAGCAGCAGAAAAATACTGGGAAAAGGCCACACCCATGCGGCTACTCGGCCTGATTCCATGTGCCACCCTTGGGAATCCTCCTCTGTGCTTTGACAGCAGAAAAAGGGCTGTGCCTGGATGAGAAAGATTTAGATACCAGGGAGGGAAGCTCCAGCCCTTAGTGAAGGTAGGTGCTTTTTTCTTTTAAACTAAGTATGTTAATATTTTTCTTGATGATAAAGATGCATTGTAAGAGACTTCCATTCCAATAATATAACATTAGAGACTGGATAGACTAAAATTTCTCACACTATAAATGTGCTGATAAAATAGAGCCCACATCCCCCTACAAATAAAGCTAAATTAGGCTGGGTGTAATCGCTCACACCTGTAATCCAAGCACTTTAGGAGCCAAGGCAGGAGGATTCCTTGAGCTCAGGAGTTTGAGACCAGCATGAGCAATACAGTGAGACCCCATCTCTACAAATATATTTTAAAAATTCAGCTGGGCGTGGTTGCAAGAGCCTATAGTCCTAGCCACTTGGGAAGCTGATTCAGGAGGACTGCTTGAGCCTAGGAGTTTGAGATTACAGTGAGCTATGATTGTACCACTGCACTCTAGCCTGGGTGACAGAGCAAAACCCCGTTTCATACATACATACATACACATATAATATATAGCTAAAGTGGTAAGGAAATAGGAAAATCCTCAGTGGGAAAACACACAGAAAAAATTAAAACCTGGAGCTGTTGTGGCTGCCTCAGAACATGCCCATTTTGCTACCCAAAAGCTTGAGTTTCCGCAGCATTTAAGGGCAGATACAAGAAGAAACGTGAAAACAACACATCCATGCCCTCAGGAACAGAGTAGAGATTATCCCTGCACTAACACAGGGACAGCCGAGGAAGCTTGACTTGCAGGGCCTGAGCACTGAGTCCAAGCTAAATGTCCCTGACATCAGCAGCTATGGCCTGGCTTGTATATGGTTTGGTTTACAACTACAGTAGGTCCAGAAAACTTAGTGAAAACACACATGTGCATGCACATGTACACACAGGAGTGTGTCTCTGAGAGTAATACCCTTAGGGTACCTGGAAGAATAAAAAATAAAACAGCGCACGAGGGACACATCCTCAACACAGCCTGTGCAGCATCCCTACAGACAAAAAGATAACTCTGAAGATAAGCATCTCACAGACTCAAATTACAAACACAAGGGACTTCATGTAACCAAATTACTGAATAAAAACTACAAAAAAAAAAAGATTAAGTTGATTATAGGTATAGAAGAAGGAATCAGAAAAGGAAAGATCAGGACACAGATACTGGAAACAGATACTGGAAATATTTGAAAGAAAACTCCATTTAAATACAAAAAGTGAAAAAATGTGGTTGCTGAAATTAAAAATTCAAAGACTGGGTTAAGCAGTAGATAAGCAATAGAGAAAGAGAGATCAAGTAAGTCAGAAAATAGATACGGGTTGAGTATTCCTAATCCAAAATCCAAAACCCAAAATGCTCCAAAATCTGAAAGTTTTTGAATGCTGACATGATGTTCAAAGGAAATGCTCATTGGAGCATTTCAGATTTCAGATTTTTGGATTAGACATGCTCAAGCCATACATATATGAAAATATTCCAAATCCAAAACACTCTGGTCATTTTGGATAAGGGATACGCAACCTGTATGAAGAAGCCATTCAGAACACAAAACAGCTAAAGTGAAGGAAAATATGTATAAGAAGAGGGTAGAATCACAGAATCCAACATTCATTGAATAAAAGCTTAAGAAACAGCAGCTTTATTGCTTTCATAACTTTCATACTTTCTAGAAGACTCTCAGCTTTACTGTATGAAAGTTATTTTATAAATAAAATTTATGAAAGTTATTTTTAAAGTATGAAAGTTGAAAGCTTGTAACTGTAAAACATGAAAGTTATTGATTAATAACTTTCATACTTTCTAGAAAATTATCAGCTAATACCTCTTAAATATTGCTGCAGGAAGCAATATTTTGCTACAGGAATATTGCTGCAGGAAGCAATATTTTGCTACAGGAATATTGCTGCAGGAAGCAACATTCTCTAGATGTTTCATGAAACATCTAGAAACACTGTAATGAAACTGTAGAACAACAAAGATAAAGGGAATATATATATTTTAAGGGATGGGGTCTCCCTATGCTGCCCAGGCTGGAGTGCAGCAGTTATTCGTAGGTGTGATCATTGCATACTACAATCCCAGATTCCTAGGGTCAAGCAATCCTCCTGCCTCAGCCCTCCCAGTAACTGAGACTGCAGGCTCATGACATTGTGCCCAGCTATGAGATTTTAAAATTAGAGAAAAAAGACTGATTACCTATAAAAAATGGCAATTAGATTCAAAGTAGCCTTTTTGACATTTACAACAGAATGGCAGAAGATAGTGGGGCAATGTTCTAAAAGTATTGAAAGACCATTATAGGAATTCTAAATGTTTTAGAACGATTACTTTAGAATACCATAATTTTAGTTATACAATTATGCCAAAAGTCGGTTAAAATACTTTTCTAAAACACAGGTTTTATCAGTAAAAACCCTTCATGAAAAAAATTACCAAATGAGGTATTTTAGAAAAAACAGATTTGAATCCAGAAGGAAAGAATAAGCTGCACTAAAAAATAATAAGCAAATGAATTTTGGTAAATATATGGGTAAATCTAACCAATGCCTTTTAGGGAAAAAAAAAAAAATGACACATTTTAGAGGTATATTTACAAATGGGTCTAAAACACTAGATGACAATAACATACAGGCTGGAAAGGGGCAAACAGGACTGAAGGATTTAAAGTCATTGCATTGTTTGGGAGAAGGCTAGAAACCTTGATGAACTTTAGTGTTTTTCAAACCATCTGTTGTGAAGGCTCCTCAACCTTTTTTCCAGTCCATCATGAACTGATCTTTTCTAAAACAATAAAAATAAATCACTAGGAAAATGATCATATCCTTAGATATACTGGCATCATCAAATGGACCAAATGTTTCTAAATGCTTCTTTGCAATCTCTATACTTTCACATTGTGAATTAATACACAACAGTCCTTAGACTGGTGCCAATCTGTGGGCCACTCTTTGTGCCACATTGTTTTTAAACTTCATTAAATCAATTATACCTGAGAAGTTTTTAAGATAATTACCAAATAAAAGAAATGACTACCTTTGAAATCAATAAAAGAGGAAATAAAGGTATATATTTGTTTACCTTACAATCAATTTATTAGAAGCTGGGAGGGCGGGGGAAGGCAGGGTGTGGGGAAAATCAGAAAAACACAGTAAATAATAACACAACATAAAACGGAAGAAAAAGCTCACTCGAAACATGATCACAATAAATGCAAACAGGATAAACTGACCAATTAAAAAACAGAGATTGTCAGAGCAGATAAAAACAACAAAATCTAACTTTATGCTATTTACCTGAAATTTATCAAAAGCATAAAAACAGAGAAAGGCTGAAAGTAAGAGGATGGAAAATGAAATACGTGTAGGGCCAGGTGTGGGCAGTGGCTCACGCCTGTAATCCCAGCACTCTGGGAGGCAGAGGTGGGCAGATGGCTTGAGCCCAGGAGTCTGAGACCAACATGGGCGACGTGGCAAAACTCTGTCTCTAGAAAAAATTTAAAAATTAGCTATGTGTGGTGATATGTGCCTGTAGTCCCAGCTACTTGGGAGGCTGAGGTGGGAGGATCACTTGAACCCGGGAAGTTGAGGCTGCAGTGAGCTGTGATCATGCCACTGCACTCCAGCCTGGGCAACAGAGGGAGACCTCGTCTCAAAAAAAAATAATAATAATAAATAAATAAATAAAAGGAAAGAAGGAAGGAAGGGAGGGAAGAACAAACATTAACGCTGTGATGGTTAATTTTATGTGACAACTTGGCTGACCCATAGTACTCAGGTATTTTGCCAAACGTTATTCTAGATGTTCAACAAAATAATTAACAAGCTCAATTTAATGGACATTATCATGGTTAATACTGAGTGTCAACTTGATTGGATTGAAGGATGCAAAATATTGATCCAGGGTGTGTCCGTGAGGGCGTTGCCAAAGGAGCTTAACATTTGAGTCAGTGGGCTGGGAAAGGCAGACCCACCCTTAATCTGAGTGGACACCATCTAATCAGCTACAAGCACAGCTAGAGTATAAAGTAGGCAGAAAAGCGTGAAAAGACTAGACTGGCCTAGTACCCCAGCCTACATCTTTCTCCCATGCTGGATGCTTCCTGCCCTCCAACATCGGACTCCAAGTTCTTCAGTTTTGGGACTCAGACGGGCTCTCCTTGCTCCTCAGCTTGCAGGCAGCCTATTGTGGGACCTTGTAATTGTGTGAGTTAATACTTAATAAACTCCTTTTTATTTTTATTTTTTTGAGACTGAGTCTCACTCTGTTGCCAGGCTGGAGTGCAGTGGTGCAATCTCGACTCACTGCAATCTCTGCCTCCCGAGTTCAAGCGATTCTCCTGCCTCAGCCTCCCAAATAGCTGGGACTACAGGCACGTGCCACTAGGCTCGGCTAATTTTTTGCATTTTTAGTAGCGACAGGGTTTCCCCATGTTAGTTAGGATGGTCTTGATCTCCTGACCTTGTGATCCGCCACCTCAGCCTCCCAAAGTTCTGGGATTACAGGCATGAACCACTGCACCCGGCCAAACTCTCCTCATATATATATATATATATCCTATTAGTTCTGTCCCTCTAGATAACCCTAATATAAACAGAGGACATATTTCTTCTAACACACATTTATTTTATTTTATTTTATTTTATTTTTTAGCAGTGGGTTCTTACTCTGTTGCCCAGGCTGAAGTGCAGTGGCATGATTACAGCTCACCGCAGACTCAAACTCCTGGGCTCCAGCTAACCTCCTGCCTCAGCCTCCTGATTAGCTGGGGCTTACAGATATGTACTACCAAACATGGCTAATTTTTAGAAAATTGTTTAGAGATGGGATCTCACTGTATTGCTCAGGCTGGTCTCAAATCCTGGCTTCAAGTGATCCTCCTGCCTCAGTTTCTTGAGTAGCTGAGATTACAGATGTGAGCCACCACGCCAGGCTGAATATTTACAAAAAATGATCACATACTAGGCCATAAAGCAAGTTTCAAAATTTTTTAAGAATCAGAATCCATTACAGCTAATGTTCTCTGACAACAATGCAGTTCAATTAGAAGTCAATAACAACAACAAGCAACCTACAGGTTTTGATATCTAAAATTACATTTTAAAATAATTCATAATTGAAAGAAAAAAATGAGAACTAAGTCATAATAAAAACACTATACATCAAAACTTGTGGGCCAGGCCTGGTGTCTTAGGCCTATAAACCTAGAACTTTAGGAGTCCAAGGCTGGGGGATGCCTGATGCCAGGAGTTTGAGACCAGCCTGGGCAACACAGGGAGACCTCATCTCTACAGAAAAAAAACAAAAACAAACAAACAAACAAACAAAAAAACATTAGCACACCTGTAGTCCCAGCTACTTAAGAGGCTGAGGTGGAAGGATTACTTGAGCCCAGGGATTTGAGGTTACACTGAGCTATGATCATACCACTGCACTCCAGCCTGGGCAACAGAGTGAGACCCTGTCTCAAAAACAAAAACAAAAACTAATCAACCAAACAAAAAAACTTGTGGAATGCAGTGTAAGTGGCCCCAGGAGGGTTTTTTTCTAGCCCTAAGTGCTTATATTAGCAAAGAATAAAGGCTGAAAAGTAATGAGCTCATCATACAAACAAATAAATTAGAAATAGAAAAGCAGAATAAATTCAAGGAAAATAGAAGAAAGGAAATAATAACTACTAAGCAGAGTAATGAAACAGAAATGAACACATGCCAAAAAGTTAACAAAGGCAAGAGATGGTTTGAGAAGACAAACCTTTGGAAAGGTTTCTCCAGTGAAAAAGAGAAAAGACATAAAACACCATGAGGAATGAAAAGAGGGGAATAGAGACACAGCAGAGATGAAAAGTAGGAAGGCATTTAGTGGCAATGTGTTTTTCCATGAGCAAGTTATTTAACCTCTATAATGCTTTGGTTTCATCATTTGTAATGTAGGGTTATCTAAAGTACCAATTTCATATGGTTGTTGTGAGAATTAAACTAGTTAATGTATGTAATGTGCTTAAATCAGTCCATGGCAATAAAAAGTAATAAATTTAGTGCTTACTAAATGTTAGCTGTTATTCCTATTGCTGGTGCTTATTCTTCTGTTTTTTCTTAGATAGTGGGACTATTAACATTCTTAAAGAATAGCTTTTGGTGTTGATCTTCTCATTTTTGCATTGTTTTCTATTTCATTAATTTCTGCTCTTACATTTAGCATTTTATTCCTCTGTCTTCTTTGGGTTTATTCTATTATTCTTTTACAAGCTTCTTTAGTTGAACATTCAACACATTTATTTTCAATGTTCCTTGTTTTTAAAATTCATCTTTAATGATAAAAATTTATCTCTAGCTAAAGTACTAAGGTGCTGCTTTAGTTAAACCATATAATTTTATTTCTTCAGTTCTATAGTGGTTTTAAAACATACCTGGAAGTTCCTTTACACTCCTGCCATCAAAAATAGAATTTAATTTCCCTCATTTTGAATACAGACCGGGCTTAGGGACTGACTTGAACAGAAACAAGGTATGATGTCTGAAGTCAAGTGACTTCTGAAGCTAGGACATAAAAGGTGACACAGCTTCTGCAGGGCTCTAGAGCTCGTGAGATGGCCTTCCTTACAACCTAGCCACTGCGTCCCAGGGAAGCCCAGCCTACATGAGCAGGTCATGTACAAGGGTTCCAGCTTGGGCAAGCAAGCGTCGACTGCCACCTAAGAGTGAGCCTTCAGATGATTCCAACCCCCCAGTCTTTGAGATGTGCCAGCTGATGTCCTGTGGAGCAGAGGAATAGAGACAAGTTGACTTCACTGAGCCCAACTCAAACTACAGATCTGTCAGCAAGATAAATGTTATCTTTTTAGACCATTGGGTTGTTTTAAATATTTTTTAAAATTTTTATATATTTATGGGGTATAAGTGCAGATTTCTTACATGCATATATTGTGCAGTGGTAAAGTCTGGGCTTTTAGTGTTCCCATCACCTGAACAGTGAACACTATACCCAACTGGTAATTTTTCAACCTTCAATCCCTCTTTCCCACCCACCCTCCTTTTGGAGTCTCCAATGTCTATTATTCCCCTCTGTATGTCCATTGTTTAGCTCCCACTTATGAGTTTGAACATGTGATATTTGACTTTCTGTTTCCGAGTTATTTCACTTAGTATAGTGTAGGCTACTAAGTTTTAGCATGGTTTGTTTTGTGGCAATCTAAAACCAGAACAGTTCTAAATGTTTTCTATTTTAAGATTATCAAATTACCTTAATAGCATAAGAATATGTATATTCTGTAGTTTCCAAACAAATAATGGTAGTGGTAATAGTGGTGATGGGGGTGGTATATTTTATTATCCGTTTTTAATTTAACTGTAGTTAGAAATATGGTCTGAGTATACAATTTATTTGAAATTTGTTGAAAAATTTGGTGATGGTCTATAAGTGTAATTGTTCTATGTGTCCTTCTAAAGAATATATCTTCATTTGGTGCAGTGTGTCTGTGTGTGTGTGTGTGTGTAACCACTGATCTAAGGGAGATTATATATGGGTCTTTATTAGATAAGTGGCTTTCAAACTTTTTGGTCTTAGACCCTTTATATTCTTAAAAACTGAGGACCTCAAGGGATTTTGTTTATGCAGGGTGTATTTATCAGTATTTACTATATTGAAAATTAAAACCAAGACATTTAAAATTACTTATAAATTCATTTAAAATAACAATAAAACCATGCAAATTAGCATACGTCTTTTTAAATGTATTTTCTAAAACAAGAAAAATTGGGAACAAGAGTGACATTGTTTTACATTTTTGCAAATTCTTTAATGTCTGTCTTATTAGAAGACAGATTCTCATATCTGCTTCTACATTCAATCTGCTGGGATATATTATTTTGGATGAAGTTCTCTAAAATTCTAAAATTTAGAATTCTCATTTTGGCTTGGAAACTCAAATTTATGGCAACAAGTGCTGTCAGCTGTTTTCCTTGAAGTCACAGACTTTGTTCATTTCTGAGAAAATGCCTGCCAGATACTCAAGCCTAATCATGGTTTGCCTGTCAGTAGTTACTCTTTTGAGTAAAAATGGTGTTCCAGGCTTCTGGAATGGTGGCGTGAGAAGCTACAAAGGCCCATTCCCAGAGAAACAAGCATAACTTGTAGAAATTATCTAAAAAACAACTGTTCAATGCATCTGAAATTGTCTTAAGCGCATACAGCAAATGAAGAAATATTTATTCAAGAAAATCTACTAAAACTCAGTAAGAACAGTGTTAGTCTGTGGCATTTCAACCACAGGCCTCTCCATCCCTCTACCTTCCCGGCTCGGCACTACAGAAACCCTACTCTAGGCTGGTGTAGCCAAGAACACAGGGCTCAGTCTCTCATCAGTTCCCAGTGGTGGGGAAAGGATCCAAATAAACATTTCCCCAAAGAAGATGTACGAGTGGCCAATAAGCACATGAAAACATAGATGCTCAATATCATTAGCCATCAGGACAATGCACATCAAAACCACAATGAGATGCCACTTCCCACCCATTGGATGGCCACAACCAAAAAGACAAACAGTAACAAATGTTGGGGATGATAAAGAGGTCGAGAAATCAGAACTCTCATACACTGCTGGTAGGACTATAAATGGTCAGCTACTTTAGAAAAGAGTCTGGGAGTTCCCCAAATGATTAAATATAGTTACCAAATGACCCAGGAATTCCAGTCACAGGTATGAACACACAAAAAATGAAAACATATGTGCACACAAAACACATATACAAATGTTTATAGAAGCATTATTAATAATAGCAAAAGGGGGAAAAGCCCAAATGACCATCAACTGATAAATGAATAAACAAAATGTGAGCTATGTCCATACAATGGAATACTATTTGGCAAAAAAAGAGGCACCGACGCATGCTACAAAATAGATAAAATCTGAAAGCATTATACTAAGTGAAAGAGGTCAGACAAAAGAGGCTGACTTTTGGGGTGATAAAAATTTTGAAAACTGTGGTGATGGCTGCACAACTGCTAATACACTAAAAACCATTGAGTTGTACCTTTTAAATGGGTGACTTGTATGATATGTGAATTATATCTCAATAAAGCTATTATTTTTTAAAAATGGAGCACAAAATCATATCCTTTACAGCAAAATGGATGAAGCTGGAGGCCATAATCCTAAGCAAATTAATGCAGGAAGAGAAAATCAAATACCGCATGTTCGTACTTATAAGTGAGAGTTAAATACTGAGCACACATGGGCATAAAGATGGGAACAACAGACACTGTGTATTACTAGAAGAGGGAGACAGGGAGCGGGTGTGGGTTGAAAAACTACCTGCTGGGTATGATGCTCACTACCTGGGTGCAATATACTCACCATGTGACAAACCTGCACATGTACCCTCTGTATCTAAAATCAAACTTGAAATTTAAAAAATGGATATATTATTTTCCCTTCTCTCAACTACTGTGCAAACTCCATGAAGGCAGCGCCTTTTTTAGTTGGTTCACCACCATATATGTTGGCATCTAGAACAGTGTCTGACATATAATGGGCACTCAAATCTTTATTAAGTAAATGAGTTAACATCTTCAAATATTTCCCTCTAGACTTTTGCTCTCTATTCACATATTTTTCTATGCAATTTTAATTTAATATTACATATTTTCTAAAAACATTAGGACTCTCTTTATATGTACTATTTAATGATTGGAAATTTTGATGTAAAATAGGCAATTACATCTATTTTTTTTTTTTTTTTTTTTTTTGAGACGGAGTCTCGCTCTGTCGCCCAGGCCGGACTGCGGACTGCAGTGGCGCAATCTCGGCTCACTGCAAGCTCCGCTTCCCGGGTTCACGCCATTCTCCTGCCTCAGCCTCCCGAGTAGCTGGGACTACAGGCGCCCGCCACGGCGCCCGGCTAATTTTTTGTATTTTTAGTAGAGACGGGGTTTCACCTTGTTAGCCAGGATCGTCTCGATCTCCTGACCTCATGATCCACCTGCCTCGGCCTCCCAAAGTGCTGGGGTTACAGGCGTGAGCCACCGCGCCCGGCCAATTACATCTATTTTTTCAGCAATTCAAACTCATTTCTTCTGATTTTTGAAACATTGTCATTTTACTTTTTTCTTTCAGTCTGTGCACAGAACAGATTATTGATAATGATATTATTGATAACGATTGATAATGATTATTGATAATGATAAATGATCTAACACAAGGATGGGTTAAACTTCTATGAAAGAAGAGGAGATGACCCAGGCCAGTTCCAGATGCATGTTCCTCTACCCTCCCACCCATTTACCAAAATGCAACAATCATTTTTCTCTTGGTCAAATAATATATCCCTCTGAACAACAACAAATCACTGATTTTCTTAGAATAGTAACTCAAGATAAATAGCTGATGCTGAACAGAATTACAATTTGGCAGGAAAAAATTACCAAACTATTCCAGAAGGTGATTTATCCTGTAGCCCAGTGCTATCCAAACCACAGACTGAGGCTCTGCCACCACCAGAATACCTTCCAGTGATTACAGACAAGAAAGATTTACTTTCTAGGCCTGAGGTTGGGAAAGTTGCTGCTAATTCTTCTCCTTTTATATCTTCTTCCTGTTAACTCACAAATGCTGCAGGGAATTAGTCACTTGACCTCCCTCCTCTTGGCAGTGCCATTTCATTGACCCTTTAAACTAATCGCTATATCTACCACTGTTGTCCCAGAGGTTAAGGTAAATTATTAATGAGTTTAAAGGCAAAAGTTGCTCTCAACTCTTTATCTTATCTCTTGAGAAAATCCTAATGGGGGAAATTATAGTTAAAAAAAAATAAGATAGAAAAAATGACTTTCCTCAGTTCTTCCATTCCATGAATGTTGTGAGAAATAAATAGTAATAGATGGCATTTTCTCTAGCATAGAGAGTTAAGAAGATTTTTTTTTAATTAGAGTCTCAAAAAAATTCAATTTGTAGGACAAGTTTGGTATTTTAACTTTAAGAAGTCCACATTGGTTTGAACTGGGTTGTTAGGTTTGTTTTTAAAAACAACTGTTTGCATATTTTAGTAAAAATATATAATTAGATTTGGGTTTAAATTCAGTAAGTAGGCACAGTTGTATCTAGTTTTGTGTTCAAAACTTCAGTTTTCTTAAGTATACTTAAAACTTAATTAGTACTGAGAGTCAAAATAAAGATTTGGAAGAAATGCCACAAAAAAAAGGGTCTGTGTTTTGCATTGCATCTGCTATTATCCTAAGATATTTTAATGAGAATCTTCTCTATAGTTAGAGTACTATGCAGAGTGCTAGTACAAAGAAAGGTCCAGTGCTTGTGGTGTGTCCTGAGGGAAATCCTGATGAGCAGGGTCAGCCAGCCACCTGAGTCATCCCGGAGTGACAGCAGCAGGCAATAGGCAGTGTGTGGTCTGTGAGGTCAGAGCAATTCTAGAAAAACAACTTGGATGTGGTTGATCGATATTCTGGATCCAGTCATGGCTTGCAAAGAAAATAGCTGTATTTGGAATGAAGAGGACTTAATCAGTGATGCCCCTTTATAACCTGTAAAAGATGACAGATCCATCCAGAAACTCAAACCTACTTCCAGTGTATGTTAATTTGGTTCTAAAAAGAACTACGGTATGGAAGAATCAGTAACACTGATTATATTATGGTGGATTTGGGAAAATAAAAGATTGGGTCTGAAAAGATATGATTAACTGTAAAACAGGTCTATGAAAATGAGTTTAGGTATTTCTTGCATGACTTCTAGAAATAGGGTCTTTATTTTACTTACATGTAATATTAAAGGTAGTGCAACACATTTAACTGGCAGTGCAGAGGCTATGGCAACCTTTGGAATGGACTTGCAAGCTGCATTATTCTGCCAGGTGCACCTGGGCATCTTCGTGTGGGGGCACTACGAACTAGTACAATGAAGTGCTTGTGACTTAAACTCTTCAACTTATATACTCTTCAATTTACACACAAGATGGTCTCCATCCCAAGAGCTGTTAGGATGCCTTGTTTCTACTGAGTTCTCAATGGCTCAAAAAGGCTAAAAGCACTCTTCATATGTCCATGATTATCTGATTATCATAATTCATCAAGAATTAGCCAAGTGTTTAAGTACTGTCAATTTCAAGAGTCCAGATCAAAAGGGAGAACCTACAGGCCTCTGACTCTGAAAATCTAGGTTTTATTAAATAAGAGGAAGCCTTCACATTAATTGTTTTACTATACTAGACACATCTTGGTACATGGTCAAAGTAGGATACCATCATGTCCAATCTGCCAAAGCAAAGGCTATCATATCACCATATTCATTTTTTAAACATCTAACATTTATTTGGTGTTTACCATGTGCCTGATACTTTTCTAAATACTTTATATGTATTAATCTCATGTAATCCTCATAAGAACTACATGGGAGAAGTATTACTATTGTGTCCAATTTATTGATCTGGAAATGGAGATTCAAAGAGGTTAAATAACTCTCCCAGAAACATTACATGAATAAATGGTGGAGCCAGAGCCAGTGAATTAATAAATGGAGAGCCCAAGCCTTCTATTGGGTTATTGACAACAGCCCAATCACTATTCTACCAGTAGTAAAATCAACTGCCATTGATTCCATAGTTTCTTCACGTACAAAACTTTCTCATAACTTAAAGTTCAGTAGTGATATAAATATGTTATATTTTAAATATGTTTAAGGATTTAAACGATAATAAACTTGTGTTTTCTTCAAATTATGGAATATGCTACACATGATTGGAGAATCTGCTGCTTGAATTCTGATTCTAGCTCTGCTGTTTACTGGTTATGTGACTTAAAGAAAACTCTTCTAGTGGCTTTGAGCTTCTGTTTCCCCAACTATAGATTTCTCAGGAGGATGAAGGGTAGGGTATATATGAAGTACTCACCTCTTCCTGGGCACTCAACAAAGGGTAGCCATTATAATTATGAGATAATCCAGGGGAAAGTCCTGTGTAAACCATGCTCTGTAACGCAGGGATGCCACTATTATTACCTTGATAGTGATGACAAATGTGATAATACAAGTCAACTGTTGCAAGATCATAACCCATTTTTCAATAACAAGGAGAGTAGTTGCATCCCGGAGAGCCTAATAAGTCTAGCGTAAATTCCTCCAGTTTCCATGGGGCTGAGGAAGCCACCGAACTTGCCCGGCCCCAGAACCTAGGCTGGCCACGGGGAACAACTTCTTCCTGCCACTGTCCTGGACAAGAATCCTTCTCAATTTTGAATATTCTTCTCAAGTGATCCCAAGAGGCCTATCCTTTAAATAAGCCATCTAGGGCTGGGTGCAGCGGCTCATGCCTGTAATCCCAGCACTTTGAGAGGCTGAGGCAGGCGGATTACTTGAGGTCAGGAGTTCCAGATCAGCCTGGCCAACACGGTGAAACCCTGTCTCTGCTATAAATACAAAAATTAGCTGGGCATGGTGGTGCGCACCTGTAATCCCAGCTACTCAGGAGGCTGAGGCAGGAGGATCACTTGAACCTGGGAGGTAGAGGTTGCAGTGAGCCAAGATCGCGCCACTGCACTCCAGCCTGGGTGACAGAGTGACACTGTCTCAAAATAATAAAATAAAATAAAAATAAATAAGCCAGGTAGGCTGCTCTGGAACAAGTTTTAAGATGCAGCAATTTAATGCAATGATATCTCACTGCCTTTTTTTTTTGTTAAGCCTGGAAACTGTCCATGGATCTTAATTGCCAGGCCTCTCTGGTTCTTACTTTTTCCCTTTATAATGCAACGAACTTGCACCCCGGGAAGGTGCTTCCTCCCAAGATCTCACATTTCTATTAACGACCTCAGGGGGCCCCTTTAAAAGAAGAGAAGAGGTGTTAATTAGGGTGGTAACAGCCTCAAAAAACCCTTTTCTAGTCCTCAGAAGAATCAGTGCCTGTTGGAAACTCAGCATTAGTGTGAAAAGAGATAGGGATATAAAATATTCAACAACTTTTCCGTGTAGAAACCTTGCTTCCCACAACCCTACTGCAATGACTATAGTACCCAGTGGCTGGATTGGTGTAGCAGGTATATTTTCCACTGCATTCCCTTTGCTCAAAGTCCCTTACTTGTGTTGTCGTGGATGGTGTCCTTTAAAGTGATATATCTGCTATGATTGTGTTACAGTAGGTAGTCAGACATGAGCAGGGCAGGAGACTCCCCACACCACCCAGGAATGTGAGGCGACCATCACGTGATGGTCAGGCAGTTGTTAACTGTCTCTCTAAAACCATAACTGTTCTCAGCCAGAGCGAGGGAAAGACAGTCAGTCTCCCAACAGATAAAACCTGAAACTGGTG
Source organism: Homo sapiens (assembly GCF_000001405.40). Taxonomy (NCBI): domain Eukaryota; kingdom Metazoa; phylum Chordata; class Mammalia; order Primates; family Hominidae; genus Homo; species Homo sapiens. The sequence continues at coordinate 41,321,652 of NC_000003.12, forward strand.
ATCAGAAGCTTCCTGATAGGAGTCGGGTGAGTGGGCTCAAGCATGTGCACTAAGAGGCAAAATGGTGGAGTTTAACAAGTGTATGACCTTTCCTGAGGAACACTTGATTGGTAAGGGAAAAACGCCTCAAGTGAGCATGCGTACCACTTTAGTAAACACTCTGTGCCTGCGGCCCCTCCCAAGTGTTGGCAGGCCACTGTGCATGCGGACAGCCCACCCCAAGAGAAGAATCAGGGGAGAAGAGATGCAGACCTCCAAAGTATGCCAACCTACAAGACCTCAAGTCAAACCACACACTTGAATCTCTCAAGTCATCCTCTTGGCCCTCTTCCAGTGTACTTTACTTCTTTTCATTCCTGCTCTAAAGCTTTTATTTTATTTTATTTTATTTATTTATTTTGAGAGAGTCTCACTCTGTCACCCAGGCTGGAGTGCAGTGGCGCGATCTCGGCTCACTACAACCTCCACCTCCTGGGTTCAAGCAGTTGTTGTGCCTCAGCCTCCTGAGTAGGTGGGACAACGAGTGTGCACCACCACGCCCTGCTCCTTTTTGTAATTTTAGTAGAGATGGGGTTTCACCCTGTTGGCCAGGCTGGTCTGGAACTCCTGGCCTCAAGCAATCCACCTGCCTCAGCCTCCCAAACTGCTGGGATTACAGGCATGTGCCACACTGCCTGGCCTCTAAAGCTTTTTTAATAAACGTTCACTCCTGCTCTAAAACTTGCCTCCGTCTCTCCCTCTGCCTTATGCCCCTCAGACAAATTTTTCTGAGGAGGCAATAATTGAGGTTGCTGTAGACCCGTATGGATTCGCTGCTGCTAACAATTTGACCCACATAAGATAGTATCTCTCAAAGTACTAACTGCAGACCACCTGCACTGGATAAAAAGCAGATTACTGAGTCCCACCCTAACCTAATGAACCAGAATCTCACCAGGGATCAAGAAGCTACATTTCTTCAAAGCTCCCTGGTAATTCCCACAAACACTAATGTTTGAGAGCCGATGGAATAAGAAATAATGAATTCTTACTTCTTTCCAAGCTATTTAATGCTCAGCAGATATTGGTTGCTAGACTACATCTCAAACATATTAAACTGTATCCAATATTTTTACTTCGCTCAAACAAAACCAGAAATAAATGTGTGCCAAAGATTTACAGGATGACATTTCAAAAATTATGGTGAGAACAAGGCATATTGTAGAAGGTTATCTTTATGACTAGGGATTAGGGAAAGACTTCTTAAGCAAGGCTCCACAAGTATATATAATAGCCGTGTGTGTGTGTACCATTTTTTTTTTTTGAGACGGAGTTTTGCTTTTGTTGCCCAGGCTGGAGTGCAATGGCCCAATCTCGGCTCACCGCAACTTCTGCCTCCCAGGTTCAAGCAATTCTCCTGCCTCAGCCTCTTGAGTAGCTGGGATTACAGGCGTGCACCACCATGCCCGGCTAATTTTGTATTTTTAGTAGAGATGAGGTTTCTCCATGTTGGTCAGGCTGGTCGTGAACTCCCGACCTCAGGTGATCTGCCCGCCTTGGCCTTCCAAAGTGTTGGGATTACAGGCATGAGCCACCATGCCCGGCCATTCTTTTAAACTCCTTCCATGTTGCCATACACACACACGTCAAAGGCATATTCAAGGACATATATTAAATTCATTAGAGTGGGGATGGGGGAATGGGAGTGAATATTGAAGGGGAAGGAAAAAAAATTAAATCCCGACCCCTTCCTGAACAATAACACACACACACACACACACACACACACACACACACACACACACACACCAAAAACCAAAAAAACAGAGGCATGGTACTTCTGTCTAGTGAGAAAAACTTTAAATTTAGCTATACAACAGAGAAATGAAGATTTTTGCTAATTAGGGTTTATACTACTGACTAAAGATCTTCATTGGTCTCAGCACTACTACACCATAGAAAGCAAATTCTTTACCAGCTGGCCAGGAGCTGATCCAGGAAACCCACACCCATGCACATAGCTTTGCCTTCTGCCCCCGACCCCCCTCCCAGTGTCCTGTCCAAATCTCACTCCCACGAGTGCTTACAGATGGAGTAAAAAGCAGACACAGTGTAAGGGGGTTGCATTAAGGGTGTTTCTATTGAGTCAACAGAAAGTAACAAGCAAAAACTGCAATTTAAAAGCACCAAGGCATAGAGAGACTTTAGGATTTAAAAAAAATAGAAAAATAAATAGATTTGAAATGTTTCCCCTTTTTTGTGAATGGCATAGGTCAGTTACTTCCCTGGGTTCATAAACTGAGAAGGCACCGAAGCTTGCACCTGGTTATCTTCAGCTTTTTCATGATCCAGCAGCATTTCTGTTATTTCACTTTAAGGGATTATGCCTGTCACTGCAGGACCAGCCCAGCAGGAAGCCAGGTCAGCCCAAGCTCAGGGTTCTGAGGTCATGGTTACTTCAGCTGGGGCCTTAGCATCAAGAAGGCAGCCCATTCTCTTCCTTTCAATTCACTGAGCAGGTTCTGAGACTCTGGTGTGCCCAGCTTGTGCTCAGGACCCAAAGGGACATAAAGAAGATGTAGGCCTTGCTCCTAGGAAGGAGACATCTAGTTGTGTCACTATACACCTACTGTGCAAAGGCCATTAATCAGTTGTCTGCAAATAAGAAAGCTAAACTGTCTGAGGGGGACCACTGAACACCTGCTTCCTTTATGAGATCTTTTATCCAATTCACTGCATTTACTGAGTGTCTACTCTGCACAGAGCTATACAAATGTCTGTGTACTCTGTGTACACAAAGGCCTATATACTCTATGCACAGAACTATACAAAGGATCCATGCCTTATTTTGCCAGGAAAAGAAAATATGAAGTTAGTAAAAGCTCAAGAATCAGATAAAACTACCATCAGGTAGAGAGGATTCACTGCCAATTAGAGAAGCAGGCACTTAGAGTGCAGACAAGGGGAGGGGGCTTGCTCACCTATTCAGAAGGCAGGTGGAAGTGGCCATGGGCTGTGAAGGACAGAGGGGGTTTGAACAAGTGGAAAGCATGATGGGGGAACAACATAAACAAAAGCAAAGGTTTGAGTGGAAGGTCACCTTCTCTCTCTGGGCCTCCACCTGCCAGCATTTTTCTCTCCTCTCATCACAGGCAATACAACGGCATCTTCCTTCTTCATCTTGTACATTGTGATCTTAGGAGAGTCTCTTTTGGTTTTCTTGTTTTCCAACCAGCGCCTCATGATAAACTATGCACATTTCACTCTTGAGTGGAGGAAGTATACTAAAACATTAAGTTGGAAAAACATAGGCACCACGAGAGTAAAAACAAATGACCATGACCGTCTTTCCAAAGAAGGTAACTACCCAGCCAAATGAGATCATCTACACCAGCAGGAAGATGGGGGAGGACCAGTAGGGCCTGTTACGGTGGTGAGAATGTCCCTGATTTCTTCACAGTGTAACCTACAATTTTCTGATGCTTTAAATGATATGTTTTTCATTAAAGTACAGCTTGACATCATACGCTCAGTCCCTAGTGACTAAAAGATGGGTATAATGGCAATATTCTCCCAGAAATTACAAAGATAACCACCCCTTTTCAAAAAAAATGACAATATCAGAGGTTGTTCACTCAGAAAAGAAACCCAGGAGGTGGGGGTATCTGGGGAGTTTGAAGAATGAAAATGAGCTACAGGTAAACTGGAGACAGAAAAAACTTTTCAAAACCTAAATATAAATACTTCACTGGTTTCCTAAAAGAAAGATCAGAATTGAACTCCATTTATCAAAAGGAAATCAGATTTCATGCTGTTATGTGATAAACACATACTTTTGATGCAAACACTTATCCATTCAGTAAATTCTAGAATATACGTTATTGTTTTGGTGAAAATGGTTTCAAAGAGACTAAAACTGCATGTGAGGAGAAAAGTTTATGACACTGAAGAGGGTGTTTTTAATAAAAGGATGGATTTTATTTTATATATAAAATATATAATAGGCAGGGCACAGTGGCTCATGCCTGTAATCCCAGCACTTTGGGAGGCTGAGGTGGGCAGATTGCCTGAGGTCAGGAGTTCGTGACCAGTCTGGCCAACATGGTGAAACCCTGTCTCTACTAAAAATACAAAAAATATCAGCCAGGCATGGTGGTGGGCACCTGTAATCCCAGCTACTCAGAAGGCTGAGGCAGGTGAATTGCTAGAACCAGGGAGGTGGAGGTTGCAGTGAGCCGAGACTGCACCACTGCACTCCAGCCTGGGTGACACAGCGAGACTCCATCTCAAAATAAATAAATAAATAAGTAATAGATATATAGATATAAATAAATTATATGTATATGAATGCATGTATAAACAAATGGATAAGTAATGAATTATATGTATGATAAAATAAAATCAGGTCTTTATCATATCCCAGGAAAAATCACTCTACACAATGTTTGGGCTCCTGGACCTCCACTGGCTAGGACCATTGGCTTTAGCACACCATAAGCATGGGCAGGGGGGGGCTCCCCAAGAACAGACTGCTCTGATCTTTCTCATTCTCTCTGTAGGCAGCAAATTTACAGCATTCCAATCACGAGTAGTACCATTATACCTCATAAATCAATACAGACAACTCTTCAAATTCGATTCTTAAATACAAGTTTGCAGCTAATTCCTGCAAGAATTTCATTATTAACTGAAGTGCAATTTAGAATCTTTGATTGAAATGCCTGCCCGCTACAATCCCCAGTTCTCTTTAACTAGATTACCCCACATATGTTGAAAAAATGTATTAACCTTAAAGAGAGTTATATTTACATGCATATATACATATATATATATATATATACATACAAGAAAACATACATAGAATAATAATATATGTTACCTCCTCTGTTAACAAAGAGCAAAAAGAAAGTAACAGGTGAAAGGCAGACTTCAGGGAAAAGAAGCTGACAGTCAACAGGGTAGAAGTCTGGGGATTTCTGAATAAAAGAAAAAGGTTACCTGAAATGTGTTTTTTGGCAGTCATGTGTAAAGTACATTTTACATAGTTTTAAGCTGTTTCTAATGGTTTCTTCCTCTCTGTCTCACTTTACCTGGATTAGTGAGGACAGATCGTTTGACTATTTCAAGGCTATTGAGAAATGGTCTTGACAGTGCATGACACTTTCAGAGGGACACAGTAAAAGACACAGAAGACAGGGACATCCATTAGCCAGCCTAGCAATCAGAGGGACCCCCGACTCAGCAGCCAGATTCCCTTTTCATCCCATTAAGAACAGGACCTTTAAGGACACTGTGGCAATGTTTCACGTAAGGGCTCTTGACTAAATGCAATCTCTTGGTCAACTGGTTTAGGAATAACTATATAAAACAGGTCAGTACCTGGTAACATTGCATTTACATGCTAGGCTTTCTGCCCTACTGTTTCCAAGCTTTTCATAAGGTAGATCAGCATAGAATTTTTGCTTTGGGGCTATTTATTTTATTTCTTTTGGTGAAATGACTTTTTAAAAAAAGAGGGTTGGAAATAAATCCCCGGCTTCTAGGAGGGGGAAAAAAGGATGATCTAGAACCTTCTCCATTTACCCTCACATCCTGAGCAATCTATTGGAAGAACGTGTCTTGTTACAGAAAGTCCATAGGGTACTTTCAGGAGCAAATTACACCAAATCCCTGGCCTTTTAATTTACCTTATTACATCAAATGCACTTTTAAATAATGCCAAGAAATTGCCTCCATGGTCATTTATGATTAGTCTCTCTCATTTTTTTCCTATAGAGTCTCTACTACCTCTTATGTCCTCTTGCCCGTATTCTGGCACCTGGTCACTGGCTACCCACCTTCTCTGTAGTTTCCAGAGCCCACACACGTCCAGGACCCACTAAGGGAAGCTGCTTCCAAATTCCTGATTATTAACATAATTAACACCTCTTCATTGTAGAATAGGCCGGTAGTCACCTTTCAACTGCAGCAATTATGGAAATAAGACAGCCAGATGTGTAGTAATTTCATAATAACTATACACCTATGAAGCACCAGAGGAGACTGCAGGTTTCAGACCTGCTTAAGAATGCAGTGATGCTAATTAGGATGATAAGTTGTATTTATGCGGCGCCATCCTGCCCCAGCAACCCAAACTATAATAGCATCAAGGCATACAATTAACAGTCACATATAAAGAGGTACAACATTCAGAACATAAGAGGAACCTTTTCAGAAAGGAGCACAGGCAGAGGGAAAGCTTAAGACATGTCAGCATTTATTTTCTTGCGGAACAGGCTGTTCCAGTGAGTCAGAGGTGACGGCACAAAAATCAAAGTCAAACATCTCTCTTCTTAAGTCGTTTGGAAAGAGGGACTATACTACTGACAAAGATAAAGACTTGGCAAGTCAGAGCCTGAGACTGGGAAAAATGGTGGATATGCCAGATGTCAGACCCCTGCAGGATGCAAAATGATCTGAAGAGTGGAACGGCCAGCCCTAAAAAGATGCAACTGAATGGGATAAATGCAGGGTTCTACAGTGAAAGACAAAAAACCTACTCCTGTCGAACATTATGGGGAGTTCTCAGCAGCATGTGCAAAAAGACAATCTCTGGGCACTTTGAGTCCACAGAGTGATATGGCTTCTAGAGGTGGCCCTGTGACCCTGGCATCATCAATAGAAAAACCATGTTAGGATTAGTAAGAGGGCCAACTAGCTCTGTTTCCTATTATCAGACCACAGATGGAGAATCATGTTCACTTCTGACCAACGCATTTTCAGAGGGATGCAAAAAACGAGACAGTAGACAAAAGAGACCAGAGGAGTGGAGAGTGTAGAAACCAGGATGAGAAAAGAAGCAGTTCAGAGGAGAAATGAGAGAGGCAAGAGCAGAGAGAGGTGACTGCAACATACTGATAGTTTCTAGAGTTGTATTAATTCTACGTGATGCCAGTGAGCAAAATTAGATTCCACTGGTAGAAGTTACAGTGAGAAATTGCAGGCTTCGTAGAAGGCAATATATGTAAATCCAATATAAACTCTTGAAAGGTGCTGAGCTTCCTGATACGAGATTTGTTTAAATAGAAAGTGGACAATCCCTTACAGTTCTCGGGATTGAACTGATCCCCCAGGCAGAAGTAAGGGTGAGGCTGGCTCTGGGATTTAGCCAAGGAGAGAAAGCCCCACGGAGTGGGGTGGGCACGTGGTGCTGAACAACCAGAAATCCACAGCCATGTTCTTATGTGGGTTCAGACACATGATATTCTCTGGTTCCTTATTCCTTTATTTGATTTTTTGCTTTTACATTTTTTACTAAATTAACAAATAAAATTGATTTTGTTTATAGTTCTACGAATTTTAACATGTTAATCTCATTCACCACCACAATCAAGATAAAAAACTTTCCACCACTGAAAAAATTCCTTTGTGCTGCCCCTCCTCCCAGACCCTAGTAATCACTGATATCTTCTCTGTCTCCATAGTTTTGTCATGTTGAGAATGTCCTATAAATTCCATTTGAATTACTTAGTATGTAAGCTTTTGATACTGGCTTGTTTCAGTCAGTAAAATGCTCTTGAGATTCATCCAAGTTGCTGCAACGTATCAATACTACAAATTCTTAAACAGAGTATGATGGGGAACATCAACTGGCTACTCTGAAATCTCTGTTTTTTCAGGTTTTCCAAATTTGGCTCAATCTGGGGAGCAGTGACTTCAGTTTAAAGATTATTATAGTATCCACTGCCTCTAGTGATCTCTTTGTATTGATGTTTACTTTTACAGGAACTTTAATTCTAGACAAAAAATGCATGCTCATTGAAAACGGCCAAATGCTTCAGTTCAATACATATATACATGGATAAGAGAATAAAAATTTCCCTTTACAACTTTCACCATTAATGGTTTGACAACAATTCCTCATAGACTCTTTTCTGAACTTATTTTGTTACGTTTGAAAGAAATCTATAAAAAATTGAATCTCACCATAGTTGTACAACCCAGTGTCATAAACATCTTTTCCTATCAATACATCTAGCTCTACCTCATTATTTTTAAGAACTGCACAGTATTCCACTATAAAAATGGACCAAAATTTACATAATAGATATTCCACTGACGAACATTTAGATTGTTTCCAAGTTTTCACTAATACAAGGTAGCAATAAACACCTTTCTTTATATATCTTAGAGATTTTTAATCATTTGAGTGAAAAAATAAAGCTCTTCATAAGAAAGGGTATTTATTAGAAGAGCATATTAGATTTGACAAATGGTATTTAGGAAATAAAAATACAAAAACATATGAGATTACTGACCTGAATTAAAATTCCCTAACTTGTACTAACAGGAAGATGTTTCAGATTAATATCACATTAATTGACCTTATTCCACAGGCCTAGTGGTTCCTCTCTACATAGTTAAACTTGTTTCTCCCCTGAAGTAAAGAGCTGTTTCCTGCCACAGATCTCACAATCCTGCTGTCGCTGAGCTTTCTGCACTCAGTGGACTGGAGACAATGCCAGAGAGATTAGAATTTGCCAGCACAAGGATGTGCCCTATCTCTCCAAACCCCTCACTCCTATTTCCTCCTTATTTCATTCAACCAGCTTCTATTCGCTTGCCTCCTCTCCCAAGCTTCTGGAGTCTCAAAATGCTTTCCCAAGGAAATTAACCCTATACTGACTGCCTTTTCCAAGTTTTACAAATTATCTGACAATCTGAGCACTTCTGGACATTTTCCAAGGCTGGCCACTACTCACATCCCATCCCAATTCCTCAGGCAATGCTTACCTAGACATTTCTTACAGGCAAAACTAAAATTAGGTTATGGCTAACTACTCTCCCACTTTTCTGCAAACCTATTCAGGAATGAGGATTCAGGGACACCAATGGAGCATGGAAATGCAGTTACAAAAGCCATCAATGACGCTGTAAGAAGCTGTACATCACCCTGGTGAGGGGTGACTGGTTAGTCAGAGGGTCAGAGCCAAGTCATAGGCTGAGAAGCCATGTTTACCCCTAAGTCATCTAAAAATATCCAAAGAACCCTTTGTCCCCAGCACTTTGTGGTTTGAAAGACCTTTTATTATGGTAACACTTAGGCCTCATAGTAGTTCCAGGCAGCAGAGCTGAGGCTCTGGGAGTAGTCTAGCCAAGGCCATGGCAGTAGTCTGAGGTTCTGGGTTTTTACAATGTCATGCTGTCATGCTTACATTGGCTACAGAGGTCAGAGAGAAGCAGGGTGAGGAGGTCAAAGGAAGGTGGAAGAGGCCAGGAGAAGTGGCCAATCTCTGCCAGTCTCTACTGGGTGTCATGTGAGATCTGCAGCTTAGCATTTGGCATTGCAGTTTCCCAAGACTAAAGGGTCTGCTTATTTAACACATACACACCTCCTGAAAACACCAAAGCAGCTTCAAGGCCACTGCTCTTGGGCTGTTACTAAACTCCCTAGTGAACTCTTTTAGGCACAGTAGCCACTTGGGTGAAAGAAGGCAGCTACCCGCAAGCCAACTTGGATATCTGTTAGCACTGTAGGTCTGGCGGGCAAGTATTCATTAGGGTTCAAGATCTAGTTAGTCTGACTTGTACCAAGCAGATGTCCAGCTGGGGGCAGGGAGCACTTCTGGCCCACAACTGAGGAAATGGCACAGCAGTGATGCATGTAAGAGACATTAAGAGAGCAGAAACACTTGGCCAAGTCAGTTCACACTGGGTGTGTACTCTAAGGTTCTCGACAGCTAATCTACTCCAATTATCTAAAGCAAATGGAGTGTTCTTGGGATAATAATGTGTGCAATTACAGAATAAAACCTGACTGTTTAATATTAATTCCTTGCCTTTAGATCCTTGGTAAAAAGTGAAAACAAGAAGAAAAATATCTGTCTAAGGTTTTTCCAATGCTTTTTATTTCCTGTCCAATCTCCAATCCCAGGATACCGAAAGTGTCACAACATCATTTAGGATTCCTCGGTTTTTCATTTTATTCTATATTTATTTACACATTTTCTTAATTATTTTACAGATTCAAGGTAGAAATAAACTTTTTTTGTGTGATCCTCTTCCCTCACCACTCACCATCATCTTTGCCAAATTCACAGAATCTCTAAAGTTGTTTTGAGACGAATTTCTTAGCACTTAGTTTCATCCATCTGGATCGTTTAATGAGTGTTCCCTGAAAATTCAATTAGTCTCTGTTTGACTGGCTGTCAATTACTTCTGATTCTTCCTTGGTGCCTTATAAACAGCAGGTGATCAATGGATGTTTGTTAATATGGATTAAGTAGATATAAGATTAGAAGGAAATATACCAAAATTATAACTAATAATTTATCTAGGACTATGGTATGATTTTTCTTTTCACCTGACTATCTTCCAAAGCTTTCTATATGCTAAAATAAATAGTTGTTAAAATAAAATGTGAAATTGTATAGGCTGTAGAAATACAAGCCATTAATTAAATTTAGATCTTGGGATGTCCAATCTTAAAAGTTCATGACTCTTTCTTTAGTACCCATTGGAAATCTGAGTGTGGCCACTGTGTAGAGTGCAGGATAGGGTTGATTGCTCTAATAAGCAGAGATTCTCCAGCCAAGAGGAAAAAAAAAAACAAAAAACAAACCAAGAAACCTATGTTTCCATTTCAAAGCTTATCTATTCCAAAAGCACCGATTATAAAGCAGATCTGGGGCTACAATAACATTTGTGAATTCCAATCAAACATTCAAATGATTTTAGGAAAGTTCTGGAAAATAGTTAACTCCAAGCATGAATCAACTTGATTTCATCATGGTTATGACACTTTGTGCTACAAAAGGATGATATTTTCAGCTTCCCACCTTCCCAATGGCAGTCTTGATGGGAAGCTAGAAATCTTAACTGCTCAACGGGTTAAGTCTGTACTGCTTTGCTTGGATGAGCAGATGGCGTGGCAGGCAATATAAAAGTCACTTAAGATCTTTTCTTTAAGAAGGTTAGTACTTATCTTTGAAATCTTTAGACAACTTTAACCAAAATTTAAAGAATCTTATATTTTTGTAATAATTTCCACTTTTATTTTAGATTCAGGGGGTATATGTGCAGGTTTGTTATGTGAACATATTGTGTGATGCTGAGGTTTGGGGTATGATTGATCTTGTCACCCAGATAGTGAGCACAGTACCCAATGGTTAGTTTTCAACCCTCTCCCCTGACTCCCTTCCTTCCCCCTCTAGTAGTCCTCTGTGTCTATTGTTGCCATCTTTATGTTCAGGAGTACCCAATGTTTTGTTCCCACTTACAAGTGAGAACATGCAGTATTTGGTGATCTGTTTCTGCGTTTAACCAACTTTTAAAAATATTTTCTAGTCATCTCATCTGAAACAAAGAACAAATGTTTTTCCAACAAAGCATTGCACAGTGAGATCCAGAGGATGCGATAATAACACACTTCTAGGTAATTTATGCAAAGCCATGATAAACCCCAACAACATGAGAAAGAATCTTTCTTGAAGGTTCCATCTGTATCAGAAGCAGAATAAATTGAAGATATCATCTACAGGTATTTCAGAGTAAGCACTGAATTGGATCCTGTGGACAAATGTGGCCTAGACAGTTTCAAAATGAAAACTAATGGCCAGTGGGACCATGGAAGTTAATGTTATGACAGCAAAGCCCAAGCTACCACACGCAGCCTCAACATGCCTGTACTCACAAAGAGGATCTGGTGCTTGGCAGTCACTGCTCATTTCTATCTGTGATTGGGATACCTTTTACATTCCTTTCAACAGAGACATACTGTAAATTGCTGAAAAATTAGTTCTGAGAAGTTGGATACAAATCAGATTTGGGGGATCTCTACTGGGCACTGGCTTGGGGAAAGAGAACCAAAATCAGCGGATGTTTCTCACTCACCCTGGCCAGCATTACTCTTTCTTTGTCTTGGTGTCTGCTACCTTTTTAGTCCTGAAATCTTGCACATCTTACCTAAGGGTAAGCAAGGGTAGTGCCACCTTGTGACAAGTTTCATTTTTCTTAGTCTAAAACATTTCTTTTATTCTTTTGTGATCTAGGCAAGAGTTGAACAGAGCTGTTTTACTCTTCACCTGTTTGCTATGTAGGATATATAGACAGGGCTGGGATGCTGGCTGTTCGGGATAGAAACAGTAGAAAATAAACCAATTTGGCAGCACATCAGAATCGCGGGGAACATTAAGAATTCAGAATCCTAAACACCATGACTCAGTGATTCAGTTAGTCTGGACTGTGGCTCAACTGACTCCAAAGAAGCTTGGGCCATGGATTGGTATTGGGGATCTACTGATCTAGGTGAAATAGTGCCAAGTTAATAAAGCTTCCAGACTTGGTTTTCTTATTTTAATACAACATCTTATTTATTATAAGATGTCAAGATCTTGAGAGGAGAATAAAAGTTCACAGGACAGGATAACTAAGAAACACACGCAGATTCACACATGCGCACATACACACACACCGGCAAAACTGAAGGTAGGACAAGGTCACATTTGCAGAATTGCTTCTTCCCCAATTGTGTATTATGAGAGATGGTTGCTGTGGTGATGGGAAGAGGGCTAAACACGGAGGGCTTGTCACAGGGGCTGTAAACTGGCAAGGGCTTAACCTATAGAAATCTTGTTGAAATTATCTCTGCGAATTGGGTTGAGAGGCTGCCTCATCTAGTCTCCATCAGAGGCCCGTTGCATCTCTTCAGGTTCTATTAGTCACTCGTATTGGTTGTTTCTATCATCCTGAGGGGATCCCAAGCCTCTGCTACAAAGAGAGAATGTCCCACCCGACATCCTAGGATTCTTCCAGCTCTAAATTTATGAACCTATATGATGACTCTGGAGGATTTTTTATGGGCTATTTTTCTGCACAGGCCATGTGGGAAAAAAATTGGTACACATACTTTAAAGCATGCCCATAAATATATATAAAAAGTGAGCCACAGGAAGCGACACTCTGGTGTGGGCTGTGCAGGTACTCCTCTCTGCTGGAGCCTGCTGCGTCTCCTCCTCCACTTCCAGGGCTCTCCAAATGGGGCAGCAGGAAGTCTGCTTGTGAGGCTACATACCATTAAAACAAAGAGTTCTAGGTCTTTGAAGTGTACTGCCTACAGAAATATGTCTGAGATGTGTATTTTAATACATGAAAACATATTTGAACATTTGTGGAAAAGAATTAACCACAAATAGCAAAGTAAGTTTCATGTTTAATTAACTTCTGTTTTAATTCATCCTTTGAAGAAGTAGAGATAAAGAAAACTCAAAGAGGGAAGGAAGAAGTGAACAGGGCAGAAGCTGCCCCAAATGTCATAGCTAGAGGGGAAGGGACTGCCAAAATGGTGGCCCATTTACCAGGGATGAGAATTTAAGGCAGGATAAAAGATATAGAGTTGAGGATGAAAGAGAGAAAGGTCAACAAAAGTAAACTGCTATTTACACAAATAAGAAAAACAAAACTTTGACCATTCTACACTGATTTTTTAAAGATGTTTTTAGTAAAGGCACACAATTTCTTCTTTATAATAGTGTTCTTTGCAAGACAAGTAGAACGGATAATTAAGTCATGAACCAATCATATTAAGTATCCTCATTAACAGTGAAGTTTTAAATTAGCTTAATTTAAATTAGGCACTGAGCACAGGTCATTTAATGCTGGTTAACTTCACAGTAAAGATGATCTGCTCCTTGTAAAGAATCACATTTCATGGCCTGGAATTTAAAGACTGATGACAGAAATCAGCAGCAGCTTAGAATCCCTATTTTCATTTATTTAATAAGTTCCTGACTATTTAGGTAAGAATAACTCCATCTTCATATTATCATCAAGTTTAATGGGGTTGGAAATTGGTAAAAATATATCTTGGTGGTAACTTATGTTTCTTGGGAACACACTAAGAAATGGAGAAATAGTGAGATAAAGACTTTTTCCCCTTGCAAAAACATCACAACCACTGATGACACAAGATATAAGAAAATTATGGCCTGTGATGTGTGTAAACAGCTATTTTGTTGAAGAACACTGCCTGATGCTAACCTATCCCATGGAAATTGGTAACTACAAAACAGCTGTGTCCTAGACGCATAAAAAATTTATAGGAGTTAGATGTCAGCAGCATGAGGGCAAAAAAAAAAATGTTCTTGGTTTTTAAATATCACCAAAATTCTCATCTCAAATTATTTATTCTTTTAGATATTTAAAAGAGTCCATCCCAAGCCTCTAAGGGAATATGTAAAGGTGGAAAGGAACACGTCAACATCAGGTAACCCAAATAAAAATGCTCTACATTCTTTTAAAGAAATAGTTAACCTGTGAAAAACAGGTTAAACACAGGAAAAACTGTGCCACAGCCACAAGCCTGTCCTAGAACAAGGCTTTCTGAAAAATACAGGGATATTCAGAGGAAGGGAGGAAGGAACAAGCTATGACAGCTGAATGCCTATGTGATCTTTGCCATGAAGAACCGTCCTTGACCTAAACTTACTCAGCTCTGGAGACCAGGCTAGGCCAAGAGTGTAAGTGAGAGAATGAGGGCTCAGCTCACCATCCCCGGCAACATGTCTGGACTCCCCAATAGGACCCCAGTTCTGCTACCAGGAAAACCATCACAACAATGAAACTATCTCTGGAGAAAAACACTTTCTGTACAAATCAATTAGCAGGAGCTCTGGGAAAATAACATGCAGCAAAGTGTCCTCTACAATCAGTTTAAAGCTTATAAGGAAACGTATCTGAAAATGATGGAGGGAGAACTTCAAGCTCCCTCTGAAACACTCTTCAATGTTACTGGGGTCCAAATTAGGGAAGAAAAAGTGTGTCAGAGGAAGGTCCTATGGACTTCTATTCTGTGTCACTTCTTCTGGACAAGCACAGAAGTCTACTTCTCCTCACTGACTCTAAGGGAAGAGTCAACACATGCCTTATGGCGTAAGGCGAGAACTTGCTGGTACAGGCAGGCATGGGCTGATTCAAAGGCGCAGAAGAAGAAACAACATCTGAAGCTCTTATTTTACTCTAAAGCTCATGACCACCTCCTTTACAAATGCCCGTGGTGTGTGTCTTTGGCCATACCACTAACTCTCTTGGATAGGTCTCCAGCATTTCCACAAAGCCTGGGATTGGATGGTACCTGGAAGGACTGGGTCTCCTGGGCAGTCTGGAAGACTGGCGGTTCAAATCAACGCTCGCTGTGTATCTGGAGCATATGGGATGCACTAATCAGGAAGCTGTGTGATTACAGCTCATTGTCAGTAACATGGAGGAGCCTAACCAATCTGGAACTCAGCTTCTTCATCTATAAAACCAGGGGGCTATACTGCAGCTGTGAACCATTCTAAGAATACTAATGACACTAACTTGGTATGAGAAATGCTGTGCAGGTCACATTTTCTCAAATGTCATCTTATTGGATTGTCACAAAAATACCTCTACTTGGGCCTTAGCTCCATTTTCTAGATGGGGAAACTGAGGCTCAGAGAGACTACATGCCGCATCATGAATCAACAGCAAATTCAGGTCTTAGATCCAGGTCTTATGATTTAAGGTCCTATATTCCTCAAATTATGATGATTGCATTTTATATTGAATTTTATATTTCTGGCTGCAAAGTATTACTTTATAATATACATTATATTTCTATAAAAATAAGAAGTTTGATAATTTTGGTAAATTAAAATTGACATTGATTTGAAAGACTCCCTGTATGAGGTTGGGATGAGAGAGGAATGCAGGAATAAGAACTGTCATCTCTCTTGTCATTGTTGCTGTCTGGAAGGACCTGTGTAAGGGCGAGGCCTCCTCATCTGCTCTGTTCTGAGGGGTGAGGATGAAGGGAGGGGGATGACTGGTAGCTGAGGGGCACACCAACACCAACTACATGTGCTAGGATAGGGAAGATAGGAAAAACACGCAGGTATGTGCAGACGTGCATGCACACACACACACGCATGTGCACACAAATGCAAGCACATGCATGCACATATATATAGAATTCTAAGGTCCTGGGGCCCACCAACTAAAATTTCACAGAACTTTAGAATTTGTTTTGTACCCTTCACACAATATGCTGCGGTACTGCTGTCCTCATTTCATAAGATGGAATTTTCACAGCCATTTAGCAGCAGAACTAGCCTCAACCACAGACAGAAAATCCAAATTTGATTCCTCTCCCACTGCATGGGCCCTAAATTCAGCCCTCTGGGTTTCCTATCCTAATAGGAATCCCAGAATCTCAAGCTGCTCCAGGTATGGCAGCCCTTGAAGTTCTGCATCAGGGGATAGGCTGGTAAAGATGGACACTGAAAGCCTTTCTGTCTAGCCTCGTCTCTGAAAACCAGAGGGAAAGATGATGAGAGCTAATCAAGTTCCCATGGCCTCATATCCTCTCTTCTCTCAAAAGCAGAGAGTTTTCTCAAATGGAACAAAGCAATTTCTTTGCCAAGAAAGCTTTTATGTTCACCTTCAAAATAGCATTTCTGCTTTGCAAAGAGAGCCTTTCAGAGAGACAACTTGTTTGAAAGGAAGTAAATAAGAAGAGAGAAAGTGCCCGCAGCTCCAATTTTTCTCCAATAGGATTGTAGTGCTTTGACATAAGAGTACCTGGCAGCTGGAATTCCAGCTTCCTGTTCCCCTCCTTGAAACAGGCATGAGGAGGCTGCTGCAGATGGGGCAGAACGGCCCCTGGAGACAGTCTCTTCTGTGTAATTGAGCCCTCAACATTCTAACTGTGAAAAGGGAGAAACCACTGCAGCAGTCCCAGGCTTTATACAGGAATTCTCAGATGCTGGAGCAAACACACAAACATTAATTTCTGGATTATGTGGGTTCCTCAGCCAGCCTTACCCATGAGTAGCTCTCTTAATCTGAACACTTTCCCCACAAGCCTTTCTACATATTTCCTCTATTGCTCACCCCTCTGCTTTAAAATTCCTAATGTGAGGTGATGGAATAAAAGCCATTATTTAAAAAATCCCACTTGCCTGGACATAATTTACCAGGAAGCTCTCCAGTCCCTAGTTGGAGTCCAGGGAAAAGATCCAGTGTACTTTGGAGGGTACAGCAGTGTGTTAGCTAGGGTTCTCCAGAGAAAACTAGTAGGATAATGTGCACATATATATGTGTGTGTGTGTATAATACATCTATATCACATATATATATGACATATATATATATATGATATACATATCAGATGTTATAGATTCCAGTAAGATCCTGAAGGCCTGAGAACCAGGAATGCCAAGGGCAGAAGATCAAGGGCAGACTGATATCCCAGCACAAGCAGTCAAGTAAAGAGAGTGAATCCTCCCTTCTCCCACCTTTTTGTTCTATTCAGGCCCTCAATGGATTGGTGATGCCCACCTACTCTGGGGAGGGCCACTTGCTTTACTCAGTCTACCAATTCAATGCTCATCTCTTCCAGAAACACCCTTATACATACGCCCAGAAATCATGTTTAGCCAGCTATCTGGGCATCTCCCAACCCAGTCAGGTTGAGACATAATTTAGCTACCACAAGCAGAAAGATGGGGCATTCAGCTGTGGGCAGGTGCCAGGGTGAGGCTCTAGTGGACATTGCCAGGGCTTTCCCCAATCCCCTGGGTCTTTTTTCTGGTCTTCACCCCTGTCCAGGGGCCTGCACCAGCAGCTCGCAGCAGGACTGCGCTCAGCCTACCAGTTGCTCTGTCTGCACTCCCAGAGAGCTGCCACTACCTGGGGATTTACATCCCACACAATGCCCCTTGCCAATGACTGACTGGAGTGCCATGTGAAAAGCCCAGGACCCTGGCCTCAAGTGGTACAAATTCTAAGGATGAATCCAGCACTCCCTGTGGAATCAGGATGAAGCCACCCTCCACATGTCCCTGCTAGGCTCCTACTGTGCTCCGTTTCCTCCCCTCTCCTGCTTCTCCCACTCCATTACAGGTTTCTCCTGGGAGCACTTCCTCAATATACAACTTATTCCCAAATCCTCATCTCAAAGTCTGCTTGTGAAGACAGAGTTCCTCGCTGGTGAGGGCCAGGTGGAATGGGGCTTTTCCGATGAGGTACGAACAAAACAATCTCACCTGCTTTTCAATATTTTGCCACTCTTATACAGTAAAGGTGGGAATTATATTTTAGAATTTCGAATTCTCCATGCAGCTAGAGGAAAAACATCCCTTTCTAAAGACAGCAGCTTTGCTTACCAATGTATTTAATCATATTCATAGCCCAAGACCCATCTATTACTGTTGCCCAACACTGTGGGCAGTAGGGATGGTAATGTCTGATGTTTTTCTCAACAGTGATTGATATTATTTGCATAAATTTGTAGAGGCGCTTGTTACAAAGAAATAAAGTATCCACCTAAGCACTGCATGAAAATCAGCATAATATTAACCAAAAGGGGAAATGAAAAAGGAAAATGTCACCAGAAATTTTAGCTTATCAATCTTCATTCTTCCCCTTTAACACTGTTTCCACTGCTGCTTATATCACATTTGCATAATTAAATTGCTGGAAGCATGTGTGTTAATTTGGATGGAAAGTATATATTATTTCTACTGTGTAAAAATTATTTGATGTTTGATTGGGTTTTTAATGCTCACCCTTCAAATTACTGAAGAGAGAAAAATAGTTTTATTTTTGTCCTTTTTTTCCCCAACCTATTTGACCAAGAGGTGTTCAGATATTGTTAGAAGGTAACAAGTACAAAATTAAGGCCAAGCTAATGCAAATACAGGCCTCTAGGAGAGAAGGTGGGAAGGGGGAGGCAGGTGCCTAGGCAAGGTTATCCATGGTTCTGGGGCCTTGTTTTGGCTTTGCCATGCACTGGCTATGTGACCTTGGGTGGGGGTCATTTCTCCTTTGCATTCATTCATTTGTTCATTTGAGAAACATCTACTCTTGTCTACTCTGGGCCAAAAAGGAATTAACTAGATCAGCACTATCTAATATAGTAGTTACTAGTCACATGTAGCTATTTAAATTTAAGTAAAAATTGATAAAAATTAAAATCCAGTTCCTCAACAGTATGAGACACATCTGGAGTGCTCAATAGCCATTTATGGCCAGGAGCTACTATAATGGACAGGACAGATATGAACATTTTCATCATTGTAGAAAGTTCTGGAGAGTACTGAACTAGACGATCTCCAAAGGTTCTTTCGTCTCTGATGTGCTATGATTTAAAATGATGTGAAAATAAGCCCAGGTTCATAATGGTAACCACTCTCAGTGTTAAGCTGAAGTTTCTGTCACTTTATAAACATTCTCTGACATTCTGTGGGAATCTTATATGGAAATGGATGGGGTTGGGGTGGACACACAGGGGACAAAGGAGCAAGTTTCTCCTCCTGAAGTGTCCAGCTGAGGAGACGAACATATGTACAAACAGGATATCTGAGGATGGGGGTAAGAGAATGACTCCCAAGCTGGATATAGAGCCATCTTCCTCAAATATCCAAATGGAAGTCCAGCTGTGTGCCATCTCACGGCTGGGAGCATCTCAGGACAGTGACATAACTGGTATTCCATCTTGATTAAGAAGCTACGATGTTCTCTAATGTGTGAGCTAATAATCGTCCACTAAACACTGCAGCTATACCATCAAGATGTTAAGACTTTTGCAGTTCATGTTTCAGAATAAACAGCAAGGGAGGAACACAGACTGATATAGGATTTACCTATATAGCCAGGCCCTGTGATGGTATGATAGTTTATATTATTTTCCAACAAATATTCACTTCGGCTTGACCATGTGACTTTTTACTTCAGGGTGGATAAAGATACTTCCTACCTCCTTGATTTTACACTCAACCATGAGACTTGATTTAGCTAATGGGATGTGAGTGGATACAATGGCAGCAGAGGCTTGGAATGCATTTTGAATGGTTGGGTTTGGACTTTTGTGCTTCTGCTGCAGCTCTGAAAAGATCTTGCCCTGACCCACTGGCCTTGAATAATGGAGCAGTGCTAAATCCAACCTGTGGGCTGGTAGGATGCAGCCAACCTGTAAAGGTAAAGACCAAGGGAAAAGAACAAGAAGGGTAGAGAACAAGGGAAATGAAGAGCTCGGGGCTGCAGCCTGCAATCAAGAAACCAGGGCAAGTGGCTTG
Source organism: Homo sapiens (assembly GCF_000001405.40). NCBI lineage: Eukaryota > Metazoa > Chordata > Mammalia > Primates > Hominidae > Homo > Homo sapiens. The sequence goes on from NC_000003.12 coordinate 41,341,706, forward strand.
ATGGCAGCCACATTTGGTCCTACAGGCTCCAAACCAGAAAGCCCTGCTAAGCATCCCCACGGAGACCCCATTCCTACAGCTTACTTTCCTATGAAGGGTGATATTCATCCCTCAGAGGAGCAACACAAATAGTCAAATGAATGGCAATAATATACTTTAGAATTTCTAATATTAAGAAATGAAATGGAACATGAAGCATCTATAAAATGGTCTCACAAAGTCAAAAAGGAGCTTCCTGAACTAATTATAACAAATTTTACTATATTAAAAGCCAATGCAGCACATTTCAGCAGACGAGTCAATTGAAGTGATTTTGGGGTGAAAAAATTTTAAATACAGTTTATGATAAGAACTGGAATAAACTGCCATAATGGTTTAATAAGTTTCCCTCACTCCTTTTAAGTTCTTGGCTGGTGTTGAGTACAGAAGCATATGGGGAGAGTAAATTAATGAGTTGAGGGTTTGGAATCAAGCTTGTCTATGAGTTTTCATGCATAGCAACAGGCAAACACACCCAATCATATCAAAAATGCACAGCCATGAGCCACTTCACAGTTTCCGGAGAGAGATCAGAATGGAGAGGAAAAGGGCTGCCTGGAAGGCTAACAGACTTGCACTATAATCTAATGCTTCCATCTTGAATTTCCATTGAGCCCAAAGTTTCTAATCTATTTTTCTTGTCTATGTTACAATAAAAGCTGATTTAGAGGCCTTTAATAATTAGGGTGTTGCTACTGTTATTAGAACTAAAGTCATATAGGAAATACACAAGCACCTACTGCCTAAATAGACCAATAACAAGTTCTGGAATTGAGGTTGTAATAAATAGCCTACCAACCAAAAAAAGCCCAGGACCAGATAGATTCACAGCTGAATTCTACCAGACGTATAAGGAAGAGGTGGTACTATTTCTACTGAAACTATTCCAAAAAATTGAAAAGGACAGACTCCTCCCTAACTCATTCTATGAGGCCAGCATCATCCTGATACCAAAACCTGGCAGAGATACAACACAAAACGAAAACTTTAGGCCAATATCCCCGATGAACACCGATGTAAAAATCCTCAATAAAATACTGGCAAACCGAATCCAGCAGCACATCAAAAAGCTTATCCACCATGATCAAGTTGGCTTTATCCCCAGGAAGCGAGGTTGGTTCAACATATGCAAATCAATAAATGTGATTCACCACATAAACAGAACTAAAGACAAAAACCACATGATTATCTTAACAGATGCAGAAAAGACCTTTGATAAAATTAAACATCCCTTCATGTTAAAAACTCCCAATAAACTAAGTATTGAAGGAACATACCTCAAAATAATAAAAGCCATATATGACAAACCCACAGACAATATCATACTGAATGGGCAAAAGCTGAAAGCATTCCCCTTGAAAACCAGCACAAGATAAGGATGCCCTCTCTCACCACTCCTATTCAAGATAGTATTAGAAGTTTTGGCCAGGGCAATCAGGCAAGAGAAGAAAATAAAGGGTATTCAAATAGGAAAAGAGAAAGTCAAACTATCTTTGTTCACAGAAGACATGATCCTATATCTAGAAAATGCCATTGTCTCAGCCCAAAAACTTTTTTTTTTTTTTTTTTTTTTTTTTTGAGATGGAGTCTTGCTCTGTCACCCAAGCTGGAGTGCAGTGGCACAATCTCGGCTCACTGCAGCCTCTGCCTCCCGGGTTCCAGTGATTCTCCTGCCTCAGTCTCCTGGGTAGCTGGGATTATAGGCACACGCCACCACGCCTGGCTAATTTTTGTATTTTTAGTAGAGAGGGGTTTCACCATGTTGGCCAGGCTGGTCTCGAACTCCTGACCTCAGGCAATCCGCCTGCCTTGGCCTCCCAAAGTGCTGGGATTACAGGCGTGAGCCACCACGCCTGACCAATGATACTCTCAAAAACTTCTTAAGTTGATAAGCAACTTCAGCAAAATCTCAGGATACAAAATCAATGTGCAAAAATCGCTAGTATTCCTATACACCAACAACAGACAAGCCAAGAGCCAAATCATGAATGAACTCCCATTCACAATTGCTACAAAAAGAATAAAATACCCAGCAATAGAGCTAACAAGAGAAGTGAAGAACCTTTTCAAGGAGAAGTAAAAACCACCGCTCAAATAAATCAAAGAGAACATGAACAAATGAAGAAGCATTCCATGCTCATGGATAGGAAGAATCAATATTGTGAAAATGGCCATCTCAATGCAATTCCCATTAAATTAGCAATGACATTCTTCACAGAATTAGAAGTAACTATTTTAAAATTCAAATGGAACCAAAAAGAACCCAAATAGCCAAAACAATTCTAAACCAAAAGAACAAAGCTGGAGGCATCATGCTACCTGACTTCAAACTACACTACAAGGCTGCAGTAACAAAAACAGCATGGTACTGGTACAAGAACAGACATAAACCAATGGAACAGAATAGAGAACTCAAAAACAAGACCACACACCTACAACCATTTGATCTTCGACAAACTTGACAAAAACAAGCAGTGGGGAAAGGATTCCCTATTTAATAAATGGTGCTGGAAGAACTGGCTAGCTACATATACAGAAAATTAAAACTGGACCTTTTCCTTACACCATATACAAAAATTAACTCAAGATGGATTAAAGACTTAAATATAAAACCCAAAACTACAAAAACCTTGGAAGAAAATCTAGGCAATACTATCTGGACATAGGCATGGGCAAAGATTTCATCATGAAAACACCAAAAGCAACTGCAACAAAAGCAAAAATTGCCCGGGTGAGGTGGCTCACACCTGTAATCCCAGCACTTTGGAAGGCTGAGGTGGGTGGATCACTTGAGGTCAGGAGTTTGAGACCGGCCTGGCCAAAATGGTGAAACTGTGTCTCTACTAAAAGTACAAAAAATTAGCCAGGTATGGTGGCACACACCTATAGTCCCAGCTACTCAGGAGGCTGAGGCATGAGAAATGCTTAAACTCGGGGGGCAAAGGTTGCAGTGAGCCGCGGTCATGATATTGTACTCCATCCTGGGTAACAGAGCAAGACTCTGTCTCAAAAAAAAAAAAAAAAAAAAAGGCAAAAATTGACAAATGGGATCTAATTAAAGAGCTTCTGCACAAAAAAAGAAACTATAATCAGAGTGACCTGACAACCTACAGAATGGGAAAAAAATTTTTCAATGTATCCATCTGACAAAGGTCTAATATCCAGAGTCTACAAGGAACTTGAGTTTACAAGAAAAAAACAACTGCACCAAAAAGTGGGCAAAGGACATGAACAGACACTTTTCAAAAGAACACATACATGCAGCCAACAAATATGAAAAAAAGCCCAACATCACTGATCATTAGAGAAATGCAAATCAAAACCACGAGATACCGTCTCATGCCAGTCAGCATGGCTATTATTAAAAAGTCAAAAAACAACAGATGCTGATGAGATTGCAGAGAAAAAGGAACACTTTTACACTGTTGGTGGGAGTGTAATTTAGTTCAACCATTGTGGATGACAGCGTGGCAATTCCTCAAAGACCTAGAGGCAGAAATACCATTTGACCCAGCAATCCCATTACTGGATATATACCCAAAGGAATATAAATCATTTTGTTATAAAGATACATGCATGTGTATGTTCACTGCAGCACCATTCACAATAGCAAAGACATGGAATCAACCTAAATACTCAACAATGATAGACTGGATAAAGAAAATGTGGTACATATACACAATGGAATACTATGCAGCCATAAAAAGGAATGAGATCATGTCCTTTGCAAGGACATGGATGGAGTTGCAAGCCATTATCCTCAGAAAACTAATGCAGAAAGAGAAAACTAAACACTGCATGTTCTCACTTGTAAGTGGGAGCTGAATGATGAGAACATATGGACACATAGTGGGGAACCACACACAGTGGGGCCTGTTAGAGGTTGGGGGTGGCGGGAAGGAGAGCATCAGGAAGAATAGCTAATAGATGCTGGGCTTAATACCTAGGTGACAAGATGATCTATGCAGCAAACCACTATGGCACACATTTACCTATGTAAAAAACCTGCACATCCTGCACATGTACACATGAAAATATAAGTTGAAGAAAAGTAAAATAAATTAAAAAATGTACAAAACAAAGTCATGAATGCTACAATGGGAGTAGCACAGACATTATCTGCCCCCAGTGGGTAAAGGCTATAAACCAAGACTTGCATACAGAGCAGGAATTTGCAGGGGGGAGGTGAGGACAGGGGCTGGTGTTGGGAGATAACACTGTTCTAGGTAGAGGGAAGAGCCCAAAGGTACAGCCAAGCAGGAAGACTGATAGGGCCAGAACAGGTGGGTGCAGAGTATAAGGACAGGATGCGTGAGAGGCAACAACAGAGAGATAACGCAGAAGTCAAGAAGGACTTCGTAAGCCACACTCAAGACTCCCGGCTTCATCTGAGGGCAGGAGGAACCCGCTGGCTGGGCTTTAAGCAGGGCAGTATGGAGCTTTCATGAGGTGCTCAGTAAACATTGACTGAGCGTTTCACCTAGTGCACTGAGAACCTGGCAAATGATCTGTGGGGCTGTCTTTTCTTCTCACCTCTTCCACGACCCACCACTCATGCTGGGCCACATTGCAACATCCAGGACTTATTTTTACTTGCTTTTTGGAAGTTCCTATTGTCTCCTCATATTTGTCTCACAAGGAACCCTAGGTTTCCTCTTCAACAATATCAATGCTATCCTTTTTGGCATACTGCAGTTCTTGCTTTCCCTTCTCTGCAGAAAGTGAGCTCGGCACTGGCTCAGTGCTCCCACCAGTGTCCAGACTGGAATGCCTGGAGAGCAAGAGGTAAGTCAGACCGAGGCAGGTATGAGGAGGAACGGACAGAGGGAGGGAGGCTGAAAGGGGTATGGAGAAAGAATTCTGCCATTTAATTCTTTTAGAATTAGTTTAATATTTTCAAGTTTTTGGTTTATGTTAATTTTCATTGGGAACTACTTTTCATAATAACTGCACAATTAATAAGACATACATTTGTGTGCTGTGGAAAATAAGTCTGAAGTAAAAGTAATTGAAAAAGAAGACAGCAAGCAGAGATATTCTATCTTTGAGCTCTCTTTTTCTGAAATAATTCCTTTAAAAATATTTTCCAAGTATTCTTAAGTATAAAGCATTTAACATGACAAGAGTATGAGTCAGTCATTTGGATTTGAGGGCTTGGTCACATATAGACTCGGTGCTTTTGCTGATGAGCTTCAAACTTTTCTAATGGCTTAAAAATAATCTACAATACATGGAGTCATTACTCAGGATTTATCTTCAAAGAACTCCAATTACAGAATTTAGTCACTGGAATCCCCCCTTTTTAGACATAGGAACAAATATTCAGGAAAAAAAAAACCCACATAGGATTCATAAGTAAAGATTTATACCTTTTTCTGAATAAAGCAGGCACTAAATAAAAGTGCCGTCGCTGCAGCTCTAGCTGAGTTCAAAGGCGCATTGCAGCAGCTTTAAAGTTTATTCCAATAATCAACTCAGTCCAAAGTTAGACATGTGCTAACTAGACTTGTCATGTGTATATTGCTTTTAAGTCTTTAGCATGTGAAATGTCTTTTCATTTTTGGAAAAAAATCATAAAATAAAGAATTATTTTGTTGGAAATTAACTTCATAGTCTAAAAAGCAAAACCAGACAGGCCACAACATTCCAGCAAGTAAACAAGACAGATGTTTTGTGCTCCAGCTCTCAAAAATCATGAGATAGTCAAGATTCTCCCAGATCAGGTTCAGATTTGTCTTGCCAACTTCATTTCTTCCTCCTCTTCCCTTTCATGCATGCAACACCCTATCTAACACTTCCTTTCCTCTCTTATATATATATGGTTCTCCCTTTCCTGCCACCATACTCATCCTCACGTGATTCCTCCTATCTGGAATGCTCTTCCTGCCACATCTGCATGATCAAATCGTGCACACGTTTGCAAACTCATCTCGGATACCACCTTGTCTAAGAAACTCGCCATAGTGTCTCCAGACAAAAGGAGTCTCTCCTTCTGTGCATGGGCCACTTCTTATCCCACATCGTGTCATCTACTCTGGGCCCACTGAGGGCAAGGTAACCCTTAGTATATTGCTTTATTTACAAGAAGCATCAGTACCTGTTACTTGTATGCGCAATAAGGTATTAGGAAGATATAAGCAGGCAGATTTCCTGATTTAATAAGCTTAAAAAGTACATGGACCACTAGGCACAGTGGCTCATGCCTGTAACCCCAGCACCTTGGGAGCCTGAGGCAGGTGGATCACCTGAGGTCAGGAGTTCGAGACCATCCTGGCCAATATGGTGAAACCCTGTCTCTACTAAAAATACAAAAAATTAGCCAGGTGTGGTGGCATGCATCTGTAGTCCCAGCTGCTTGGGAGGCTGAGGCAGGAGAATCGCTTGAACCTGGGAGGTGGAGGTTGCAGTGAGCTGAGATTACACCATTGCACTCCAGCCTAGGCAAAAAAGTAACTCTGTCTCAAAAAAAAAAAAAAAAAAAAAAAAAAGTACATGGACCAAGAGGTGGCAAAAAGAATAAGATTTCAAATGTGAAAGGATGAAGTTTTGACACAGGCGTAGCATTCACCTCCAGCAAACACAATTCAGCATTTCTGTGTGTCTAGGACAAGGTGTACTGGGGAACAAGGTAAAGGCTGTCATTTAGTGTGTGCCCACCAAGTGCAGGGTTTGTGCAAGGGCTTTATTGACACTGATTTCTGTCTCAAAACAACTCTAGAATGCCCCTATTATTATCCTGGCTTTACAGAGGAGGGATGGGGGCCAGAGAGGATGAGTGAGCTCAGAGAGGCCCAAACAGCTAAAAATCCTTCTGCCTCCAAAGTCCTACACCCTTTATGCTGCCTAAGAACTTTCCAAAAGAGATAAATATAACTGAGCACATACACTAAGCCCCAGTAAAACGCGAGTAAATGTAAGACTTCTTTGAGTACGATTAGTTTTATAGCAGGAAAAATCAAAAGAGGTTAACAGAAGTCCTTTATATCTGCATAACACATCATACTTCCAAGGAACTTCCATATTTATGAATTTACAGACGTATCAGATTTGATAAAATCTGATTTAGTAAAAAATGAACAAACACGGTTTGGCTGCACCTCGCCAGAGTGGACCAGAGTCCTTAATTCTTAGCTTCTGGGAGACTCAGAAAGCCCAGAGACTCCAGAGAAGTGAATGTCTTCTGTAATGTCACTTAGAACCAGGTCTCCAAGAGACCCAAGGAACCAAAGCATCCTTATAAAGCTGTGGGCTAAGTGGTTTATTCTTCCCCAAGTCAGCCTCTGAGACACTGGTCCAAACAGAAATGGGGTTGGTGAAGCCCTCCAGTCTGAAGTGATGCATTCTGAGCACATCTGGAAGACCAGAGGATCTCTAGGCTCGGGCCATACTAAAGGTCACATAAGGTAGATGGCTGAACTCCTACTGAATTCACCATATGCCCCCATTCCCTATTTATCATTCACAGAGCTGGCTTTTCTCACACCACAAATATCCATCTATCCTTCCATTCATATCTCATATAACTCCTGGAAGGCAGTCATAGACTCTTGTGATTTGACCAGTAATAGACTTGTGATTCAGCATTTCCTGAATAACATATGATCAGAAACAGCAGGTTTCTAGGGACATCCTTAAGGAAACCTGACAACCTAGGTTGGTTCAGGAGAGCTGGCCTCTAGGTCCATTTGACTTGGAATGACAAAAGCCAAACTTCTCTACCCTCTAGTCTTATGCCTAAGTCTTCCTCAGGGACCAGCATAAAACTGTTCCATGCACCAATACTCAACATTTTATGGGCAGACGCATGAGAGGGGCCTTTAGGAGTAGCAGTGGTAGCAGAATTACTACGAGTAGTCATAATAAAAAACAGTTTCTAAATCCCTGCCCCTCCTGTAGAACTGAACTCTAGAAAAGGCAAAGTAGGGCAAAAATAGTGTCTTTTCCACCCTCATTCCATTTGTCAAATATAAACATAAAACTCTGATTTCCCCTTGGGGTTCTGGCCACACACATACGGCATGTAAGTTCCTCTTTGGAGGGGTCTTGCTATATGAAATGCAGAATCCAAGGTATTTTATTCCTACTTTCAATGAAATAGCTTAATTTTTCTATAAATAATTTTTCCCCTATAAATATCACCATAGCACCACTATGAAGGCCGCACACATCTTTCTGAAAAAGAAGATGAAGATTATTTTGTCCATCTTGCCATTATTAATGTGAATATAAATTCTCTGTGCTATTTCATTGGTGTATTTTCCAGGAACACAGTATATATTCTATAATTTAATACTATGATAAATGTGATTTGTGAAAGTCATTTATTCACGAACAGACCTTTCCATATTTTATGTAAACTTGCTATTCGTTATATTTAACATTCTCATATTTAACCTCAGAAGATACTAAAAGTGTAAGTTGAAAAAATAGTCTTATAAAATCCTTACTTAACTGTCTCTGTCTTCTCAGCAGAGGGGTAGCATGTTCTTGATCTTTTGCTTTTGATTTTGTTCTTGTATTTTGAGTCATAAGCCTTTTTAAGTGTAGGACAAAAGTTATGGATCTCTTCTCCAGAAAAACATACACAAACAGAAACACAAGGTTTTCATATAACTAATTTTATTTCATTGGAAGTTTATTACCTTCACATAAACAGAAATAATCTTTATAAAGAATTATATATCTTTTGCTATCTTTTTAATGTTTATTATGTGTAAACCAAAAAGTAATGCTGCTTAAAAAAAACTACAATTTGACGGCTTGCCTAAGAAGGTGAAATTGTGGTTTACTGTTTGACAGCCAGGAGTGTGTGGGTGTGTTTTAATAATAACCAAAGTTACTTGTATCCAGCAACTCCAGAATCATCTAGACTTTGCAGTGAACTCACGGTTTACTCTTAACTGTCTTTCCTAAGTGTCATTGTGTTTGGCAAGGTCTGACTCACTGGGGTAGCCTCTGCCATCAGAGAAGAGATACAGAAATCCAAGTATCCATCCTAACACAGGAGCAGGAGTAGCCTTCACAGGAGTCAGCTGGTGTTGCCAGAAATGTGCAGATTTCTTTTTGGAGAGAAATTAACAAGGCTTTGTCCTTCTGGAGACCAACCTTCAGGTTCTCTTCTTCCAGCACAGGGAAGTTCACAAGACAACTGCTTCTACCAACCTCTTCTAGAATGAAAGTAAAGGATGTCTCAGAAGCATCAATAAAAGGGACTACAGGACCTTGTAATAAAAGATTTCTCTCATTCATGTGGCAGAAATTGAAACAAAACCTCTAAGCATGTCAGGTGATAAACTTCTCCCTGGCAGACTGCTCTGAGAATGGCTTTCCTTTCCACTCCACACTGAAGCACGTAGGACGGAAGATAAGTCAAGTCTTGTAAGAGTCGTTTTCTGGAAAGCCAGCAAACTTCTGGGTAGCACAGAACTTTACACCCAGCAGTATGACTTGATATACCCCCTGAAAAAGCTGGTGATTCAAGGCCTTGGTTCTCCTCAAAGGTAACTCACCACAGAGGGAAATATGACTTCTGTGGGATTGGTAGTGGATGGCCTAGTGCCAGAGCATGTGAGACAGACATTAATGGGGTTTCCTTATTCACAAAAAGTTAAACCAGGAGCTGACTGCAACAACATGCACCTGATGGACAAAACCCACAGGCTGGTTTCTGAGGAATACACCAGGAATTTTACAAAAATGCTGCAGAAGTAAAGTGGCATAATTGCCAATCTCTCCAGAGTACATTCTGAAATACTGAAAATTAGAACCTCCAGGGATTCCACAGTGGTTGGTATTTGAGAGGGCACTGCTTCATCTTTTCTCTTCTTATTCAAGATACAAATTGTAGCACTCCACCCCTGGCCTCTCCAAAATGCTGTAAGAGCCTCACTGGCTGCTTAAAGATGAGGCTTTCTCCTTGGGACAAATCCAAGTTTCTGCCTTTCCAAATGGAGCCATCTTCTCACAGAGAAGATCCATATGCCTGGTGAGTCTCCAAGCAAGATGGGAAGAAGGTGCTCCCTTTCCCATCTTGTCTTCTGTGTCCAGCATCAGACACCCAAGGGACTTCTATGGTCATCCCATCCACAGGGTGGAAGATCTGACCTTCCCCCTGTCTAGGTCATCTGCTTCTAGGACTGCATTCTCATCAGGGTGATACTGCTTCCACATGGGTGAAAACTGGTTCAGCAAGTGGGACTAAAGCTTACATATTACAGTGGTTTGTGCCAAAGGACAATACATAAACAGACACAGTCTATATTAAAATTGCATAGATAGAGGTAGTCAGGGAAAATAAGTCAAAAAAGGTTCCTTAAGGTGCATGTGAAAAAAAGGTTGAGCAACACTGCTATAATGTATTTGAAGGAGGGAGCTTGGAGTGTCTCCACTCTGTTTCTATGCTATCTGGCCATGGCCTCATACTCTTCACTTGACCGCAGGCTTCCTCTGACTTGGCTCCTGGTTACCAGCTGGACTAGAGGATGACTGGTGCCCCTTCCTGCTCCTCCACAAATGCTACAACCATCATTGTAGCTACAGAGGAATGGTAAGGGTCACATACACCTACACTGTCCTTGACAAGAGTACACACGGCTTCCCCCTCCTTTATCTTTAAGGCACCACTGACTAGTACTTATTACAGAATTTACTGATAGTATTAGAAGGGATTTGCAATTCATAAAAGAAAACTTAAATCTCTGCATCAAGTTCTGATGTTCTCATGGAGGAATTAGCCATATCCCACTGCTGGGGGCCCCCTGTCAACCTACTGCTTTCCTTGTTCCCTTCATATTGCTGGGAACTGCAATATCTCTTTCAGTTATGAGCTGCTTCTCCTCATGCTCTCAGTCCTGTCCCATGATCAGAACTCTGGTCACCAAGAAGCAGCCAAAAATAGTAAACACCATACTAACTTCCCCTCCCAGGACAGTCACTTTTTGATTTGCCCAGCAGAGCAGCTGAGATCCTCTTTGCTTAACTTCTTCCCTTGGACTACGTTCCCAGCCTCATCTCTGCAGAGCTCAAAGCCCAAACAGGAGAGTGCGTGGCTTGCAGGAAGGCAGATGATTCAGAGGGCCTAACTAGGTTCAGTTAACAGGGAAGCGTGAACCTTCAAGGTCAAACAAGGCCAATTCACAAAAAAAGCAGGGCACATGCATTTTTTAATCTTAAGCAAAAGAGAGCAGTACCATCTTCCACCCAATTGGGTGTCAGAACAGTCAGTACCCATGGACCTGAGAATCTGCCTCTTGCCTTCCCCTCCCCAGCCTTTACTCTACTGGACTTGCTTTCAAAGCCAGCTGTATGTGGTAGCCTTCCTTTCTGGACTTGGGAAATCTAAGAAACAATTTGACTTTGGCCTGTTCCAGGATACTGTCTCCTGCCTACTATGTAGAAATGTTAAGCTTTGGTACCCGTTGCTCCTGGGTCTCCCCATCTTAGAACCCTCTCTGGAATTCAGATTTCTGTTGACTCTTAGAACAAGCAGGAACTGATTCCACTAAGCATTGACCTACCTCACCAACTACAGACCAGATTAATCTCTATTCAGAGGGCCAGTGATATAGACACAAATTTGTATTAAAATATTTTAACATTCTGGAGCAGTAGAACGTTAACATAAAGCCAATAATGACTAAAGTAGGTTGGGTGTGGTGGCTCATGCCTGTAATTTCAGCATTTTGGGAAGGGGAGAGGATTTCTGGAGCCCCAGAGTTCAAGACCACCCTGGGCAACATAGCGAGAGCCCATTTCTACAAAAATTTTTTTAAAAATTAGCTGAGTGTGGTAGCTCATGACTGTAGTCCTAGCTCCTCAGTAGGATGAGGCAGGAGGATCACCTGAGCCCAGGAGTTCAAGGTTACAGTCAGCTACGATTATGCCACTGCACTCCAGACTGGGTAATGGAGCAAGACCCTTTCTCTAATAAATAATAATAATAATAATAATTACAATTACTACTACTACTACTACTACTACTACTACTACTACTACTACTACTACTACTAAAGCAAAACAAAGAAAGACTGCTTTATAACTTTCCTGGTCTTACTTCTATAGGGTACACCTACTATACTAGTTAAAATAATGCTAGATGAAGTAACAGATGCCTCACCATCCCTTCCTTCACCCAAATCTCGGTGACTAAACACCTTAGAAGTTTATTTCTTGTGTCTTCTCATAGACAATTCAATGCAAATCACAAAGGTGGCCTGCTACCTAGTGTCTCAGAGACCCATGCTCTTTCCATTGTGGGGCTCCACTGTCCCATGAGGATCCCAGAGCCCTCTGCATGCAGCTGGCAAATAGGCAGAGAGAGGGCTGAGAAGGCACCACTGCCTGCCAAGGAAACTCATCCCAGAAGTCACACATATGCCCTCACACATCATTAGTGGAACCTGAATGCAAGGGAGGCTGGGATGTGCAGTCCAGTGTGAGCCACGTAAGAGGGTGACTATCCTTGGTTCATTGTTGACCACTCTGTCACTCCCTGCCTTCTCCCCTCAGTCCACAGTGGCTGAGCAGGGGCTATGTTGATATCATGAACTCATGGAGAGGGGCCTTATGAGACCATGGAGTCCAATCTGCTTTTATTGAAGTCTTGAATAACGTGACAGGGGCTTCTTTTCCAAGTGTCACTGCCCATAATTTCCATAGATTGTATCCACTATAAATCAAGCCTCTCTGGCTGTTTCAGATATTTCAGTGGAATCTGGTTTTCAAACGGGCTAACTCATTTAGGGACACATTTGCAGATAGTTCTCATTTAATTACAAACATTGTATGACAACAATATATGGTAACATGTCTCTTACCTGTTAGACTGGGGATTCTTTGAGGTAAGGACACAGTAGAGAACTCTTTATTATAGTTTCTGCTCTTAAGCTGGGGACAAGCAGAAGCTTGACAGAAGCCAGGTTACAAAAGTGTCCTGGAAGATCAGGAAATGAGGTCCCACTCTGAGATGGGGCAAGCAAACTCTGCTAGTTTCAAGCAAGCCCACTAAAGCTGTGTTTACAAGATTATAACTTGTTTTTACAAATCTGTATTCATTACAGACACATGTAATTGCAGATGAGCACTTCTGTGCAGTCTTCTCCAGGTTGAACACTTGACCTCTGTTTTATTTCAGAGATCCAGAATGGCTTGCTGACCTCACCTCTATCTGTGGATGCTCCTCCCTCTAGTGATGGCTATCTTTCCCTTCTCTGAATATGTGCCTCAAAGCGCTGCGAGGTTCCTGTTCATCAATTCTAAAGGAGTTGCTCTCAACTCTCTACCACACTGGAAAGTAGCTAGAAAACTCTTGTTTGCCAGGAAAATAACAAAAATAACTGTGCTAAGGGTAAAGACAATTACCTTTTCAAGAGTGTCTGTGTATTAAGGAGTGTTTGTACCCAAAGAAAGATCTCTAGTGGTAAAATTTTAGAAACTAATGATGACTTTCAGGGAAGACCCAAAAGACAGAGATGCTTTGAGGTGGAATGGCACACCCATACTCTTCAATTACCTTAGAATGGTAGCTTTTGGTCCGCCCACATCTAAGACTGGACCTGGGAAAGAGATACAATCCTGGCTTGAATCTCAGCCTCCAAACCCAAAAATGCTCTTGGGCTTGTCAAAAGCCCTACAAAACCTAACTTCTACTTATAGATCAATTATTGTACCCATCGTGAAGACTCAGTGATCTTTTCAAAGAGTAATTCCCTGTATGGATATATTCTTAATAGAGATTTTGGGATAGAAAGTCTTCAGGGCAGTATTCATAATCAACTTTCTTATTGTAAGAGAGCTGACTGTCAAGACTGTTGTTTGAAAAAATATTTTAGAAGGTCTCAAATCAAACTGTATAATCAGCACTCATGTTTTATGCAAATTAGAAGATATATTCTTATACTGCATCACAGGATCTAATCATCCTAGCACATCACTCAGAGAAAGCATATGCCAACCAAAATTTAGAACAATAATTCACAGTCCATGGAATAGTGCATCACCACAGATTAGACTTGTTATAAATTTATAATGATTTCATATAAAAACATTACATTTTAATAGTTTGAAGAAATGACAGGGTAGGGCTGGTATAAATGTTTAACTAGCACTGTCTCATATTTTATACTGTTTATTTCATTACTGGATATGCTAAAGTGAAAGAGCTAGCTTAAAAATGTCATCAAATTCAAAACAGAAAACTTGAGAACAAATACTCTATGCAAACCATTTTTCTAGCCTGAAGGATATCCCACAGCCTCTTTCAGATAAGCACCTGGATATGTAACTATCACAAAATTATAACTTATTTAAATTGTTTATCATTCTGACCTTGGTGAGATGAAAATAGGTCATAGCCCTTGTAATTAAATTTGTTTCCATATTTGAGGCTGCCACAGAGAAGCCCTGTCCCCTGTGTTCTCCCTGCCAAACTGCTCTTTGGCTCTTCTGTGACTTTACATGCTTCTATAAAGGACAGAGGATCACTCAAAACACATCTAGTCCTATTAATATGAGATTGAGATGTGGCAGTCCTTGGGATACGCCAGACGCATAGACGAGACCTGAAGCTGCCTGGCAGGAATGCATTTGATTTGTCACTGTCAGGTGTATATCATCTCTTGCCGTTTATCTTGATAGTCTCTCCTGTCTCCAAATTCTCAGTGACTGTTCTTCTCTAATACAATCACTCACAGAGGTCTGAGGATATGGTGGCATCCCAAATCACAGCATCAGGAACCATATCCTTACTACTTATTAAGTGTAGCTTAACCAGACTAAACATTCCACGCCTCACAAGCCAGTGCAAAAAGGCAGTTGTGGGACAGGTACAGTATGATTCCTTTTTCTAAGATATATTTTTTTTAACATTTTCACTCATTGCTGTAATGCTTTGTTTTCTCTAAAGGTTATATGTTACCTGCACAATCAGAAAATTAAAATAAAGATTTAATTTTGCTAAGAAAATGGATGTTCTTCTGGTTAGGATGTTTCACAGGGAAGACAGAATCAGAGTGGAAGCTGAAACCAGGCAAAGCCCATCAGGGCCAGGTGTCTGGGGAGCAGCTTCAAGGGAGAGAAAGGAGTGAAGGGAAGAGGGAAGCCTGAGAAGTGGGGTGCAAGGAAGAATGAGGCCTAGTAGTTCAGGCAGCAGGTTGAAAACACCTGCTCCCCACACCTGCACATGAAATAGGTGAAATAGAGAGGCTCAGGTCCATGCTCTGAGGAAGGCAAAAGGTATGATAGTGAGTCACAAGCAAGAATTTGGGGTGTGGAATCTCGACTCTAAGCCCTTTCCACTTTTCAGGCATCTTCTGCAACCACTGGAGGGTGTTGGACCCCAGAGTAAAGCAGTTGTTTTATTTGGAGATTAAAGGCAATAATCACCCTAGAAGCTTGGACTATGTGAGGACATTTGGGTAAACATTCGATCTTCACATTAATCTATGAAGCAGATGTTACAATCTCCAGCTTTTGATAAAGAAAATAAATACTTAAGGAAGTTAATTAATTTGTCCCAGGTTTCCCAGTGTAGAGTGGAGACTTCAACCTAGACTCAACATGAAAACCTTGCCTCCTCAAGAAAGATATCATAGGAAGAATAAGTGACAGTCCAAGTCAGCAGCCTCGATCCAACTGTGAGGATGTGTTCATGGCGTGTGGGGTAGAACGCTCTCCGGAGTGCTCGGCTGGCAGGAACACCCCACAGCCTAAGAGTGGGTGGGAGCCAGAAGATGTAATTATAGATTGCATGTGGTCTGCTTCCCGCGGTGTCAGTTTCTGAGAGTGGGACACCAGGATCTCACAGTTAAACAGGGTGGAGCTGAGAGATCCTTGGCACTGGAGACTGTCATCTGTGTTTGCTCACTGCCATTTGTCGCACACCTAGTGCAGAGCCTAGCACAGAGTAGGGCTCAGAACATGTTTGTCGAACACATTCATGAAATGGTAACAGCTCAGCATAGGTATAGGTCTACTGCCTGCCAATCTGATGCTGTCCCCTCCCACTTACGCTGTACCTCCAAAAGGAGACATGTAGATTTGATGTAAGCTCACTTAATTCAACCTACTGTGGCAGGAGTCACGGAGGATCCAAAGATGAACAAAAATATTACAACTAACACTTAGCATCTATCGTGTGCTGGGCACTGCTCTAATTGCTTTTACAGAAATAACTCATCTGGTCCTCACAATAGCCTCATGTATAAAAAGAGAAAACTATTAGAAACCCATTCTACAGATGAAGAAATTGGAGGCACAGACAGGTTAAGTGACCTCTCTAAGGTCAGAGTGCCAGTAAGTGCTGGAGGCAGGTTCAAACTTGGCAACTTTGGCTCCAGAACTTGTGCTGTTCACCATTACACCACACTGCCTCTCACATGATCTCTAGCTACAGGACATTGGAGGGCAAACACACCACAATGGAGTGGGCTCCGCAGAACAGATTGTGGCTCAAGCCCATTCCAGAGAGGAGCAGGTGCATACTTTACAAAAACTACTCATTTATTTAAACAAACCATATCCCTAGTACAATTATAGGTGTTAGGTATATAGCAATGAGGATAAGAATGTACAAATTCATTATCTATGTAGTGCCTGTATATCAGAGGGGCAGATAAACAACAGAAAATAAACAAGCAAATAGGCAAAACACAATAAGAAAAGACAGTAAGTGTAAAGGGGATAAAGCAAGCTAAATCAGCAGGCAAAGGATGCAGAGGCAGAGAAAGGGGCGCCTGTTCCTGCAGGCTGGTCAGGGAAGGCCTCTCTGACAGGGTGACATGTGAGTAAAGACCTGAAGGAAGGAAAGGAGGAAGCTATGCAGTTATGTGGAAGAATCTTCCAGAAAGAGGGCAGAGCACATAAAAAGGCCTAGGGGTACAAGTATACTTGGTGTGCCTCAAAAACAGCAAGTGCATCACGACTGGAGTGAGCAGGAAGAAAAGTGGCCAGAGAGGAGGTGAGACGTGTAGGTAGTGGAGACTGACTGCAGGGGCCTCAAAGATGAGGGAGAACTGGATTTTACTCCGAGATGGACAGCCAGTCCACGGCTTGCATGCCATAAACTTACTTAGGTTTTCAGAGGATGGCTCTGGCTGCTGTGTTGAGAATGAACTGGGGTGGGGGTGAGGGGCAATGGTGGAAGCAGGAAGACAAGGCAGTTACAATAAACCATGTGTGGGGTGACGGATTGGGTGGAGCAGTGGAGGTGGTAAAAATGATCAGATTCTTCACATACGTTGAAAGTAGGGCCAACAAAATGGGTTGGTAAACGGGGTGGAGTGTGAGAGAGGGAAGAGTTAGAGATGACTTGTTCCCTCACTCCCTTCAGGCCTCTGCTCAGAGTTCACCCTACTGAAGAAGCAGGACTTGCTGATGCAAGGTCTGACTTGGGAAACTTGAAGCTGCCATGACTAAGGCGAACAGGAGTGAGGGAGGAACAGGCCTGGGGAGGCCATGAGAAGCCTGAGGTGCCAATGAGCCAAGTGGGCGAAGATGTGGAGCATGCAGCTGACTCCGTCAGACTCGAGTTCAGGCTCTGGGTGGGCTGAAGGTACAAATACAGAGGCCCAACTGTAAAGATGATAGAAAAAGCTAGAAATTGGATGAGCTCCCCTAGGGAGCAAACCCAGATGGAGAGGAGTAGCAGTCTTAGGACCCAATCTTCAGGCAGGCACTGCAACGTTTAGAGACACCAGCCACAGAGATTGAGCTGAACGGTCAGTGTGTCGGGAGAAGCAAGAGGGTAGGGTGTCCCAGAAACCAAGGGAGAGAGTGTTCCTGAAGCAGGAGTCACTGGCTGTGCCAAAGGCCAAGTCAGCCAAGGACTAAGAACTGATCATTCACTAGTCACCAGCAAGAGTTGCAGGTACAGATGCTCAGCTAGCTGGAGACAGTGAGTCTAGACAACTCTCCCAAGAAGTTTTGTTGGGAAGGCAGGTAAGGAAATGGGGCAGAGTTAGACAGGAATGTGGATCTGGAGAGGCTTTTATTTTCTTTTTTAAAGGTGGGTGATATCCATATACAAAAATCAACTCAAGATGGAGTAGAGACTTAAATGTAAAACCCAAAACTATAAAAACCCTAGAAGAAAATCTAGGCAATACCATTCAGGACACAGGCATGGGCAAAGATTTCATGATGAAAATGCCAAAAGCAATTGCAACAAAAACAAAAATTGACAAATACGATACAATTAAACTAAAGAGCTTCTGCAGAGCAAAAGAAACTCTCATTAGAGTGAACAGACAACCTACAGAAAGGGAGAAAATTTTTTCAAACTATCCATCTGACAAAAGTCTAATACCCAACATCTACAAGGAACTTAAACATTTACAGGAAAAAAAACCCATTAAAAAGTGGGCAAAGGATATGAACAGACACTTCTCAAAAGAAGGCATATATACAGCCAACAAACATGAAAAAAAGCTCAACATCACTGATCATTAGAGAAATGCAAATCAAAACCACGATGAGATACCATCTCATGCCAGTCAGAATGGCTACTATTAAAAAGTCAAAAAACAACAATGCTGGTGAGGTTGTGGAGAAAAAGGAATGCTTTTATACCGTTGGTGGGAGTAGAAATTAGTTCAACTCATTGTGGAAGACAGCGTAGCAATTCCTCAAAGACCTGGAGGCAGAAATACCATTTAACCCAGCAATCCTATTAGTGGGTATATACCTAAAGGAATAGAAATCATTGTTATAAACATACATGCACGTGTATGCTCACTGCAGCGCCATTCACAATAGCAAAGACATGAACTCAACTTAAATGGCCTATCAATGATAGACTGGATAAAGAGAATGTGGTACATATACACCATGTAATACTATGCAGCCATCAAAAGGAATGAGATCAAGTCCTTTGCAGGGACATGGTTGGAGCTGGAAGCCATTACCCTCAGCAAACTAACACAGGAACAGAAAACCAAATACCACGTGTTTTCAATTATAAGTGGGAGCCTGAACGATGAGAACACATGTACACACGAAGGGGAACAACACACATTGGGGCCTGTCAGAGGGTGAAGGCTGGAAGGAGGGAGTGCATCAGACAGAACAGCCAGCAGATGCTGGGCTTAATACCTAGGTGATGGGATGATCTGTGCTACAAACCACCATAGCACACGTTTACCTATGTAACACACCTGTACATCCGGCACATGTACCCCTGAACTTGAAATTAGAGTTGGAAATCAAAAAAAAAGGAAGGAAAAAAACAGATGGGTGATATATATCAGCATATCATATTCTGATGGGAAAGACCCAGGAAGGGGCGCTTTGATGACGCAGGAGAGAGAAAGGGGAGATCTGCTATGGGATGTCCTTGAGCAAGCAGGAAAAGTGAGACCTGGTGCAGAAGCTGAGGGCTCAGCCTCAGGGAGGAGTTGGCCCCTCCAGTAAGAGGGAACAGCAGCCTTGTGGCACAGGTGCAGGCAGTTGGCAGATATTGGGGAGAGAATCTGAGGTGTTCTCTCCTTATCTGTTTCCTCAGTGACATATGAAGGTCATCAGCTGAGAGAGAAGATGATAGGCTTAAAAATCTTTTATAAGATTTTAAATAGGAAATGGCAAAGTTAGATCTGATTGAGAAAACTCCAATTTGATAAGATAAAACCCAGGAAAAAATACACAAAATTAACAAAAAATATGAATTCCTTACCCTATTGTTTGAAAAGTGCTCTTGGACACAAACTCATCTTCTCCTAGGATCAGGCCTGACAGTGGGCCATTCTTTGTGGAAGCAGCTGACTAAATCCAGAACTTGTTGGACATACAAATAAAACTGTTTAGAACTTTGAAAGCTATACAGTTAAAAGTACATCATTTGGAGATTATTTTATATCACAACACTACTATGAGATAAGTTTTCATATCCCGATGTGACTGACTAGAACCTTTTTTTAAAGCAGCATTTTATTGGGTGGTGGTTACACAAGTCTTTATTATTTTGTTTTCTGCACATTTTTGCATGAGTATGAAATATTCATAATAATAAAATGGAGCATCTTACTCTAATTTTGATATGATGAATTTTCATTCAATGCAAGTAAAATCTTTAAAGATAGACTAGAATTTTGGTATTGTTTCTAGGGAAGTCAGCTGTTTTTGTATCTGTCATTATGAAGTAAGAGCTTCAGCAGGCTTGTAAAACAAGATAATTGAGGCTTTACTTGATGTTCTGCTGTTTATAATATCATGTGGGTCACTGTATTTTCAGAAAGGCATTCTAAACAGTTGAACAAAGATTAATTTGTGGAGGGAAGAGTTTTGCTGATAAAGCTTATCTTACTGCCCTCTGCTTCCTGAGAGTATCATTGGTCAAATACCTCAATTAACCAGAAGAGCCCACTTTTCAGTTGTGTCAGACAGCACAGGGTTAACTATCATAAGACAGTTGAGTCTAGCAAGTTTATTTCAGGTGTGAAAACCTACAGGCATAGACTTGTGGCTTAAAGACACAAAAAATGCAACTTCTCCAGTGTAGTGTTGACTGGAGTATTCAGAAAGTTACTAGGTATGATGATGCTATATTATTCTGGAATTTTTTTTAGAACAAAGACAATTTTAACAGAAAAGGTAGAATTCATATTTGTGACTGAAATAGAGACTGACATATTGAAGCTATTGATAAAGCAGAGATTGGTTAAGAACATTCGAATCAGCAACACATTCCTAAAAATAGATCCCTAGAGGATTTTGCCAACTCTTCATATACTAGGGTATCATATACAGTATACATGTATCATATACAGTATATACAATGATGATGATGGTTAAACTGTCAAGCTAAAATATCTAGCTTCAAATCCTGGCTCCACCACTTACTCAGCCATCCTCTTATGCCTCAGATTTTATAACTCTAAAATGGGGTTAATAGTATCTCCTCTCATTAGGTTGTTCTAATATTATCCACATCAATGACTCAGTCAGTGACCAGCCCAGAGACAGCAAACACTCAATACATGGGTAGATTTTACATCATTATTAAGACAAAGGTCAAACAGTAACTTTGAAGAAAACTGTTTCCCAGTCTATAGAGTCATCTGATTAACAGTCGGTGACAATAACCAGAACATCTCTGGGATAAGCACTTAGCAACAGAGAACATTCCAGCTTCACGACAGCTCAGAAGCTCAGGAGACCCAGGCACCAAGAGAGCAGAGCCCTGATCTGGCTGCACTGTTCCTGGAAAGTTTCTGTGCAGTGATGCAGTCTCCAGTGTCATTTGTTGCAGCTGAGGCCTCGCCAGCAGGCTGGCTATTCTCCAGCCTTTGTAATGGTAATGGAGGGAGGAGACCTGCAACTTTGCAGTGGACTCTCTGAGCCACACTGCCTATCCCTACAATGCCCCAAGGTCACTGAAGAGAGAATACCAGAGGCTCCAGCTCTCAGTGGCCATGCAATTAAGCCTAACAAGGCATAAGGAGCTCCCCGGGGGGCACATAGAGATGCCCACAGTAATTGGCAATGGTCCTCTGGTCCCCCAGGGGCTGAGGATTATCTGTTAGCAGCAGGGAAGGGACAGGGAAGGGTCAAGACTTTGAGGGAGGCCAGATGGGATCACCTATCTTCATGCATAAGTCATGAGCAGCTCTGTTGACTGCTCTGTGCTCTCCTGAGTCAGACACAGCAAGGCAGATGCCTGGTTTGGCGAATCAGGAAAAAGAGGCTTCCTCTGTGCTGGGAGGTTCTGGCCTGGGATAGCTCCCTACCTCTCTGTGTGGCTCCAATAAAGCTGACTTCACAGCTCTGGTTCTTGCTGAGGCAAGCAATAAAAATGTGTGCATTATGCAGTGTACATTCTAGTTCACCCAACACTGAACCCCTCAGCAGAAGGTGTGTACCACTGACAGGAAGGGTGTGCATGATCAAACAGAAATGGGCCTTTACTAAAGAAATAGGATGAAAATTTGTAATATAGTAGGGATATTCCACACATTTAAGATGACAACTGCCATTTCCAAAGTATATATCTGTGGGCATGGGCATGCATATATGCATTTGTCTTTTCTTGATGGCTTTCTCTGTGACAAGCACTATGACAAACACTTTGAATATCTATCTGCTGTAATCTTCATAAAAGGGCCCTATCAGGTAAACTACCATTCAGTTTTGAGATGTTAAGGGATGTGTCCAAGGAAGGGACAGAGTGAAGATTTGAACCCTCCATCCAAATTCTCTCTCTTTTTTTTTTTCTGTAGATACAGGGTCTCACTCTGTTGCCCAGGCTGGAGTGCAGTGGTGTGATCTCAGCTCACTGCAGCCTTGACCTCCCCAGCTCAAGCTATCCTCCCACTTTCAGCCTCCTGAGTAGCTAGGACTACAGGCATGCGCCACCACCCTCAGCTAATTTAAAAATATATATTTTTTGTAGAGACAAGGTCTCAAAATGTTGCCCAGGCTAGTCTTGAGCTCTTGGGCTCAAGTGATCTTCCTATCTTGGCCTCCCAAAGTGCTGGGATTATAGGTGTGAGCTGCTGCACCCGGCCCAAGCCTCTTCTCTTAATCCAGTCACTGGTGATTAACTATCCGGAAGGGCTCACTCAATACTCCCCACTCTACCTCCTGCCCATTTCCTGACCTTTGCCCCTGAACTGATTGATCAGCAACAACACTGGCCCACCTGCCCTCCACCAGGCCCTGTGCTGCGCCCCTTGCATGTTACATTATTAAGGCATCAGTATGTAAATATTGTCATTTTAACAGAGAACAAAACTCTTGTACTGTTTTGGCTAGCCTGTTTCACAGGTTTATTAAATCAATATTTTTTTTTCCTGGTATTTCTCTTCTACTGCTGCTCAAAGTCTCTCCATTTGTGAATTCTTTACTAGATAAATGAGACTTTAGAGGCAAGAGACCATAAACATATGCCAATGCTGAATGTTATCATTATCATTTAATAAGGAAAAATTAAAGAAATAGAAAGATTTTCCCAAGTGGATGTTAGCAGGCCTTCTAGAAATACACAAACAAACACAAATTGGAGTTCCAGTCCTCTTTCCAGCAAACATAACTGAAAATATATGGAACTGGCTAGAGACAGACTAGATTCGGAAAAGTGAAACTCTCAGATACAAATCTTTTTTACGGCTTCAATAATCACCCTTCTGGATTGTTCAGGAGCCTTCTCCAGAGCAGCATTTCTCAAAAGATATGCATATGAATCATCTGGGGGATCTCATTAAAATGCAGATACTGATTCTGCAGGCAAGGGGTGGGGCCTGAGATTCTGAATTTCAAATAGGCTCCCAAGTAATGATTTGGCTGCAAGTCTGAGACCAAATTTTGAATAGCAAGGGGCTAGAGGTCCTGTCATCTCCATCACAAAAACTATCCCAGAGATGGCAGTATTTCAGCATTTTTACTACACTCAGGATTCTGAATCCAGAAGTTCTGTTTGCCAGATAATCTCAATATCTGGTGTGGAAAATCTGGCTGTCTTACCAGGGCATGCCATGAATGAGTGTTTCTTCACATCACAGTAAACAGTAACACTTGCCTCATTTAAGAAAAAGAAGAAGGGGATAAACAAAATTTGACAATATTTGGTAGCCTTCACAATCTTGAAGTTTGATGAAATTTTAATGAAGCAAATACGAAATAGTCTCAAATAACCAGCAGATATTTTTCATGTCCTAATGTTTTGCAATTCTGTGGGCAAAAAGTATTATGTATCTGGAAAATAAGACAACTAATGTTTTTGCTGCAGCCAGAAAATTAATATAACATAGGAATAAAAATGATGATAATGACAACAGCAATTAATAGTTTCAAGCACTTATGCTCCAGGCACATGCTAAGCACTTTGCTTACACTATATCTCATTTAATCCTCATAACAATTTTATGGTAGAAATATCATTATGTCTAGTTTTTTATGATAGAAAACTGAGACTCAGTGAAGATAGGTTACTTGCCCAATTATTTACCAAATAAAAGTGAGACTGGAACCCAAGGCTGCCTAACCCCCAAGCCCCTGCTCTTCACCATTACGTTAAATGAGTGTTTCATTGCAAATACAGAAGCAGCACCTTGTAAGAATTAAATTTCACCTACCCCAATGGAAAGACAACTACATCATAAGGCCATATCAAATAAACTACAGACTTAAAAAAAAAAGTTAAGATGACTGATTTTCTTGATTAAAGACATAAATCAAGTTGGTTAAAATCAAATACTCCAGATTGCAAAGTTAATTGTTCAAAAACCATTTGGATAGATTCACTACTTTCCTCAACAAAGGGTGATCTGTTAATTATATGTACTGAAAGGCTGCACAGGTTAAATCCTCCAATCCACAAAGACAGGACAGTCTCACAAACCAGGCTAATAATGGCACCATTTCAAAAGCTGGGGATGTCCTCAAAGCAAACAGCAAGTAGCACTCCAGGTGTTCGTTCAGCTCCCCATAGCAGACAGCCCTGGGCAACACAGAAGGAATCCCAGCCAAAGGGCTTCCTGGCTTCACTATAGGTGCAATTCACTTCTTGAATTCCTCTAAAAACTTACTTCAGTGGAAAACCAAGGCACACACATTTGCAGTGGTTCTCACCAAAGAGGGACAACCACTTAGGTGAAATATGAGGGAAAGTAGGTAAGATGGTCTTTAATTTATATATTATGATATTGGAAATATAATTCCCTAGAAAATATGTGCTTCTGAGAGTAACAGCATACATTTTATGTTTTAACAGTCCTATACAATTATATTTATTTGATCTAAGTAAATATGTAATAATATCCAGTTCAATTGATTCTACAAATGAAATGCCCCAAACACCTGTATTTGGAAAATATGGCTACACACACACACACACACACACACACTTTATCTATATACCTATTATGTATATATACACACACACACATACACTTATTGTGCGCAGATATACTTATATCTGTATATGTCTACAATTTTCTATGCCATTGTATATTATACCATTGTAGATATACACATGAATATACACAATATGCAAATTGCTTTCATGTGGACAATGTGGGGGAAATGTCCATATGCCACAGTTGAGTCTTCTGTCCCTTCTCTCTATGCTGGGAGGGTATTCAATTTCAGTAGATCATCAGACCTGTGGTGCTAATATACAGTTCCCATAAAGGGCTTTTGAATCTGTTTGATGTACCTGCCACAGTTCTTAACATTTCTCTCACTCTGTGCTCAGAGAGAACTCTTCAAGCTGGTCTTGTAAGTAAGTCACTTGACTTCTGTCAGTGTATTGTTATTCAATCCCTCTACTGGGATTTAAAATCTGAAAGTCGTATTTTACGGAAATCTTTCAAGTTGTCATCAGGGTACTAATTAGATATTTTTAAAGACCTGTTTCTTACATTATCTTTGTTTTTTCCATGACCATTGGCCTTTGGGATCCCCTGTGGCCACTTTTTGGCTACCGACTTCCTCAAATGCCCAGCAATTCTTGCCTGTTCATGTTCATAAATGAAGGTCTATGAGTACTGGCAGCCTGATGAGATATCTCAGCAATTTTTAAGATCTCGCTTTGATTTTCTTGGGGATCTTCTCCTAAGTAGATGCTGCCGAAAGCTGTAGGCAGCCTCACCCTGGAGTTAGTGAGAAATGGATGAGAAAAGAATAAAGATATCAATTCAGAGGAGGAACAGGGACGGAAGGTTGAGAGTCTTCTTTGGTAGAGGGCGATGGCTCTGGGGGACCAGGACAACCCAGTCCAGAGTTCAGTTACTCTTGTGCCCACCCACAGGACACCTTGGGGTATATCCTGTGGTGAGCAGCTCCATGGCTGGAGCTGGGGCCCACGCTTCGCTCTTCCTCAAAACCCCTGGCCCTGAGTCTGGGATTCCTCCAGAACTTTTCCATAAGCCTGCTTCCTGCTTATGGTGGTATGTGGTCTTCTCAATCCTGAACACTCTCTCAAAACAGTTGTCTTCTAGAAATTTCTCAAATTAGGCATCTATTATTGATAACTTGCCCTGTTTATAGTGATATTGTGCATTTTTACTTATTTTCCTACCTATTTTGATTACTTCAATGGAATTTTGTGGGAGCCAGCAAAATAAACACATGAACTTTTCACCATTAGGATTTACAATCCTAATTCATTTAGAAATATGTTAATATATGTATATGTATATATGTATGCAGGTATACACATATGCATACATATATGTCATGTGTGTGCCAAGAAAACAACCAAAATATTCCAACTACGTTAATCTATGCATTATATGTTTAAGGAAGACATTACTTTCTTCTTTTTGCTCGTGTATATTCCAAGTTATCAACCATCACTATATATTCCATTTTGTGTCGCAATTTTTTTTTTTTTCGAGATGGAGTCTCACTCTGTTGCCCAGACTGGAGTGCAGTGGTGCGATCTCGGTTCACTGCAACCTCTGCCTCTGGGGTTAACGCCATTCTCCTGCCTCAGCCTCCTGAGTAGCTGGCACTACAGGCGCCCACCACGACGCCCGGCTAATTTTCTTGTTTTTTTCAGTAGAGATGGGGTTTCACTGTGTTAGCCAGGATGGTCTCAATCTCCTGACCTCGTGATCCACCCAACTCGGCCTCCCAAAGTGCTGTGATTACAGGTGTGAGCCACCAAGCCCGGCCTGTGTTGTGATTTTTTAAAATAACAAATTCACATACCATAAAATTCACCATTTTAAAGTGTACAAACTCAGTGCTTTTTAGTATATTCACAGAACGTGCAATCATCACCACAATCAATTTTAGAATACCTTCATCATTCCCAAAATAAACTCATACTCATTAGCAGTCACACCCATTCCCCTCTCTCTATAGCCTCCAGCAACCACAATCTTTCTGTAGATTTGTAGATTCCACATATCACTAATCTATGTGTCTATTTTGGGTATTTTACATAAATGTAATCACACATCATGTGGTGCTTTGTGTCTGTCTTATTTAACTTAGCATAATGTTTCCAAGGTCCATCCATGTTGTAGCATGTATCAGTACTTCATTCCTTTTTATGACTGAATAATATTCTATTTTATGGTATACCACATTTTATTTATTCCTTCATCAATTGAATTACATTTGAGTTGTCCCTACTTTTTGGCTATTATGAACAATGTTGTTATGAAATTCATGTATAAACTGTATTGCTTTTGTAATTAAAAAAATACTGCTTAAAAAATTACAAAAATATTTTTTCAAAAATAGTACATCAAACTTTTCATTCATTTATACCCGCTTTGCTCCTACCTAGAGCATATGGTTCTCTTATACTCTTAAAATCTGCCTAATACCTGCAAATACCTAGGTAGAATAAATTAAATAAGAATAAACAGACATTCTTGTATTAATTGGTGGTCAATGAATACAACTAATAATAACATTTGAAAATTTTCTTTTCAAAATGATGAGAGTACTCTAATTTATGTTAACAACTGCTATAGCATTTACAACTATTATTTCAGAAGTAGGCCTTCCTTTTAAGAATATCATCTTAGAGGCCCTGCATGGTGGCCCCTGCCTGTACCAGCACTTTGGGAGGCCGAGGCAGGCAGCTTGCTTGAATCCAGGAGTTCGAGACCTGGACTCAGCATGGCAAAACCTTGACTCCACTAAAAATACTAGAAATTAGCCAGGTGTGGTGGCACATGCCTGTGGTACCAGCTACTCAGGAGGCTGAGGTGAGAGGATCACCTGAGCTTGGGAGGTCAAGGCTGCAGTAAGCTGAGATTACGCCACTGCACTCTAGTCTGGGCAAATGGAGTGAGACCCTGTCTTTAAAAAAAAAAAAAATGGCAGAGCACGGTGGCTCACGCCTGTCATCCCAGCACTTTGAGAGGCCAAGGTGGGTGGATCACCTGAGGTCAGGAGATCGAGACCATCCTGGCCAACATGGTGAAAACCCGTCTCTACTAAAAAAATACAAAAATTAGCCAGGATGGTGGTGGCCGCCTGTAATGCTAGCTACTCAGGAGGCTGAGGAATGAGAATCCCTTGAACTCGGGAGGCAGAGCTTGCAGTGAGCTGAGATCATGCCACTGCACTCCAGCCTGGGTGACAGAGTGAGACTATGTCTCAAAAAAAAAAAAAAAAATCTCATTTTGGAATATATTTTACTCTGTCACATACAACAGTCAGAAAACAATACTTTGTGTACTGAATTAAAACCTGCCCAGGCCAGGAAAAAAGAAAAAAAAAATCTATTTTGCCACCCACTCATAGAGTGCAACCTTTAGAAAGGGATTATTTCCATTACATTTTCATCAGAGACTGGCAAAGAAAAGTATATCATGTTATTACAGAGCCTGGAAATGTAATGACTTCCAGGTTGCTAAGCAACGTCACAACGTTAAAGGGCCCGGTATCTGTGATCTCTAGAGACACTCTCAAATTTCATTAAAACCTGCTCAGAACCATTACACAAAAGATCCATGTAGAGTTTATAAACAGGCTTAGTTTCTTGACATGACAATGAAGGAATTAAAAAAAAAAGCAAGTGGCATCAAAACTTTTGTGGAACTTAAAACCAAATATTTTGGAGATGCAATTAATGAAATCCATAATGTTTCTAGAAGTGTTTCATAGAAAGAAACCAGAGACTATCACTTTATGATAAATAAGTGTTTAGTGGGGATTACCAGGCAAGATGGCCAAATAGGAGCAGCTCTGGTCTGCAGCTCCCAGCAAGACCAACCCAGAAGGTGGGTGATTTCTACATTTCCAACTGAGGTACTCAGCTCATCTCACTGGGACTGGTTAACTGGTTAGACAGTGCGTACAGCCCACGGAGCACAAGCCAAAGCAGGGTGGGGCATTGCCTCACCCAGGAAGGGCAAGGGGTTGGGGAACTTCCTACCCTAGCCAAGGGAAGCCATGAGGGACTGTGCCACGAGCGACGGAGCTATTCGGCCCAGATACTATGCTTTCCCCATGGTCTTTGCAACTTGCAGACCAGGAAATTCCCGCAGGTGCCTACACCACAAAAGCCCTGGGTTTCATGCACAAAACTGGGTGGCCAAGCTAGCTGCAGGAGTATTTTTCCAAACCCCAGTGGCGCCTGGAACGTCAGCATGAAAGAACTGTTCACTACCCTGAAAAGGGGGCTGAAGCCAGGGAGCCAAGTGGTCTTGCTCAGCGGATTCTACCCCCATGGAGCCCAGCAAGCTAAGATCCACTGGCTTGAAATTCTTACTGACAGCACAGCAATCTGAAGCTGATCCTGGATGCTCGAGCTTGGTGGGGGGAGGGGCGTACACCATTACTGAGGCTTGAGTAGGTGGTTTTCCCTTCACAGTGTAAACAAAGCTGCCTGGAAGTTTGAACTGGGCAGAGCCCACCGCAGCTCAGCAAGGCCACTGTGGTCAGACTGCCTCTCTAGATTCCTCCACTCTGGGCAGGGCATCTCTGAAAGAAAGGCAGCAGCTCCAGTCAGGGTACTGTAGATCAAACTCCCATCTCCCTAGGACAGAGCAACTCGGGGAAGGGGCGGCTGTGGGCACAGCTTCAGCAGACTTAAATGTTCCTGCTTGCTGGGTCTGAAGAGAGCAGCGGTTCTCTCAGCACAGTGCTCAAGCTCTGCTAACAGATGGTCTGCCTCCTCAAGTGGGTCCCTGACCCCCGTGCCTCCTGATGGGGAGATACCTCATGGCAGGAGTCGACAGACACCTCACACAGGAGAGCTCCAGCTGACATCTGGCAGCTGCCCCTCTGGGAAAAAGCTTCTGAGGAAGGAGCAGGCAGCAATCTTTGCTGTTCTGCAGCCTCTGCTGGTGATACCCAGGCAAACAGGGTCTGAAGTGGACCCCCAGCAAACTCCTGCTGACGAGCAGAAGAGAAGCCTGACTGTTAAAAGAAAAACTAACAAACAGAAAGCAATAGCATCAACATCAACAAAAAGGACAACCACGCAGACACTCCATCCGAAGGTCACCAATAGCAAAGACCACATGTAAATAAATCCACAAAGATGAGGAAAAATCAGCGCAAAAAGGATGAAAATTCCAAAAACCAGAATGCCTATTCTCCAAATGATCATAACTCCTCGCCAGTGAGGAAACAAAACTGGATGGAGAACGAGTTTGATGAATTGACAGAAGTAGGCTTCAGAAGGTGGGTAATAATAAACTCCTCCAAGCTAAAGAGCATCTTCTAGCCCAATGCAAGGAAGCTGAGAACCTTGATAAAAGGTTAGAGGAATTGCTAACTAAAATAACCAGTTTAGAGAAGAACATAAATGACCTGATGGAGCTGAATAACACAGTACAAGAACTTCGTGAAGCATACACAAGTATCAATAACCGAATCAATCAAGCAGAAGAAAGGATATCAGAGATTGAAGATCAACTTAATGAAATAAAGTGTGAAGACAAGATTAGAGAAAAAAGAATGAAAAGGAACAAACAAAGCCTCCAAGAAATATGGGATTATGTGAAAAGACCAAACCTACATTTGATTGGTGTACCTGAAAGCGATGGAAAGAATGGAACCAAGTTGGAAAACACTCTGCAGGATATTATCCAGGAGAACTTCCCCAACCTAGCAAGACAGGACAACATTCAAATTCAGGAAATACGGAGAACACCACAAAGATACTCCTCAGGAAGAGCAACCCCAAGAAACACAATTGTCAAATTCACCAAGGTTAAAATAAAGGAAAAAATGTTAAGGGGAGCCAGAGAGAAAGGTCGGGTTACCCACAAAGGGAAGCCCATCAGACTAACAGCAGATATCTCTGCAGAAACCCTACAAGCCAGAAAAGAGTGGGGGCCAATATTCAACATTCTTAAAGAATTTTCAACCCAGAATTTCATATCCAGCCAAACTAAGCTTCATAAGTAAAGGAGAAATAAAATCCTTTACAGACAAGCAAATGCTGAGGGATTTTGTCACCACCAGGCCTGCCTTACAAGAGCTCCTGAAGGAAGCACTAAATATGGAAAGGAAAAGCCAGTACCAGCCACTGCAGAAACAAACCAAAATGTAAAGACTATTGACACTATGAATTAACTGCATCAACTAACGGGCAAAATAACCAGCTAGCATCATAATGACAGGATCAAATTCACACATAAAAATATTAACCTTAAATGTAAATGGGCTAAATGCCCCAATTAAAAGGCACAGACTGGCAAATTGGATAAAGAGTCAAGATCCATAGGTGCGCTGTATTCGGAGACCCATCTCACATGCAAAGACACTCATAGGCTCAAAATAAAGGGATGAAGGAAGATTTAGCAAGCAAATAGAGAGCAAACAAAAGCAGGGGTTGCAATCCTAGTCTCTGATAAAACAGCCTTTAAACAAACAACAACAAAAAAGACAATGAAGGGCATTATGTAATAGTAAAGGGATCAATGCAACAAGAAGAGCTAACTATCCTAAATATATATGCACCCAATATAGGAGCACCCAGATTCATAAAGCGAGTTATTAGAGACCTACAAAGAGACTTAGACTGCCACACAATAATAGTGTGGGAGTGACACCCCACTGTCAATATTAGGCAGATCAACGAAACAGAAAATTAATAAGAATATTCAGTACTTGAATTCAGCTAGGGACCAAGCAGACCTAATAGACCTCTACAGAACTTGCCACCCCAAATCAACAGAATATACACTCTTCTCAGCACCACAAAGCACTTATTCTAAAATCGACCACATAATTGGAAGTAAACACTCCTCAGAAAATGCAAAAGAATGGAAATGGTGACAAACAGTCTTTCAGAACACAGTACAATCAAATTAGAAATCAGGGTTAAGAAACTCACTCAAAACGGCACAACTACGTGGAAGCTGAACAACATGCTCCTGAATGACTACTCAGTAAATAGCAAAATTAAGGCAGAAATAAAGAAGTTCTTTGAAACCAATGAGAATAAAGACACAATGTACCAGAATCTCTGGGACACTGCTAAAGCAGTGTTTAGAGGGAAATTAATAGCAATAAATGCCCACAGGAGAAAGCGGGAAAGATCTAAAATTGACAACCTAACATCACAATTAAAAGAACTAGAGAAGCAAGAGCAAACAAATTCAAAAGCTAGCAGAAGGCAAGAAATAACTAAGGTCACAGCAAAACTGAAAAAGGTAGAGACATGAAAAACCCTTCAAAAAATCAATGAATCCAGGAGCTGGTTTTCTGAAAAGATTAACAAAACAGATGGACCGCTAGCCAGACTAATAAAAAAGAAAAGAGAGAAGAATCAAATAGATGCAATAAAAAATGATAAAGGGCATATCACCACTAATCCCACAGAAATACAAACTACCATCAGAGAATACTATAAACACCTCTACGCAAATAAACTAGACAATCTAGAAGAAATGGATAAATTCCTGGACACATACACCCTCCCAAGACTAAACCAGGAAGAAGTTGAATCCCTGAATAGACCAAAAACAAGTTCTGAAATTGAGGCAGTAATTAACAGCATTCCAAACAAAAAAAGCCCAAGACTAGATAGATTTACAGCTGAATTCTACCAGAGGTGCAAAGAGGAGCCGGTACCTTTCCTTCTTAAACTATTCCAAACAACAGAAAAAGAGGGAATCCTCCCTAACTCATTTTATAAGGCCAGCATCATCCTGATACCAAAACCCGGCAGAGACACAACAAAAAGAGAAAATTTCAGGCCAATATCCCTGATGAACATTGATGTGAAAATCCTCAACAAAATGCTGGCAAATGGAATCCAGCAGCACATCAAAAAGCTTATTCACCATGATCAAGTTGGCTTAATCTCTGGGATGCAAGGCTGGTTCAACATATTCAACTCAATAAATGTAATCCATCATAGAAAAAGAACCCATGGAAAAAAACACATGATTATCTCAATAGATGCAGAAAAGGCCTTCAATAAAATTCAACACCTCTTCATGCTAAAAACACTCAATAAACTAGGTATTGACGGAACATATCTCAAAACAATAAGAGCTATTTATGACAAACCCACAGCCAATATTACACTGTATGGACAAAAGCTGGAATCATTCCTTTGAAAACTGGCACAAGACAATGATGCCCTCTCTCACCACTCCTATTCAACATAATATTGGAAGTTCTGGCCAGGGCAATCAGGCAAGAGAAAGAAATAAAGGGTATTCAAATAGGAAGAGAGGAAGTCAAATTATCTCCGTTTGCACATGACATGACTGTATATTTAGAAAACTTCATCGTCTCAGCTCAAAAACTCCTTAAGCTGATAAGCAACTTCAGCAAAGTCTCAGGATACAAAATCAATGTGCAAAAATCAGAAGCATTCTTATACACCAGTAACAGACAGAGAGCCAAATCATGAGCATACTCCCATTCACAACTGCTACAAAGAGAATAAAATACCTAGGAATACAATTTACAAGGGATGTGAAGGACCTCTTCAAGGAGAACTACAAACCACTGCTCGACGAAATAAAAGAGGACATAAACAAATGGAAAAACATTCCATGGTCATGGATAAGAAAAATCAGTATTGTGAGAACAGCCATACTGCCCAAAGTAATTTACAGATTCAATGCGATTCCCATCAAACTACCACTGACTTTCTTCAGAGAATAGGAAAAACTACTTTAAAATTCATATGGAACCAAAAAAGAGTCTGTATAGCCAAGACAATCCTAAGCAAAAAGAACAAAGCTGGAGGCATCACACTACCTGACTTCAAACTACACAAGGCTACAGAACCCAAAACGGCATGGTACTGGTACCATAACAGAGATATAGACCAATGGAACAGAACAGAGGCCGCAGAAATAACACCATGTGTCTACAACCATCTGATCTTTGACAAACCTGACAAAAACAAGCAATGGGCAAACGATTCCCTATTTAATAAATGGTGCTGGGAAACCTGGCTAGCCATATGCAGAAAACTGAAACTGTACCCCTTCCCTACACCTTATACAAAAATTAATTCAAGATGGATTAAATATTTAAATGTAAGACCTAAACCCATAAAAACCCTGGAAGAAATCCTAGCCAATACCATTCAGGACACAGGCATGGGCAAAGACTTCATGACTAAAATATGAAAAGCAATGGCAACAAAAGCCAAAACTGACAAATGGGATCTAATTAAACTAAAGAGCTTCTGCATAGCCAAAGAAACTAGCATATCAGGGTGAACAAGAAGCCTAGAGAATGGGAGAAAATTTTTCCAATCTATCCATCTGACAAAGGGCTAATATCCAGAATCTACAAGGAACTTAAACAAATTTACGAGAAAAAAAACAAACAACCCCATGAAAAAATGGGCAAAGGATATGAACAGACACTTCTCAAACGAAGACATTTATGGGGCCAATAAACATATAAAAAAAGCTCATCATCGCTGGTCATTAGAGAAATGCAAATCAAAACCACAATGAGATACCATCTCAAGCCAGTTAGAATGGCAATCATTAAAAAGTCAGAAAACAACAGATGCTGGAGAGGATGTGGAGAAATTTACACTGTTGGTGGGAGTGTAAATTAGTTCAACCATTGTGGAAGACAGTGTGGTAATTCCTCAAGGATCTGGAACTAGAAATACCATTTGACCCAGCAATCCCTTTTCTGGGTACATATCCAAAGGATCATAAATCATTCCACTATAAAGACACATACACACATATGTTTATTGCAGCACTATTCACAATAGCAAAGACCTGGAACCAACCCAAATGCCCATCAATGAGAGACTGGATAAAGAAAATGTGGCGGAAAAGAGGAAATCAAATTGTCCCTCTTTGCAGACGACATGATTGTATATCTAGAAAACCCCACTGTCTCAGCCCAAAATCTCCTTAAGCTGATAAGCAATTTCAGCAAAGTCTCAGGATACAAAATCAATGTACAAAAATCACAAGCATTCTTATACACCAATAACAGACAAACAGAGAGCCAAATCATGAGTGAACTCCCATTCACAATTGCTTCAAAGAGAATAAAATACCTAGGAATCCAACTTACAAGGGATGTGAAGGACCTCTTCAAGGAGAACTACAAACTACTGCTCAAGGAAATAAAAGAGGATACAAACAAATGGAAGAACACTCCATGTTCATGGGAAGGAAGAATCAATATCGTAAAAATGGCCATAATACCCAAGGTAATTTACAGATTCAATGCCATCCCCAACAAGCTACCAATGACTTTCTTCACAGAATTGGAAAAAACTACTTTCAAGTTCATATGGAACCAAAAAAGAGCCCGCATCGCCAAGTCAATCCTAAGCCAAAAGAACAAAGCTGGAGGCATCACACTACCTGACTTCAAACTATACTACAAGGCTACAGTAACCAAAACAGCATGGTACTGGTACCAAAACAGAGATATAGATCAATGGAACAGAACAGAGCCCTCAGAAATAACGCCACATATCTACAACTATCTGATCTTTGACAAACCTGACAAAAACAAGAAATTGGGAAAGGATTCCCTATTTAATAAATGGTGCTGGGAAAACTGGCTAGCCATAGTAGAAAGCTGAAACTGGATCCCTTCCTTACACCTTAGACAAAAATCAATTCAAGATGGATTAAAGACTTACACGTTAGATCTAAAACCATAAAAACCCTAGAAGAAAACCTAGGCATTACCATCAGGACATAGGCATGGGCAAGGACTTCATGTCTAAAACACCAAAAGCAATGGCAACAAAAGACAAAATTGACAAATGGGATCTAATTAAACTAAAGAGCTTCTGCACAGCAAAAGAAACTACCATCAGAGTGAACAGGCAACCTACAAAATGGGAGAAAATTTTCACAACCTACTCATCTGACAAAGGGCTAATATCAAGAATCTACAATGAACTCAAACAAATTTACAAGAAAAAAACAAACAACCCCATCAAAAAGTGGGCAAAGGACATGAACAGACACTTCTCAAAAGAAGACATTTATGCAGCCAAAAAACACATGAAAAAATGCTCATCATCACTGGCCATCAGAGAAATGCAAATCAAAACCACAATGAGATACCATCTCACACCAGTTAGAATGGCGATCATTAAAAAGTCAGGAAACAACAGGTGCTGTAGAGGATGTGGAGAAATAGGAACACTTTTACACTGTTGGTGGGACTGTAAACTAGTTCAACCATTGTGGAAGTCAGTGTGGCAATTCCTCAGGGATCTAGAACTAGAAATACCATTTGACCCAGCCATCCCATTACTGGGTATATACCCAAAGGACTATAAATCATGCTGCTATAAAGACACATGCACATGTATGTTTATTGCAGCACTATTCACAATAGCAAAGACTTGGAACCAACCTAAATGTCCAACAATGATAGACTGGATTAAGAAAATGTGGCACATATACACCATGGAATACTATGCAGCCATAAAAAAGGATGAGTTCATGTCCTTTGTAGGGACATGGATGAAATTGGAAATCATCATTGTCAGTAAACTATTGCAAGAACAAAAAACCAAACACCACATATTCTCACTTATAGGTGGGAATTGAACAATGAGATCACATGGACACAGGAAGGGGAACATCACACTCGGGGGACTGTCGTGGGGTGGGGGGAGGGGGGAGGGATAGCATTGGGAGATACACCTAATGCTAGATGACGAGTTAGTGGGTGCAGCACACCAGCATGGCACATGTATACATATGTAACTAACCTGCACAATGTGCACATGTACCCTAAAACTTAAAGTATAATAATAAAAGAAAAAAAGAATAAATAAATAAAATAAAATGAGTGGCACTTACATATACACCATGGAATACTATGCAGCCATAAAAAAGGATGAGTTCATGTCCTTTGTAGGGACACGGATGAAGCTGGAAACCATCATTATCAGCAAACTATCGCAAGGACAAAAAACCAAGCACCACATGTTCTCACTCATAGGTGGGAACTGAACAATGAGAACACTTGGACACAGCAAGGTGAACATCATATACCGGGGCCTGTCATGGGGTAGGGGAGCGGGGAGGGATAGCAGTAAAAGATATACCTAATGTAAATGACGAGTTAATGGGTGTAGCACACCAACATGGCACATATATACATATGTAACAAACCTGCACGTTGTGCACATGTACC
Source organism: Homo sapiens (assembly GCF_000001405.40). Lineage (NCBI taxonomy): Eukaryota > Metazoa > Chordata > Mammalia > Primates > Hominidae > Homo > Homo sapiens. Next base: position 41,378,762 of record NC_000003.12, read on the forward strand.
CTAGAACTTAAAGTATAATAAATAAAATAAAATAAATAAAATAATAAAAAATAAAACAAAATAAAATAAAAAAGAAAATGTGGCACATTTACACCATGGAATACTATGCAGCCATAAAAAAGAATGAGTTCAAGTCCTTTGTGGGGACATGGATGAAGCTGGAAACCATCATTCTCAGCAAACTAACACAGGAACAGAAAACCAAACACTGCATGTTCTCACTCATTAGTGGGAGCTGAACAATGAGAGCATATGTTCACAGGAAGGGGAACATCACACACCAGGGCCTGTCGGGAGATGGGAAGCAAGGGGAGGGCTGGCATTAGGAGAAACACCTAATGTAGATGACGAGTTGATGGGTGCAGCAAACCACCATGGCACATGTATACCTATGTAATAAACCTGCACATTCTGTACATGTATCCCAGAACTTAAAGTATTTAAAAAAAAAATAGTGAAAAAAGAAAAAAAAAGTGTTCAGTATCCTAAAAAATACATGTACTGTATGGAACTCTGAGACTTTCTTTGAAGAATGGATAAAAATGTTATATGCATAAATTGGAAATGGAGGCAGAATAATTTGAAATGAGAGCCCTAATCATTACTTGCTTCAGGGAGGGTCATGATAGCAGCTTGCTTTCAACTGAAAAAGGAAATCAAGATGCCATGAGAAATAATTCTCAGGAACACTTTCAAAACATTTCCTTGAACAATGGTGTTGAAAAAGACTAATCCCTGAAACAGAAAACGTTAAACAAGCCTCAATAACAATTTCATGGCCATCACTGGGATACCGGTCTAGGAAGTTTGGCACAACTGCCTAAAATGCCAATGAGACCTGATCTATGACATACGTTTGGGGCACTAACCCTTGCCCAGCCATCTCCTAAATGTTCTAAGCAGAAAGACTGGAAGGAGACCATGTGGTTTAGCTCAACCTTACTCATCACCCCTACAAGCCAAAATATTTTTTAAAAATCAAAGTAAATGTGCACTGACACAGATCAAAAAGGTCACTTACTATGATGCTTGATTTTAAAGGCAAATTCTTAAGAAGAAACTATGCATGCATGTGGGATCATAGGTTTGCTATGCTAAATGGGTAGTGAGAGTGGCAGAGGATACATATTACATAAATATTTATTTTTAATTCCCTAGTTCCCAGGAAGTCTGATTGATTAGGGAAGCCCAAGTCTTTAGGGGCATGAACAAGTGCACTGAGAAATTGTTGGGTAGTTGGCTGTCATGTGCTCACATACCCAAGTGAAGAAAAAAATTAAAATCTTGCACAAGATGTGAGATTTCATAAAATCAGCGCCAGTGATGATAGAAAAATTACACCAAAGTCTTTGATGAGTGAGGGTCTGACAGATAAACACAAAACTAGATGATTAACAGCTGGAGAAGAGAAAAATCTCTTCAAGGGTGAAGACAAGACAATTCAAAAGACAGGCAATTCAAAAGGGAATGCTAATTTGAATAGCAATGGAAAACTGAGGAAGATCTTACATAGTTTTACAAAAAGAGACTCATTTTTATGATGGGGCTGGAAAGGTTACATATGAAGAATGTTATAACGTGCCATTGTGCAATTTTGATAATGTGAAAGATGACATACAAGAAAGTTTAGAATCACTGATAAAGCCCCAAGTGATGGAGAAAAAGGTCCATCTACAGGCCTTCTTACCATACCGTCAGAGTAAGACTGCATCTCTACTGACTCCCAGAGGCAGGGAGATAGGGAACACAGGCCCTCTGGGTGGAGGTCACCTCTGTCCTGGCTGGAATCAGGAGTCATCCCAGAACTCTTCAGGCTCCAGCAAGGTCCCTACAGCTCACTCACGGCCTCACCCATCCAGTTGGCCTGGGACAGTCAAGGCCAATCTCATTCCTCATTGTGTCCAAGTTTATACAGGTCGCCATGTAAAGCCCAGGCCCCCCAGGTCAGCCTTCTTCCCCTGGGCTCTCATCTCTATGAGGCTCTGTACATCCTATATTCTGATTCTTATCTTTACCCCTCCTCTTGAATCCCTTCTATTCACTGTGCCCTTTGGACAGAGTCACCAGCAGGACTTCCTTTATCCTCAGTCTCTTTCCAGGATGCGCCATTCACTTTGCTGTAACTGAAACTGGGCTTTTCCCGCGTGATATGCTCCTCTTGCATGTGTCTCATGCCCCTGAGCTGCTGGGCCTGGAGAAGGCTCCTTGGTTCTCACTGCTGCTTCCCGGCCATTCTCCACCCTTCCTCCATGCATCCCCTGCCCCTCTGCCCCCAGCTTTAAATCTTATGTCACCAGAGAACACCTTCTACTCTTACCTGTGGCAGTTATCTGTGGGTTATCAGGTCGCTCACACTCCCATTCCCCAGCTCACTGTCAGTGTCTTCAACACCACCTTTATCGAGTGCTTGGTCATTTCAAAGTCCATAGAGAGGGTCCTTCCAAAACTACTCATTTCTTTGGCTTTCCCTCCAGTGATCTTGTCGTCCTCCACACTTGATTCACTCTCCTCATTTTAACCTATACCTGGTCACTACCATTAACTGGCAACCCTTCCGGAATCCACATTCAAGCATTCCACATTCTGATACCATTCTGCTTTAGTCCAGACCTCTTTCTGTTGGAATTCCAGGCCTATAGAGCCAACTGCTAGCTTGCCATTTCCAGATGGATGTTCAACAGGCATCTTAAATGTAAAATGTTCAAAACTGAGCTCCTGGTTTTCTCTCTGCCCTCAAATCAGCTCCTCCTACAGTTTTAGCCATCTCAGTGTTGTCTTAGGCCAAAATTGGAATCATCTTTGACTATTTCTTTCATAGTCTCCAACTAATCTGTCAGGAAATTCTGTTGGTTCTGCTTTCAAGATATATCCAAAATATAACCATTTTTTACCCCCTCCAAGTCATGATCAGGACTCTGCTGATACAGCAACCCCCTGACATGTATCTCTTATCCTTCACCCTCTTCAATGACTACTCTCAATGCAACAGCCAGATTGTCTCTCCCTTCAGCTCAAAACCCTCCAAAGGCTTCCACTTCACTGGGGATAAAGACCAGTGTTTACGAGGGTTTACAGGGCCTTTGTAACCTCTTTCCTCCACGACACCCTTCCCTGTTGTCTCCCTCACATCCTATTTGTCTCCTTCTTGCTCAATTTGCTCTGGACACAGGGGCTTCCTTATAGTCCCTAGAACATACCATGAATATACCTGCCTTGTGGCCTTAGCACTTGCTATTTCCCTGCTCCAAACACTCCCTGGCTGCTTTCTCTACTTCTTTCAGTCTTCACTCAGATGTCATCTCAGAGAGGCCTTCCCTAGTCACATTATCTAAAAGCTGCAAATAGCCTGTTGTCTTTCCTCTCTTCCTTTCTCTCTATATTTTTCTTCTTAGTGCTTTCCCTATGTAAAATACCACATAGTTTACTTAATAAATGTGGCTATCATGTCACTCTCTTAGTAAGCTCCATTAGAGCAGGGTTTTCTGTCTGTCTTGTTCCCTGCTGTATCCCCAACATTGAGAACCATGTGTGCCACAGAGCAGGCACTCAATATTTACTTGTTGAGTGAATGGTCACTCTGTCTTACTGAGGACTTTTTCTGTGTGGTACTGAAAAATGCTGAATAACTCATTAGAATGACTTCATAATATTGTTAAAAGACAAAATAAATTCACTTTGATAAATGTTAGTTTCATATTTTGAGATTAAATCCCAATGAAACCTGTTGTCATTATTTACCATAATTGTTATTGCCAGTTTAAATGAATCTATATTAAGTGGTTAGTTTTCTAATATCACTTATTCTAGAACAAAAAGAAACTCCTGTGTTATAAAATAATATACCTAAACCTTGTTGAATAGTTCTGTTGACTGAATTCAAGATACTAGTTTACAAAAAAAAACAAGAGGTCGTACTTTACATGATAATGTTTCAATTCAACTTATCTAACAGCTTGAACTTAAAATACTCTCTTGGATAAATATTGTAAATATCAACTGAACTATACTCTTTATCTTTATATTTTTCTGTGATTACTTAAAACCTGACACCAAACTCTGGTTATTTGCTTTATATATAGCCTATCTACTTGGAAACAATCTTGCTAAGGAAAGAGATATATTCCTATGAACATAATGTGGATATTTGTTATTGTTTATTTCAATTAATGGAATTCATTTCTTAAAATTAATATAGATTAAAGAAAAATTGTAGTTAAATTATTTAAAAAACAAAATTTAAAAACATTTAGTGTAGGCTTTCATAAGAGAAGGCCCCTTAAAAAATTGCCATTGCTGTTTACAACCACAAGGAGGTATTTTTCTTTTTCTTTTTTTTTTTCTTGTTTTTTTTTCTGACACAGAGTTTCACTGTTGTCACCCAGGCTGGAGTGCAATGGCGCAATCTCAGGTCACTGCAACCTCCGCCTCCTTGGTTCAAGCGATTCTCCTGCCTCAGCCTCCCGAGTAGCTAGGATTACAGGCGCCTGCCACTACACCTGGCTAATTTTTATATTTTAAGTGGAGACAGGTTTTCACCATGTTTGCCAGGTTGGTCTCGAACTCTTGACCTAAGGTGATCCACCTGCCTCGGCCTCCCAAAGTGCTAGGATTACAGGCATGAGCCACCACGCCTGGCCTGGAAGTATTTTTCAAACATATTCATTCTAATACTCAACATGCTTTAAATGCTCATTGTTCTGAGACTGGTTTTGTTAAGAGCATGACACTAAAGACATCCCAAATTACCAAAGGAACCTGAAGCATTCTGCGCAGCAAAAGCTGCACGGTTAAGTTGGTGATGGTCAAAATGATTACTAAGCATCAGGAAAACGCCATAGGAACTTACAATTACTATTATTAGAACCAGATAATAATTCCCTTTAAATGGAAATATTCAGGGATTGAATAAATAAATGATCCCTCACAGTAAACTTTCTTTTGTGTTTCTCCCACCACTCCCCTTGGTTCTCAAGAGGCTGCAGAATGCAAAGCACCAGGGACTCTTAGCTTTTTACTTACAACTTATACTGGGCAGATTCTCAATGAATTAATATCAGAGAAGGAAGCAGTATTCTCAGCAACTCTTCTCCCTTTTTGAGAGTTATTATATCTGTTACCAAGAATAGTAGATTGGTCCTTTCCACATTTTAAATATTTCCCCTCAGGCATTAAAATTAACCACTTTGTTCCATAAATATTATCAAAATTTTATAGTTTTTACCCTTTACTTTAAAAAGTCAATGTGGGAAATAGGAGAATATTCACAGAGTTCCATGTATCTCTCCAAGCATGCCTTAGTGATTGCAAGGGTAACACACACCTGCATAGTGGAGACATGTGTCAGATGCCCTCTTAACCAAGCAATTAAACTTAGCATCACTAAAAATGGAGATGACTGACATCACATGCTTCTTAATATGATATAGTATAAGGGGCCACTATCAATGGGACATTCTGACCCAAAATATCACGAGGAAACAATCATTCTACTCCAGAGTATGAGATATTCCATAAGACAAGTGACTCAGGCTTTTCAAAAAGTCAATTTCATATGGAAAAAAAAAAGATTCTTCTAGATTAAAAGAGACAAGGAAATAATAAATTCAGTATGCGAGCCTTGGTTGGAATGTGACTTAAACAAAAAAAGACTATAATAGTCATTTTTTGACAACTAATAATACCAGCATTTTGGGAGGCTGAGGCAGGCGATCACTTGAGCCCAGTTCAAGACCAGCCTGGGCAATATAGGGAAATCCTGTTTCTATTTTTCTGAGATCAGATGAGATCGGGTGCGTTCAGGGTGGTATGGCTTGTAGAGTCTGTCTATATAAATTTTTTTTCGAGACAGAGTCTCGTTCTATCACCCAGGCTGGAGTGCAGTGGCATGATCTCGGCTCACTGCAACCTCTGCCTCCCAGGTACAAGCGATTCTCCTGCCTCGGCCTCCTGAGTAGCTGGGAGTATAGGCACCCGCCATCACTCCTGGCTAATTTTTGTATTTTCAGTAGAGATGGAGTTTCACCATGTTAGCCAGGTTGGTCTGGAACCCCTGACCTCAGGTGATCCACCCACCTCGGCCTCCCAAAGTACTGGGATTACAGGCGTGAGCCACTGCACCCAGCTTTTATTTTTTTAAAAAGAAAATTAGCTGGGCATGCTGGTGCATGCCTGTAGTCCCAGCTACTCGGAAGGCTGAGGTGAGATAATCAATTGAATCCCTGAGGTCAAGGCTGCAGTCCCCATGAGGGCACCACTGCATTCCTGCCTGAACAACAGAGAGACCTTGTCTCAAAAAATAAAAAAAAAAGTATTAAGTAGATATTAATGATATGAAATTGTTAATTTTCTTAGTTGTGATAATGGTATTATGGTTAGAGATCAAGTGTCATGATGTCTTCACTTTCACATGATTTAGAAAACACATACATACAACAGAAATATGGTAAAACGATAATTCTTGATTACACAGGTGCCCGTCCTATGATTCTTTCAACTTTTCTTGGATTTTGAGATTTTTTTTAATAAAAAGAAGAGTAAAACTATCATCAATGGCAACAGAAACTTGAAAGAGCAGAAGATGCTGTAGAGAGAGTAGGGAACAAATTTTATCTGCTAGGATTACAGGAAGGGAGTAGGGGAGCTGAATCTCTTGAGAAAAGAAATCAAAACAGAAGGAAAATTATGCTGCACAGGGGCTACAAATGACAGATTGGAGAAAAAAATAGGAAGGGAAGGCAACTAGCCTGGGCAACAGAGTGAAATTATGTCTCTAAAATTAAAAAGAAAAATCATATCACAACTTGGTATGCACAGCCACATGTGCAAACAGATGCAGAAAATGGGAAAAAAAGTTTCACAAAGCAATATCCTATGAACAATACACTAAGATTTGTTATTCTGTTCTATTTCATTTTTATTTAAATAACAAATGCTACACCGTGAAACTTTAAATTGCTTGCAGTGGATCATGATGTGTAGTTGGAAAAACACAAATCTCAATCAACTTGCTTGCTTTGTCAGCAGTGAAACTTAGAGAGGTTGTGTCTTGTCTATGGCAGTACAAGTAGTTGACTGGAGAGCTGAGACTGGAACCCAGGGCTTTGGGCTCCTAGGCCACATTCTTTCTATTCCACTAAGCTGACTTTCACATTGTTTTGTCTTTAAAACACACATGAAACTTTTCAACCTCCTTAACTGACAATATTTTCCAAATCGCAAGCCTGGATGCTTATTATTATCCTTTATACCATTTCTGGGAAGAAATATACTGTATTCAGCCATTCAGATCATAAACTTCATAAGAGCAGAGGGCTTGCCTGTCTTGTTCTTCATGTATTATATCTTCAGCACTTCCACGTTTGGCTCAAAACAGATGCTCAATATACTATTGCTGAACAAATTAATGACTCCACTCTTGCGGATTTAGCTATTATCTCAATATTGATAACTCTTATATATACATATTCCTTTTTTTACAACTAGAGTCTAATTTTGCATTTCATTTTGTGGCCTGCTTTCACATTCACCCACCCTAATTTTCAAACACCAGATCACTTTTTCAAGGTGTTATTTGTCATTTTTAACTGAACATGTGTAAAATTAAACTTATCATATTAAATGGGTTTTTCTCTACTTCTACTGAAGGTACTAATAATATCCCAGGTATAAGGATTAGGAATTCTTATGAAGTGGCGTCCACAAACTCCAGTTTTCTCAAAAGTCAGGCAGGAAAGAAATGTTTGAATCACTTGAGTATAAGAACAGAGGGAGAATTGGAGCCACAGCCAAACCAGAGAACCCAGAACTACCTAAAACTTTTTTGACCCTTTGCGTTCCATTTGTGGTCCATAAATCTAGAGCCAAACTTAGTTCACATTCCCCTGCCTCAGAGACCTATACTCAATTAGTCACCAGACCTGGTTGATTTTTCCTATTAAATGCCTCTTGCAATGGTTCTGGATCATACATCCTTATATGGAATCAAACTGCAGATACTAGGAGGAGACCGCAAGTAAGGATGAAAGTAGAGAGCTGATGTGTGGGGAAATGAGACATGTTCAGATGGATCTTAAGAAAGCTTTCTCTGTCACATCCTGTGACATGTGATCTTGTCGATACCTATGGTAAAGATCTGTATATTTCCTCAAGGCTCTTGAGGTGGACTATCATTTTATCAATACTAATACTGAGGTCTGAGTCCTGAGAAGGACTGGCTATAAATGACTCTGTTCCACTAGCCACTTTCTGAATCCGTCTTGCTCAATATCTCAGGAATATCTCTTCAGGGAATTATGTAAAAATTTTAGGCAGTATATTTCTTTTTTTGATAGACTTTAAAAAAAATTGGCAAATAACTACTGTATAAATTCATGGGGTACACAGTAAGGTTTCGATACATATAATGTATAGTGGTCAGATCAGGGTAATTAAGATATCTATCATTTAAAACATTTATCATTTCTTTGTGTTGAAAATGTTCAATATCTTTCTCTAGCTCTAGCTACCTACAACTCTTTGAAACTATTTTATTATTAACTATAGTCATCCTACAACGGTATAGAATGCTAGGACTTATTCCTCTTATTTAGCTGTAATTTTGTATCTTTTTTTTTCTTTTTTATATCATTATACTTTAAGTTTTAGGGTACATGTGCACAATGTGCAGGATAGTTACATATGTATACATGTGCCATGTTGGTGTGCTGCACCCATCAACTCATCCTTTAACATTAGGTATATCTCCTAATGCTATCCCTCCCTACTCCCCCAACTCCACAACAGGCCCAGGTGTGTGATGTTCCCCTTCCTGTGTCCATGTGCTCTCATTGTTCAATTCACACCTATGAGTGAGAATACGCGGTGTTTGGTTTTTTGTCCTTGTGATAGTTTGCTGAGAATGATGGTTTCCAGCTTCATCCATGTCCCTACAAAGAACATGAACTCATCCTTTTTTATGGCTGCATAGTATTCCATGGTGTATATGTGCCACATTTTCTTAATCCAGTCTATCATTGTTGGACATTTGGGTTGGTTCCAAGTCTCTGCTATTGTGAATAGTGCCTCAGTAAACGTACGTGTGCATGTGTCTTCATAGCAGCATGATTTATAATCCTTTGAGTATATACCCAGTAATGGGATGGCTGGGTCAAATGGTATTTCTAGTTCTAGATCCCTGAGGAATCGCCACACTGACTTCCACAATGGTTGAACTAGTTTACAGTCACACCAACAGTGTAAAAGTGTTCTTATTTTTCCACATCCTCTCCAGCACCTGTTGTTTCCTGACTTTGTAATGATTGCCATTCTAACTGGTGTGAGATGGTATCTCATTGTGGTTTTGATTTGCATTTCTCTGATGGCCAGTGATGATGAGCGTTTTTTCATGTGTGTTTTGGCTGCATAAATGTCTTCTTTTGAGAAGTGTCTGTTCATATCCTTCACCCACTTGTTGATGGGGTTGTTCACTTTTTTCTTGTAAATTTGTTTGAGTTCATTGTAGATTCTGGATATTAGCCCTTTGTCAGATGAGTAGGTTGCGAAAATTTTCTCCCATTTTGTAGGTTGCCTGTTCACTCTGATGGTAGTTTCTTTTGCTGTGCAGAAGCTCTTTAGTTTAATTAGATCCCATTTGTCAATTTTGGCTTTGGTTGCCATTGCTTTTGGTGTTTTAGACATGAAGTCCTTGCCCATGCCTATGTCCTGAATGGTATTGCCTAGGTTTTCATCTAGGGTTTTTATGGTTTTAGGTCTAACGTGTAAGTCTTTAATCCATCTTGAATTAATTTTTGTCTAAGGTGTAAGGAAGGGATCAAGTTTCAGCTTTCTACATATGGCTAGCCAGTTTTCCCAGCACCATTTGTTAAATAGGGAATCCTTTCCCCATTTCTTGTTTTTGTCAGGTTTGTCAAAGATCAGATAGTTGTAGATATGCGGCATTATTTCTGAGGGCTCTGTTCTGTTCCATTGATCTATATCTCTGTTTTGGTACCAGTACCATGCTGTTTTGGTTACTGTAGCCTTGTAGTATAGTTTGAAGTCAGGTAGCATGATCCCTCCAGCTTTGTTCTTTTGGCTTAGGATTGACTTGGCTATACAGGCTCTTTTTTGGTTCCATATGAACTTGAAAGTAGTTTTTTCCAATTCTGTGAAGAAAGTCATTGGTAGCTTGATGGGGATGGCATTGAATCTGTAAATTACCTTGGGTATTATGGCCATTTTCACGATATTGATTCTTCCTACCCATGAGCATGGAATGTTCTTCCATTTCTTTGTATCCTCTTTTATTCCATTGAGCAGTGGTTTGTAGTTCTCCTTGAAGAGGTCCTTCACATCCCTTGTAGGCTGGATTCCTAGGTATTTTATTCTCTTTGAAGCAATTGTGAATGGGAGTTCACTCATGATTTGGCTCTCTGTCTGTTATTGGTGTATAAGAATGCTTGTGATTTTTGTACATTGATTTTGTATCCTGACACTTTGCTGAAGTTGCCTATCAGCTTGAGGAGATTTTGGGCTGAGACGATGAGGTTTTCTAGATATACAATCATGTCATCTGGAAACAGGGACAATTTGACTTCCTGTTTTCCTAATTGAATGCCCTTTATTTCCTTCTCCTGCCTGATTACCCTGGCCAGAACTTCCAACACTATGTTGAATAGGAGTGGTGAGAGAGGGCATTCCTGTCTTGTGCCAGTTTTCAAAGGGAATGCTTCCAGTTTTTGCCCATTCAGCATGATATTGGCTGTGGGTTTGTCATAGATAGCTCTTATTATTTTGACATATGTCCCATCAATACCTAATTTACTGAGAGTTATTAGCATGAAGGGTTGTTGAATTTTGTCAAAGGCCTTTTCTGCATCTATTGAGATAATCATGTGGTTTTTGTCTTTGGTTCTGTTTATATGCTGGATTATGTTTATTGATTTGCCTATGTTGAACCAGCCTTGCATCTCAGGGATGAAGCCCACTTGATCATGGTGGATAAGCTTCTTGATGTGCTGCTGGATTCGGTTTGCCAGTATTTTATTGAGGATTTTTGCATCGATGTTCATCAGGGATACTGGTCTAAAATTCTCTTTTTTTGTTGTGTCTCTGCCAGGCTTTGGTATCAGGATGATGCTGGCCTCATAAAATGAGTTAGGAAGGATTCCCTCCTTTTCTATTAATTGGAATAGTTTCAGAAGGAATGGTACCAGCTCCTCCTTGTACCTCTGGTAGAATTCGGCTGGGAATCCATCTGGTCCTGAACTCTTTTTGGTTGGTAAGCTATTAATTATTGCCTAAATTTCAGATCCTGTTATTGGTCTATTCAGAGATTCAACTTCTTCCTGGTTTAGTCTTGGGAGGTGTATGTGTCGAGGAATTCATCCATTTCTTCTAGATTTTCTAGTTTATTTGCTTAGAGGTATTTATAGTATTCTCTGATTGTAGTTTGTATTTCTGTGGGATTGGTGGTGATATCCCCTTTGTCATTTTTTATTGTGTCTATTTGATTCTTCTCTCTTTTCTTCTTTATTAGTCTTGCTAACAGTCAATTTTGTTGATCTTTTCAAAAACTAGCTCCTGGATTCATTGATTTTTTGAAGGGTTTTTTGTGTCTCTATTTCCTTCAGTTCTGCTCTGATCTTAGTTATTTCTTGCCTTCTGCTAGCTTTCGAATGTGTTTGCTCTTGCTTTTCCAGTTCTTTTAATTGTGATGTTAGGGTGTCAATTTTGGATCTTTCCTGCTTTCTCTTACGGGCATTTAGTGCTATAAATTTCCCTCTACACACTGCTTTGAATGTGTCCCAGAGATTCTGGTATGTTGTGTCTTTGTTCTCGTTGGTTTCAAAGAACATCTTTATTTCTGCCTTCATTTTGTTATGTACCCAGTAGTCATTCAGGAGCAGGTTGTTCAGTTTCCATGTAGTTGAGCGGTTTTGAGTGAGTTTCTTAATCTTGAGTTCTAGTTTGATTTCACTGTGGTCTGAGAGACAGTTTGTTATAATTTCTGTTCTTTTACATTTGCTGAGGAGTGCTTTACTTCCAACTATGTGGTCTATTTTGGAATAGGTGCGGTGTGGTGCTGAGAAGAATGTATATTCTGTTGATTTGGGGTGGAGAGCTCTGTAGATGTCTATTAGGTCTGCTTGGTGCAGAGCTGAGTTCATTTTGTATCTTTTAACAAATCTCTCCCTATCCTTCCTCCCATCCCCCTTCCCTTCCCTTCACAGCCTCTAGAACTCTCTGTTTTACTTTTTACTTCTATGAGAGCAACTTTTTTTAGCTTCCACATATGAGTGAGAACATGCAATGTTTATCTTTCTGTGCCTAGCTTATTTCATTTAACATATTTATCGTCCAGGTCCATTCATGTTTCTTTTCTTTGTTGGACAGATACAACAAAATCATTCAAAAAGTTCCCAAATTAACTTGCAAACCCTATGGCAATCAGTGGCAGAGAATGCTTATCCAGTGGAACTACAAATGAGTGTGTATGGATTCAAGAAAAGATCTCTTTCAGAAACGCTTAAGAGCATCCTCTCATGGTTTTAGGAAATCTTCTAAAAAACCAGATTGCATATAAAATTGATTGAATTTACTTTTAACTCATTTGGGTACACAGTGTTTCTCTTAGAAATTTTACTGGTTTTACATCAATCCCCATTCTGTTTTCCTTTAAGAATACAAGTCAAGAATGGAAGGTCTTAACCCCAAGAAAAATAAGACAGGAGGGAGAGAGGTATAATTTTACCTTTTTATTATACCTCAAGGAATATTTCTTTACTTTTCTATCTAGTAGAAAGAGTGCCTCTTCTGATTCTAAGTTCTACAACCCAACCTGGTACTAAAATATTAAAAGAATGGCTGCAGAATTCCTGGTTTCCTCATCTGGTCTCTTTAATGACTCTGTACATAAGGAAATGCTATATTACACTCATTTTCAGCAACAGAACACGTCTGTTCTCATGTGGAATGAGAAGGGCCGATACCTATATGAGAAATCAGAAGGAAAATGATGGTGAGCACAGCAAGACTTTCTGAAGACCACAGGGTAAAGATTCTTCATGGAATAGATATTTGTAACATATCCTTAATGCTATTCATCTTCAGAGAGTTATTGCAAATCACATTCCTTCCACCTCTGCTGCACCAGGTAGACGGGTGAGAAGGTGACAGGGAGTTAGTAACATCAGCATATTATAGTCACCCTTCCATGGACTATTTTTCTGCTTTCAGAGAGTAGTCGATAGCATATATTTAAGCCAATTTTAGGCACAGAACAAATCTGTGGTGGTTCATGTGTAGTCAATATTTTGAGTGTTGGAGTAAGCTAGCTTTAATTAAAAGACAAGTAGCTAATCTACAATCATTGCCCTGGGAAAACTCCCATTGATATCCAGTTTAAGGGAAAGGTAAACTTGGGAGACACTTGAAGGATTTCCATCACATTTTTAAAGCTAAAGCAGGAAGTATAATTATAAAACCTCCCAACTTCCTGTTCAATTACAGCAGATAATTAAATCGTTAGGTTTCTTCAACATTCTCTGGATGTTCTAAATACAGACTAAATAAGAAAGAGCACCCTAGAGGCAAAACACATCCCATCTCCATTAACAGAAATTAAACATCCTATTTCTTTGTTAGTGAAAACTGTAGTTTTAGAAAGTAATTGTCACAAGATTGGGACTTTAAACAGAAATGTCAAGAATCCAGGGCCCTTTCTGTGATTCATAGGGAGGGATCTGCTACATTATTCCCCAAGATGATTCTCTAACAACCATGGTTTACCAGTCACTGACATGCTCATTACCTGTAAATTATGGGGTCAAACATATCTTGGGCTTGCCCTCTCTGAATCCACCCAGGCTCGCTCAGCTTTGGGCACAGGAGGCTACTCTTCCCATCAGGGCTTTAAAAGAGATGACCCCACCAGCTTAGAATACTCTTCTTTTTAGATGTGCTCCTGGTGGGAGTGTGTACTTAATGAATATCCTCTGATTAGGTCCTCAGGGAGCTTGTCTTTTCCTCCTTAACTTCTTATGGTCAAGAAAATGCATTTGTCAGGCCTCCTTAATCCAATTACTGGCACCAGGTAATAAATCTCGATTGCCTCTGTTTCTCTATGGAATCTGATTCTTCTGCTCCAGTGAGCCAAGCCTGAGAGTTGGGTCTCCCCAAAGTCACAGGAAACTTCTGCTCGTGTTCCTTATATCACTCAAGCTCCTGTCCTCTATCCATATGCATATCCAATCTCATGCAGTCTTCAGAAACTTGGCAGGGCTGTGTGGAGAAGACTGAAGCTTCAGACTATGGGATAACTAGATGTCTTTTATGGTCCTTCTCAGTCTGACCTATATGTGTCTGCAAAGTACTAACACGAGCTCCCAATATGGACTGAAGACCACAAGTGAACTGCCAATAACAAAACCGCTGTATTTTATGAACATTCCTTATTCAGCTCAGTAAATACTAAATACCTATTCTGTGATAGCTACTATGGTAAAGTTTCATTCCACAGTAAGGAAAACTAATTCAATTAAGATGCTGCCAGCAGCCGTTTGTTTCAGAGACCAGAATTCCTTAATTCCATCAACAATGTCTAAACTCTAAATGCTCCTAAAGCTCATGTTTAGTAAAGCTCTGGCTTTTCCTGGCCCATGTCTTATGTCTTCCCAATCTGGCTCCATGGATTTCTGGGTCTTTGCTCAGGATGTGCTTCTTCCTGCTCAGTGTGTAGAATACCAACACATTCTTCCATACTCACTTTAAACATCATGTCTTGCCAACTTCCTCCCCAAAATGACTGTTCCGTCGGAACTTTCTTGGCTTCTCCACCATAGCACTGATTGGATTTTGCTTTGTAATGAAGCTGGTTGCTTCCATGTCTCTCTGGCTAGAGATCCCTGAGGGCAGGGAGCAGCAAGATCATGTCTTACTGTTTCATTATCCCTGGTGCAGTGCTTTGCACATAGTCATAACTCTATTACTTGTTTTTCTATGAATAAAAGAATGAATCTCTCAGGTCCTGTCTGGATCAAAGTTCAGTCCAATTCTGCCTGACAAATGCCTGCAGAACTCAGATCAGTCCTTGGCAAAGCAGCAGCCTGGAGCCAGCTACTTCGAAGGAGGATGGGCTGGAGCAATCCAACCTGGGCTTGATACCAGCTCTACCATTTCCTAGTTGGTGGTCTTGGGAACATTATTTAAGCTCCTTGAGCCTTAGTTTATAACCTATAAAATGGTAATAATCTGGGAACAATCACTGGAGCTGATCTCCAGGGATGTTGTCAAGATTAAAGGAGCTTAATGTACCAAAAATTCTAACACAGAGACTACCACAAGTAGTAACCAACAACTGATGAACAACTTTTACACGTCAGACACCATCACATTCTGAAGATAACAACAAATAACAAGACCGACCACATTACTACCCAGGAACAAGGGTAATGTAAAGATAAGAACAGAAAGTAGGCCAACAATTACAAAACAATGGCTGCCAGAGAATTAAAAACAGACAGCAGAAGGACAAAGAGGAAGACGGACTAAATCAGTCCAGAAGCATGAGACAGGTAGTATCACACTCCTCTTTGGGTAACCTGCTGCTATTTCTCTCCAAGTGTACTAACCTCAGTACAGATGGGGTTACTTCCCAATAAACCCATCATAATGTAAGTCGAAAATGCATTTAGTACACCTAACCTGCCAAACATCATGGCCCAGCATACCTTAAATGTGCTCAGAACACTTACATTAGCCTACAATTGAGCAAAATCATCTAATACAAAGCCTACTTTGTAATATTTAATATCTCACGTAATTTATTGAAGATCATATTGGAAGTGAAAAATAGAATGGTCGTATGGGTACTTGAAATATACTTTCTGCTAAATGAGCATCAGTTTTGCACCAGTGCAAAGTTGAGAAATCCGAATTTGAACCCTGGCAAATTGGAGGCCATCTGTATTCCATTTAATTAGAACTGAGCTTCAGGATGGGCAAGTTCAAGACCACAACTGAGTTGACTGGGGCCCCTAGAATCTCTGATTGTATGTTTTATATGACTTGGCCCAACACTGACTGACCCAGGGTAAACTAGAAAGCTTTCGGAAGATTTTGAGGCATTTATCACAGATGGCAGGCCTGTAAACATTATGGGCATTCTTGAACAACTAAAGAAGAGACATCAAAGAGTTAGAGTGACCTTCACAGGTACCCTCCAGAAGAGGGTAGAAAACAGTATATTTTAACTCTTGGGACTGTCCAGGCTATTTCTGTTATTGTTGCTAAGCAAACAGTTGTTGTGATCCCAATGCAGAACATTTTTGCATCTTACTTCCTAATCACCACACAGAAAGGCTCCACAGTTTCTTGGAGAAATGCCTGATTCCAAGGCTGCAGCAGTAATACAACATGAGCCTGGAATATCACATTATGATTGAAAGCACTCCAAAAAAAAAAAAAAAAAAGATGGAGAATGTCAAATGACATAGCAGACATCCAAAAGCCATTCCCATTAGCCAAATCTGGGGCAGCCGTGGATTGTAACTCACTGAAAACTTCATGAGCCAATCCTAATAATAACAGAGATAAGTTTTAAAAAATCAATAAATGGGACAGAAAAGGTGGAACAACACAAATGTCCATCAATGGATAACACATTTTTAAAATGTGGTATACACACACAATGGATTATTAGCCCTAAAAACGGAGGAAATTCTAGCACGTGCTACATCATGAATTAACCTTGAAGCCACATACCAAGTGAAACAAGCCAGACATAAAAGGACAAATATTGTATAATTCCACTCGTACGAGGTACCTAGAGTAGTCAAATTCATAGAAACAGAAAGTCGAATGGTGGTTATCAGGCACTGGGAGAAGGAGGAGTGGGAAGTTATTGTTTAATAGGCACAGAGTTTCAGTTTGGGAAGATGAAAAAGTTGTGGAGATGGATAATAGTGATGGTTGCACAACAATGTGAATATGCTTAATGCCACTGAACCATATACTTGAAAATAATTCTAGTGATAAATTTTATGCTATATACATTTTACCACAATAAAAAGAAAATAGATGAGCAGCACCAGCATCAACTTCTGTTTTTGCATACAAAGGTAAAAATCACTTGGATTCAACTTTTCTTCCACAAACAAAATCTACCCGGCCCTATAAGGCAGGTCAGATATTATAAAGAAGCCATTTTAAATAGTAAAGCAAACTAAAAGATGGTAGAATCTGTTGATTTTGACCAAGTTGGGGTCTTATTAATTAATCTGTATGATTAATTTGATCAGTGTTTTAGTAAATAACATAACTTATTTCCATAATATCTGCAATTCTAAAATCTAGAAAGCTCTGAAAATCCAAACTTTTTTTCGTAAGTTTTGTTCAAAAACACATACGGTAGCAAAATCCTGAACTCACAGGAGCCCATGTTTGGTCTTTATTTACCCCTGCCTGGTGTAAATATTCATACATTTTGCCACAGAAATATTACTGTGCTTATGATGTCATTGCCTGAGTGTCTCCTATGGGCATCATATAATATACGGTATAAGTACCATGCCAAAAAGATCTGAAATTTCTAAGTTTCAAAAAAAAAATCTGATCCTGAGTTTCAAAGAGACTGTAGATCCCTACAAAATTTAACCATATCAGATATCAGACCAATATTTTCCAAGCTTCTGACATTCTCTACCATATTCACAGTTTTGCCATATCTACAGATCACTTGTATTATTATAGTCTCTAGTACTTGTCTTCAGATTGACTCACCTTTTTCTTTACATAAAGTAATTTTTTAAAGAAACATCTCCACTGTAAAAGATGAGAGCTTGAGAGGCCTGCTCTGTTAAAAAGGGAAATTCTGAAGGATTAGAGGGGTGTTAAAGACACAACAACTGAGGCTTTTGCCTTGAATAACCAGAAAGTCCAAAAGAAAATGGAAATGAAATAACTGCCTCACTACGTGATTCCACATCATCTAGTGCTAGGCTGATGTACCATCTCCAAGACCTACTGTCCTCAGAAGTATTCATCCCACACTTGGGGAACTGAACTAGACCATCATAATCCTGCAATTCAGGTAGTGACTCTGCTGAGATTAGTAAGTCTTGTTTTGGGGTTGGGGGGGAGTCACACCCATACAAAAGCACAATATGGCAGTGAAGGAGTCAATCTGTTTATCTCCCTTCTAGTTCTGTCACCCATCACCTGTCATACAGGTTCAGCTGGGTCACTCGCTGCAACTGTCTACCTATCAAATTGGTGCAAGTCATTTTGAGTACATCTCTGGAACATCCACAGCCTCCACCTGCCAAAGGATACCTCAAGGTATTAGGATCTAGAAGTGAACACAGACTGACAAACCAGAAGATGATAGGTGAACAGAACCCCCATCCTTTATTAACTTCAACACTAGCTACTGTAAATAGTGGCCTTCAAAATCAGCAGGGAAAGATTTACTGTAGAAAGAGAATAGGTTTTCAAAAGCACTTTCAAATAGACGTCAGCTATATATGCATTTTTAAATAAAATAAGTGAAGCAGAAGGGAAAGTTTTTCCTTACAGTGGAATGCTGGGAGTTATAAATGTTGGGGATGAGAAAATTTCCATTTTGCAACTACTACAAAATAATAATAACTAACTACACATTGATTAAACCAAGTGATCAAAATTAATACCACCAGTGAGGGGCAAACAGCCACCAAAAGCCTCTGGATATGATGGATTGAGAAGGACCAATTTACTTCTAGAGTACTAACAAACCTAATCGTGAAGAAACATCAAACAGACCCAAACTCAGGGAGATGCTACAAAATACCTGGCCTATAATCTTCAAAAATATCATGAAAGACAAAGACTGAAAGACTATTCCAGATTAAAGACACATGTCTACCAAAATACATAATCCTAGACTGTATCCTACACCAGAAAAAAGGCTATGAAAGTTACTGGGACAGCTGACCCAACTAGAATATGGACAGAAGACTGGTAAAGGAATTTTATCAGTGTTAAACTTCCTGATTTTGATTACTTAAGTAACAGAATATCAATTTTATTTTAGGAAATACAAACTTAGATGTTAAGGAGTGTGAGGCACAATGTCTCTAACTTACTCCCAAATGGTTCAGAAAAAAGTATGTATATATGCAGATAAACAGTATATGACAAATGTCAACAACAGGTGATTAAGGAGAAAGGTGACTGGGAGTTCTTGACAACTCTTGCAAATTCTCTGTAAATTTGAAATTAGGTCCAAGAAATGGCTACTCACTGTCCATGTCGCTGCCAGCAAAGCCACCCACAGTGTCCCCGGTTTCTGTGTGAACTCACCATTCTTCTGAGAATCCTTAACAGAAGCTTCTGCTCCTTTGGGTCCTCCTTGGATGTCAGTAAATGAGCAAAAATTTCCACATTTTCAGGAGAGAGGCTGTCCGGGTTTTCCCCTCCATACAGCTGAACCAGTATAGACAGGCACTTGGATGAAACATCAAAAATCTCAGGATCTTCATTAGGAAGCTGAAAATTAACAAATAAGACTATTTAAATTTCCTTGAAGACGGTATTAGTACTCAAAAAAAACACAGTAAAATTTGGCTTGATGGGGGTGTCAGCCTGAGTAGTCTGCTGAATACTTTTTTACTTTTTTTTTTTTTGAGACAGGGTCCCACTCTGTTGCCCAGGCTGGAGTGCAGTGGTATGATCACAACTCACTGCAGCCTCAACCTCCTGGGCTCAAGTGATCCTCCTGCCTCAGCCTCCTGAGTAGCTGGGAATAAAGACACACACCATCATCATGCCCAGCTAATTTTTTTTTTTTTTTTTTGGTAGAGACGTGGTCCCCCTATGTTGCCCAGGCTAGTTTTGAACTCCTGGGTTCAAGGAATCCTCCTTCCTCAGCCTCCCAAAGTGCTGGGATTACAGGCATGAGCCACTGCGCCTGGCCTAAATACTTTTTTAAATGCATCTTTTTCAAAGTGTATGTAGTTGCTCAAACAAAGCTAACAGCACAAAATCAGAAGGTCCTATATTCTTCTTTTTAAAAAGTTTTTTTTATTATTTTATTTTTATTGCCACATAATTATACATTTTTATGGAGTACAGTGTGAGGTTTCAATACACATATACAATGTGTAATAATCAAATTAGGGTAATTAACATATACTTTACCTCATACATATATCCTTTGTGGTGAGAACATTCCAAATCCTCTCTTCTAGCTATTTTGAAATATATATTATTATTAACTATAGTGCAGTGAAAGGACATACCCATATTCCTCCTATTTAATTGTAACTTTACCTACTGACCCGCTTCATAGTAACTCTATATTTAACCTTTTGAAGAACTGCCAGACTGTTTTCCAAAGCTGCCACTTGTACCAGCAATGCATGAAATTTCCATTTTCACTAACACTTGTTATTATCTGTCTTTTTAGTTACAGTTATCTTAGTAGGTCTAGAGGGGTAACTCATTGTGGTTTTCAGACGTACTTCCCTGATGGCTAATGATGTGGAGTACCTTTTCATGTGCTGATTGGCCATTTGCGTATCTTTGGAAAAATGTCTGTGCAGACCCTTTGTCCATTTTAAAAATAGGTCATTTGTCTTTATATAGTTGAGTTCTAAGAGTTCTTTATATATTTTAAATACAAGTCCCTTAACAAATACATAATTTAAAAGGTTTTTCCTTTCTGCAAGTTGTCTTTTGACTTTCTTGATACTGTCCTTTGAAGTAAAAAATATTTTTAATTTTGAAAACTCTAACTTTTTTTTTATACTTGGGTATATGTATGATTTCAGTGACAGATATCTAAGAATGTTTTATTTTTGTTTTTGTTTTTTGGGAGACAGCATCTCTCTCTGTCACCCAGGCTGGAGTGCAGTGGTATAAACATAGCTTACTGCAGCCTCAACCTTCTGGCTTCAAGCAATTCTCCCACCTCAGCCTCCTGGCTTCAAGCAATCCTCCCACCTCAGCCTCCTGAATAGCTGGGACCACGGGGGTGCACTGTCACACCTTGCTAATTTTTAAATTTTGTGTAGACGGGTCTCACCATGCTGCCACAGCTAGTCTTGAACTCCTGGGCTCAAGCAATCCTCCTGCCTTGTCTTCCTCCAAAGTGCTGAGAGTACAGGCAAGAGCCACCATACCCAATCACGCCCATGTTTTCTTCTAAGAGCTTTATAGCTTTAGCTTTTTACTTTGAGGTCTTCGATGCATTTTGAGTTAATTTTTATATATGGTGTAAGTAGAGATCCAATTTTATTCTTTTGCATGTGAATTAAACTTTTATTTTGAGATATTTGTAGGTTTGTAGGTTCACATGCAGTTGTAAGAACCAATTCAGAGAGATTCCATATATACTTCACCCAGTTTCCCCAATGGAAGCATCTTGTATAATAACTATGGTACAATATCACAGCTAGAACCTTAGCCATCAACCTTATTCTGATTTTACTAATTTTATATCTTTTTGTGTATGTGTGTTTGTACATATTGTATTTAGCTCTGTGTAACTTAATCACATGTGTAGATTTGGTGACAACCACCACCACCAAGAAAAAGAAGAGTTCCATCACAAGGATCCCATTATAGTAAGAGCCAACACCCACTCTCCTCCATCCCTAACCCCTGGTGACCACACACCGGTTTGCCATTTTGTCATTTCAAGTATGTTACATACATGGAATCACACTGTATATATGGTTTTCTTCACTCAGCATAATTTCTTTAAAATCCATCCAAATTTTTGTGTATCAATAGTTCATTTCTTTTTATTACTGAGTACTATTCCATGACATAGATGTACCATAGTTTAACTCATCCATAAAGAAAATGTGAGTTGTTCCCAATTTGGAGCTATTCCAAATAAAACTACTGTGAACATTTACACAAGTTTTTGTGTGAACATTAGCTTTCATTCCTCTGGGATAAATGCCCAAGAGTACAATGGCTGGGTTGTATGGGAGACTCATATTTAGTTTTTTAAGAAACTGTCAAACTGTTTTCTAAGGCAGCTGTAGCGTTTTACCTTTTTACATTCCTAGCATCAATGTACAAAAGATCCAATTTCTCAGCATCTCCCCTAGCACTTAGTGTTATCACTATTTTTTTATTTTAGCCACTCTGCTAGATAGATGGTGGTATCTCATTGTAGTTTAAATTCACATTTCCCTAATGGCAACTGATAGTGAACATCTTATCACCTATTCATGACTTTTGCCCTTTGTTAATTGGGTGTTTGATTCTTTATTCTTGATATTTGAAAGTTCTTTAAATAGTCTAGATACGCCTTAGATATATAGTTTTGCAAATATTTTCTCCCAGTCTGTAGCTTGCCTTTTCATCCATTTTACTGAGTCTTTTGAAGAGAAAAAAAAGTTAATTTTGATGAAGTCCAATTACTGGTTTTAGCTCTTAGCAATCGTGCTGTGGTGGCAAGAACAAAAAACTCTTTGCTGAAACACGTGTCCTGAAGACTTTCTCCTATATTTTTTTCTAAAGGTTTTATAGTTTTATATTTTACATCTTTAATCCACTTAATTTTGGGTTTTTATATAAAATATGAGATTTAGGTAAAGGATTTTATTGTTGTTTTGTTTTGCCACTGTGTATCCAATTGCTCCAGCACCATTCTTGGAAAGGCTATTGTTGTCCTATGGTACTGCATGTTTAATGAACTGGTAACAAGAGAAAGGCAGAGGAACTTTGTCTTGTAAGAATTAGAACCAAGGGGCTCCATAATCATCTGACATCAGTTCCGTGTTGTATCTATGGTGGTTAGAAATGTACATGATAGGAACTCTAGGAATCTTATGGATTCCTCTTTTAGGGTCTCTGGTCAACCATGGCAACAATGTGACAATGCTGAATTATTCTCTGTTTTAGGCAGTCTTCTGCGTAGGTTCCTCTGTGTGTGCATGGTAACTGTTCAAATCTTGGACCCTTGATGATCCTTGGAGCCACTCAATACTTCCACCCCAATTTCTCAATTTCAGCCATTATACAATCAGTTATACAAGGGATACATTTGGCATACAGACTGTCCATCATTGACTGCACTAAGTCCAGTTTGGCTTTAATGGAAAAGTTGATGAAGTTGCTATCGACAAGGATGTAGTAAGGTGGGCCCAGTTGTGTGATATACTGGAAAAATAAACAGGGATGCTGTTGAGGAACTTCTCCTTTAGCACACTAGGATCTTTTTCTTTCTTTTTAGGTTTTAATCTACCCTTTTCTTTAAGCCTTTGATCTGAGACTAAGCATTCACTTCATGGTTGCAAACTTCCTTGTTTTCTTTTGCTTCCCCATGGTCACGTCATACTCTTGTTTCTTCTGGAATCTATTAATTGTTAGTATACAGAAATAAAATTGATTTTTTACTGAGGTATAACTGATATACAAAAACTTGCACATATTTAATGTATACATTTTGATGAATTTTGTTTATTGATCTTGTACCCTGAAAACTTGTTGAACTCACTTATTAATTCTAGGAGTCTTTTTCAAGATTCTTCGGCATTTTCTACATAGATAATTGTGTCACCTGTAAATACAGATAGGTTTATTTCTTCTTTTCCAACGGGTATTCCTTTTATTTCTTTCCATACCCTACACTACACTAGTTAGAACCTCCACTAAGATGTTAAATGAGATTAGTGTGAGTAGACACTCTTGCCTTGTACCCAATCTTAGGGAGAAAGGATTTAGTAATTCACTATTAAGTATGGTGCTAGCTGTAAATTTTTCATAGATGCCCTTTATCAGGTTGGGAAGATTCCCCCTCTAATCCTAGTTTGATAACTTTTTACCATGAATAAGTGCTGGTGGTTCTGTCAATTACTTTTTCTGTGTCAATCCATATGATCGTGTAATATTTAATATTTAACCTGTTTATATGGTAAAATACATTAATTTATGTTTCAATGTTAAACAAGCCTTGCACATCTGGGATAAATTCTGCTCTGCTCATTCTCTTTATACATTGATGTATTCAATTTGCTAATATTTTGCTGAGGAGTTTTGTGTTTACAAGAGATACTGATTGTAGTCTTTTTTGGAGAGGACTTTGTCTTAGTTTAGTATCAGGGTAATATCACCCTCATAAAATGAGTTGGGAAATGTCCCCTCTTCTATTCATGTCTGTAATCCCAGCACTTTGAGGGGCCAAGGCAGGCGGATCATCTGAGGTTGGGAGTTCAAGAGCAGCCTGACTAACATGGAGAAACCCCGTCTCTACTGAAAATACAAAATTAGCCGGGCGTGGTGGCACATGCCTGTAATCCCAGCTACTTGGGAGGCTGAGGCAGGAGAATTTCTTGAACCTGGGAGGCAGAGGTTGTGGTGAGCCAATATCATGCCATTGCACTCCAGCCTGGGCAACAAGAGTGAAAACTCCGTCTCAAAAAAAAAAAAAAGTAATTATATAAAATTGATACTTAATTCTTCTGTAATTGTTTGGTAAAATTTTCCAGTGAAATTATCTGGGCCCAGAGTTTGCTTTTTAGGAGTATTAAATTATAAATTCAATTTCTTTAATGATTATAGGACTATTCAAGTGTTCATGTTGGTTGAGTTCTGGTAGTTTTGGAAGAATTGGCTCATTTCTTCCAAGTTACAGAATTTATGAACATAAAATTGTTCACAGCATTCCCTTATTATTCTTTAAATGGTTGCAGATATACACTGACATCTCTTGTTTCATCCCTTATATTGATAATTTCTGTCTTCTCTCTTCTTTGTCAGTTGGATAGAGGTTTTTCAATTGTACTGATTTTTTTTCAGAGTCAGCTTTTTGTTTCATTGATTTCTCTGTATTGTTTTCCTGTTTTCAAATTCATTGATTTCTGGTTTGATCTTTATAATTCCTTCCCTTTTGCTTGTTTTGGATTAGCTTTGCAATTTTTCTAGTTTATGGAGGTGAGAACTTAGATTATTGATTTAAAATCTTTCCCTTTTACACCTTTTGTCTATAAGCTTTTGGTGTTGCAAATTTTTCTCTCAGGACAGCTTTTAGCTGTAGCCTACGTATTTTGATATGTTTTCATTTTCATTCAGTTCTATGCATTTAAAAAGCTTCCTGTGTGACTTCCTCTTGGACCCATGAGTTATCAGTGTGTTTACTTTTTAAATGTTGGAAATTTTCCTATTGTCGTTCTCTTATTGATTTCTAGTTTGATTCTATTGTTATTAGAGAACAATGTTCTATACTATTTCAATTCTTTTAATATTTCTTGAAGTTGCTTTGGTGGCCTAGGAGTCAGTCTATTAGTGGTGAGTGTTCCATGGGCACTGGAAAAAAAAATGCGTATTCTGTTGTTGTGTGAAGTGCTCTCTATCAATTATATTCTGTTGGTTGAGTGTATTGTTCAATTTTTCTATATTCTTGATTTTTTCGTCTAGTTGTTCTATTAATTCCTAAGTGGGAAAGCCCCAACTATCATTGTTGATTTGTCTATTTATCTTTTTAGCTCTATCATTTTTTTTTTTTTTTTTGCTTCATGTATTTTGAGGTCGTGTTGTTTAGAATGCATACATTTAAAATAGTTATGTCATTTCAGTGGATAGATCTTTTAATCATTAGGTAATGTCCCTCTCTGCCTCTGGTAATTTTCCCTGCTCTGAAGTGTACTTTATCTGATATTAATATAACCACTCCTGCTTTTAAAAATATTTTCATGATATACATTTTTCTTCCTTTTACTTTCACCTGCCTATATCATTATATTTGAGGTTTCTTGTAGATAGCATGCTGTTGGATCATGTTTTGTTACTCTGCTATGGTTTGAATGTGTTCCCCAAAAAGCATATGTTGGAAAATTAACCCCCGAGTTCAACAGTGTTGGGAGGTGGAACCTTTAAGAGGTGAGTAAGCCATGATGGTTCTACCCTCATAAATGGATTAATTCTGCCACAGAGGGAGTAGAGTCATTATCACAGGATTAGATTCCTTATAAAAGGACAAGTTTGGGCTCCCTGCTGCATATGTGCATGTGCTCAGGCTCTCTCTCTCGCCCTCTTGCACTTCCTTCATGTGATGCCTTCTGGCATATTATGACACAGCAAGAAGGCCCTTGACAGATGCCAGCTACCTGATTCAGACTTCCAAACCTGCAGAACTGTGAGTCAATACATTTCTGTTCATTATAAATTGCTTAGCCTCTGGTATTATGTTATAGCAGCACAAAATGGACTAAGAACTCTAATCATCTATATTTTTAAAAAATGATTTCAACTTTTATTTTAGATTCAGGGGTTATATTTGCAGGTTTGTTACCTGGGTATATTGCATGACGCCAAGGTTTGGGGTATCATTGCTCCCGTCACCCAGGTACTGAATATAGCACTCAATAGTTAGTTTTCCAACTCTTGCCACCCTCTCTTTCTTTCCAATCTAGTAGTCCCCAGTGTCTATTTTTGCCATCTTTATGTCCACGAATACCCAGTGTTTAGCTCCCATTTATAAGTGAGAGCCTGAGGCATTTGGTTTTGACCCTGTGTTAATTCACTTAGGATAATGGCCTCCAACTCCATCCATGTTGCTGCAAAGGACATAATTTCATTCTTTTTTATGGATGTGTATTATTTTACGCTGTATATGTATCATATTTTCTTTATCCAATCCACTGTTGATGGGCACCTAGGTTGACTCCATGTCTCTGCTATTGTGAATAGTGCTGCAGTGAACATACAAGTGCATGTGTCTTTTTGGAAGAACAATTTGTTTTCTCTTGGATATATATCCACTAATGAGACTGCTGAGTCAAACAGTAATTCTGCTTTAAGTTGAGAATTCTCCAAATGGCTTTCCACAATGGCTGAACTAATTTACTTTACCACCAACAGTGTATAAGCATCCTCTTTTCTCCACAGTCTCACCAGCGTCTGTTTTTTGACATTTTAATAACAGCTACTCTGAATGGTGTGAGATGGTATCTCATTGTGGTTTTGATTTCCATTTCTCTGATGACTAATTATGTGGAGCACTTTTTCATATGCTTCTTGGCCGCTTGTATGTCTTCTTTTAAGAAATGTCTGTTCAAGTCTTCTGCCCATTTTTTAATGAGTTTTTTTTTTGTTTGTTTTTTGTTTTGCTTTTTCAATTGTTTAAGTTCTTTACAGATTCTGGATATTAGACCTTCATCAGATACAAAGCATGCAAATATTTTCTCCCATTCTCTAGGTTGTCCGTTTCTTTTGCTGTACTGAAGCTCTTTAGTTTAATCAGGTCCTGTCCATCAATTTTTGTTTGTGTTGCAATTGCTTTTGAGGATTTAGTCCTAAATTATTTTCCAAGACCTATGTCCAGAGGGGTGTTTCCTAGGTTTTCTTCTAGGATTCTTACAGTTTGAGGTCCTACATTTAAATCTTTAATCCATTTTCAGCTAATTTTTGTATATGGCAAAAGATAGTGGTCAAGTTTCATTCTTTTGCATATGGCTAGCCAGCTATTCCAGCACCATTTACTAAATAGGCAGTCCTTTCCCTGTTGCTTACTTTTGTTGACTTTGTCAAAGATCAGGTGGCTGTAGGTGTGCAGCTTTATTTCTGGGTTCTCTATTCTGTTTCATTGGTCTATGTGTCTGTTTCTCTAACAGTACCATGCTGTTTTGGTTACTGTAATGTTATAGTATAGTTTGAAGTTGGTTAATATGATACTTCCAGCTTTGTTCATTTTGCTTA
Organism: Homo sapiens; assembly: GCF_000001405.40. NCBI lineage: Eukaryota > Metazoa > Chordata > Mammalia > Primates > Hominidae > Homo > Homo sapiens. The sequence continues at coordinate 41,406,431 of NC_000003.12, forward strand.
GAATTGCTTTAGCTATTTGAGCTCTTTTTGGTTCCATACGAATTTTAGAATGGCTTTTTGTAGTTCTGTGAAAAATGTCGGTAGCTTGATAGGAATAGCGTTGAATCTGTAAATTGGGCAGTTATCTCTGTCCTATAATTGGTGCATTTAGACCATTTACATTTAAGGTAAATATTGGGGGACTAGGGCTTAAGTCTAATGTGCAATTTTATTATGTCTTCTGTTTCCTGTTTCTCATTCTGCTCATTCTCTTTTTTCTACTTTCCTGTGGGTTACTTGAACATTCTATTTTTCCAGTGATGACCATTAAATTTATTTTACTCCCTGATTTATTAATAGTTTCCCTGGCATAACAGGGAAGGGTACACCCAACTGCCTGAAACAACAAACTAGCATACAAATGCATGAAGCAATGGTTCTTAAGACACTAGACATAAGATAATGAAGAACGGTTGTCCCTAAGAGATGGGACACAAATAGGGTGAGAGGTCTCCTATTTTCCCAGATTAGAGACTTGAGCGAGTTTCCAGGCCTATGTGCAGGGAGGACAACAGAGGGGGATCCCAGTGGATTCCTTAAGTTGAGGAGACAGAGCAAAAAGTCCTGAAAGACAGCTAGAGTTGATAGGACAAGTTTATAGGACAAGGCAGCTAGAGTTGATAAGACAAAGTAACAGAGAGAAGAAAGCAGGCCGAGGCTCAATCAGGAAGAAACAGATAACCTGGGTAGCACATTATCAATTAAAGAAAATAAATTTATGGCTAAAAACCATCCTACAAAAGAACAACAACAACAACAACAAACATACTCCAGAGCCAGATGACTTTACTGGTGAATTCTACCAAACATTTAAGGAAGAAGTAATACCAATTCTACACTGTCTTCCACAAAACTAAGAAAAAGGGAACACTTCTGAACTCATTCTCTGAGGTCAGTACTACCCTGATACCCCAACCAGACAAAGATAGTACAAAAAACAACAACAATAACAACAAAAACCCACTATAGGCCAATAGCCCTTAAGAATATACATGCCAAAACCCTCAACAAAATAGTAGCAAACCAAATCAGCAATATATGAAAAGTATTATAGACCATTACCAAGTGGGATTTAGCCTAGGAATTCAAAATTAGTTTCACATGTGAAAATCAATCAATGTTCTATGCAATAGCAATAGAATAAAGAACAAAAACTACATGATCCTCTCAATAGTCACAAAAGCAGCATTTCACAAAACTAACTATTAAAAACATTCAACAAATTAGGAACAGAAGGGAACTTTCTCAACTGATAAAGGACATCTATGAAAAACCTATTGCTAACACTCACTGGCAAAAGAGTGAACTCCCTTCCCCTAAGATCATGAACAAAGAAAGATGTCCACTCTTCCCATATTCATCATTATAATGGAGGTTCTAGCTAGAAAAATAAATAAGAAAAATAAAAAGCACTGAAAAAGAAGTAAAACTCTATTTGCAGAAGATATAATCTTATACACAGAAAATCCTAAGGAACCCTTTAAAGAACTTTTAGTACAAATAAACAAGTTCATCAAGGTTGCAGGGTATGAGATCGATATACAAAAATCAATTGTATTTCTATACACTAACAATGAACAATCTGAAGTTGAAATTAAGAAAATAATTTCATTTATAATAGCATTAAAACAAATGGCATATTTAGGAATAAAAGTAGCAAAAAATAAAAAAAAATTAGGCCAGGCACGGTGGCTCATGCCTGTAATCCCAGCACTTTGGGAGGCCGAGGTGGGCGGATCACGAGGTCAGGAGATCGAGACCATCCTGGCTAACACGGTGAAACCCTGTCTCTACTAAAAATAAAAAAAATTAGCTGGGCATGGTGGCGGGCGCCTGTAGTCCCAGCTACTGGGGAGGCTGCAGCAGGAGAATGGCGTGAACCCAAGAGGTGGAGCTTGCAATGAGCCGAGATCGCACCACTGCACTCCAGCCTGGGTGACAAAGTGAGACTCCATCTCAAAAAAAAAAAAAAAAAAAAAAAAAATTAAAGAGCGTCTACATAAATGAAAAAACTTCCCACATTCATACATCAGAAGATTAAACACTGTTAAGATGGCAACACACTCAAAATCGATCTATAGATTCAAAGCATTCTCTATCAAAATTATAGTTGTCTTGTTTGGCAGAAATTGGTAAGTTGATCCTAAAATTCATATGGAAATGCCAGGAACCAAGAATAGCCAAAACAACATTACAAAGGAAGAGCATGGTTGGAGGACTCCTACTTCCTAATTTTAAAATTTACTACAAAGCAACAGTAATCCAACAAATGTGGTACTGGCATAAGATAGATCTAGAGACCAATGGAATAGAATTAGGAGCCCAGACAAACCTTTACATATATATCAATTGGTTTTAACAATGGTGCCAAGACAATTCAATAGAGGGAAAATAGTATTCTCTACAAATGGTGCTGAGACAACTGGACATATAAAAAAATGAAACTGGACCCCACATCACACCATATATAAAAATTAACTTAAGATGGATCAAAACTTAAATGTAAGAGCTAAATGCAGCTGGGTGCTCTAGTCCCAGCACCTTGGGAGGCAAAGGCAAGTGGACTGCATGAGCCCAGGAGTTTGACAACAGCCTGGGGAACGTGGCGAAACCCCATCTCTACAAAAAATACAAAAATTAGCCAGACACGGGAGCACACACTTATAGTCCCAACTACTCAGGAGGCTGACGTGAGAGGATGGATTAAGCCCAGGAGGCGGAGGTTGCAGAGAGTGGAGATCACGCCACTGCACTCTAGACTGGGTAACAGAGCAAGACTCCATCTCAAAAAAATACATAAATAATGTATAAAACTTATAGAAAACACAGGAGCAAGTCTTGTGACCTTAGGTTAGACAATGCTTTCTTATGTATGATGCCAACAGCACAAGCAACAAAAGAAAAAATAGATAAACTAGACTTCATCAAAATCTAAAACTGATTTGCTATAAAGGATATAACCAAGAAAGTAAAAAGACAACCCACAAGAGAAATATTTTATAAATCTGATACCTAATAAGGGACTTGTATATACATGATATATAATATTTCTTACAACTCACTAATTTTAAAAATAATCCAATTTTTTAATGAGCAAAGACTTTAACAGATATTTCTCCAAAGAAGGTATGAAAATAGTCAATAAGAACAGGAAAAGATGCTAAATAGCATTAGTCATCAAGAAAATGCAAATTAACAGCTGGGCAAAGTGGCTCGCACCTGTAATCCCAGCACTCTGGGAGGCCGAGGCAGGTGGATCACCTGAGGTCAGGAGTTTGAGACCAGCCTGGCCAACATGGTGAAACCTCATCTCTACTAAAAATACAAAAATTAGCCAGGCATGGTGGTGCACACCTGTAGTCCCAGCTACTTGTGAGTCTAAGTCAGAAGAACTGTTTGAACCCAGGAGGCAGAGGTTGCAGTGAGCAGAGATCACGCCACTGTACTCCAGCCTGGGTGACAGAGCGAGACCCGGTCTCAAAAAAAAAAAAGAAAAGAAAATGCAAATTAAAACCACCATGAGATATCAGTTCATACTCCATAGAAGGACTACAATCAAAAACACAGACAGTAACAAGCAGTTGGTGAGTATGTGGAGAAACTGAAACCCTCATATACTGCTAGTGGAAATGTTAATGGTGGAGGCACTCTGGAAACCAGTTCCTTTAAAAGTTAGACACAGATTTACTATATGACCCAGCTCCCAGGTATATACTGAAAAAAAGAAAGTCTATGTTTACATAACAATTTGTACACAAATGTTCATAGCAATGTTATTCATAATAGCCAAAAAGTGAAAACAACTGAAATGTCCATCAACTGATGAATGGATACACAAATGCGATACACTCATATAATGGAATATTATTTAGGAATAATAAGGAATGAAGCACTGATCCGTGCTATAAACATGAAAGAATCCTGAAAACATACAGCTAAGAGAACAAAAAAATCAAATTATATATTTCCATATATATGAAATACCCAAAATAGGCCAGTTTATAGAAATAGAAAGTAAATTAGTGATTGACTAGAGTTGTAGAGGGGAGGGAATGGGGAATGACTTTTAATGAGTATGAGGCTGCTGTTGGGCATGATGAAAATATTCTGGAATTAGATAATGGTTGCACAATATACAAAAATATTGAATTATGTACTTTTGAGAGGTTAATTTTATGGTATGTGAATTATCGCTCAATAAAACTGTTATAAAAAATGCTAATTGTACACAAAGTCTTCAAGAAAACTGAAAAGGAAAAATACTTTCTAATTCATTCTCTGAGTTCAACATTGTCCTGATACCCAAACTAGACAGTCACCTACCACCAGGGACAGGGAAAAATGAAACAAAACTAGACAAAGACAGCATAAGTAAATGCCATTCCCCCAAGTGTCTTTGTCTCTACGTGGCTGTCTTCTCGAAAGGACACCAGTCATATTGGATTGAGGACCCACCATATTCCAGTATAACTTCATCTTAACTATATCTGCAAAAACACTATTTACAAATAAGGATATTCTACAGGAGTGGAGGTTAGGACTTTATCTTTTCCAGAGGACACAAGTTAACCCATAACAATGTACCCCAAAACACAAGATCATCTCAATAGAAAAAGTATTTGACAATATCCAACATCTATTTACAATGTGAACTAGGGGTAGAAGGGAACTTCTTGTAAATCAAAAACAAAATCCTAAGGTCCCTCGAACATCTGAATGGTCTTCATCCTCAGCCAGGGCACTCTATAATTGAACCTGAAAGACTGGTTCAGGGAAGTGGGGGGTCTAGACATGCCTCATTATACCTCCAGCATTAACATCAACACATACCTTTGGTCTGATAAGAAACATTTACAATCTATTCTCTGTGAAGCCTGCTACTTAGAGGCTTTATCTGCATGTTAAAACTTTGTTCTCCACAACCTCTTATCATAATCCAGACATTCCTTTCTTTTTTTTTTTTTTATTTTTATTTTGAGACAGAGTCTCACTCTGTCGCCCAGGCTGGAGTGCAGTGGCGCTATCTCAGCTCACTGCAACCTCTGCCTCCGGGGTTCAAGTGATTCTCCTGCCTCAGCCTCCCAAGTAGCTGGGACTACAGGGATTACAGGTGCCACCATGCCCATCTAATTTTTGTATTTTTAGTAGAGACAGGGTTTCACCATGTTGGCTAGGCTGGTCTCGAACTCCTGATCTCAGGTGATCCACCTGCCTTGGCCTCCCCAAGTGCTGTGATTAACGGCATGAGCCACCGTGCCCAGCAACCTTTCTATTGATAATAACTCTTTCAACCAATTGCCAATCAGAAAAATTTTAAATCTACCTATAACCTGGAAGCCTCCCCCGCCCCTCTTTTCGTGGACATTCCTCAACCTGATAAAGGTTGTGTAGGAGACTGAATGCTTTCCCCTGAAATTACGAAGACAGACAGGATGTCTCCTCTCACCACTGTTTGGAAATTTCTGGCCAATGCAATCAGCACACCCCCTACCTGAAGCTCCACCCAGTGGCATCCAGATTGGAAAAGTAGTAATACAGTAACTTTATTTGCGTAAGTCTGATCCTGTATGTAGAAAATCAGATGTAATTAACAAACAAGGTACTGGAGTCCACGAGTGAGTTTAACAAAGTTGCAGGATTCAAGGAAAAAAACACAAAATCTATTGCAATTTTCACGTAAGTACCAATCAGATATTGAAATTAAAACAATACCAATATAATAGCATAAAAAAATTTGAAATGCTTAGGGATAAATCTGACACAGGATGAAGGACATGTGCATGAAAAATACAAAATATTGCTGAAAGTAAAAAGGACTTAAATAAATGGAAAGCTATACCTTGTTCATTAGTTAACTTGATGTTGTTCCCAATATTTTCCCCAAATTACTTTGTAGATTCAACACAATCTCAATACAAAATCCCCCAAGTTTTTTTTTTTTTTTGGTAGAAATTGACAAGCCATGTCAAAGTTTCATATGGAAATGTAAAGAACATGGAATAGCCAAAGCAAATCTGAGGAGGAGCCCATAGGCTCACATAAGTCAACTGATTTCTGATAAAGGTCAATGGCAATGCAGTTGAATTTTTTTTTTTTTTTTTTTTTTTTTGAGACAGAGTCTCGCTCTGTTGCCCAGGCTGGAGTGCAGTGTCGCAATCTCTGCTTAATGCAACCTCTGCCTCCCAGGTTCAAGTGATTCTCATGCTTCGGGCTCCTAAGTAACTGGATTACAGGCATGCACCACCAAGCCCAGCTAATTTGTTGTATTTTTAGTAGAGACGGGGTTTTGCCATGTTGCCCAGGTTGGTCTCGAACTCCTGGCCTCAAGTAATCCACCTGTCTCATCCTCTCAAAGTGCTGGGATTACAGGCATGAACCACTGTGCCTGGCCAAGAGAATACATTTTCAAAAAATGCTTAAATATGCAAAGCCATACACTTTTACCTTGCCCTTGCATCATGTAACAAAATAAACTGGAAAAGGATAAAAGGCCTTGTAGTAGTCTGTTCTCACATTACTGATAAACACATACCAGAGATTGGGTAATTTATAAGGAAAAAGAGGCTTAATGGACTTACAGCTCCACATGGCTGGGGAGGCCTCACAATCATGGCGGAAGGTGAAAGGTACATCTCACAAGGCAGCAGACAAGAGAAGAATGACAGCCACGTGAAAGGGGTTTCCCCTTAAAAAACCATCAGCTCTCGTGAGACTTACTACCAGGGGAACAGTATGGGGGAAACTGCCCCCATGATTAAATTATTTCCCACTGGGTCCCTCCCTCAACATGAGGGGATTATGGGAGCTAAAATTCAAGATGAGATTTGGGTGGGGACACAGCCAAGCCATATCAGGCGTGAATATAAAAGCTGAAACTATAAAATTTCTAAGAGAAAACATGGGAGAAAATATTTTTACCTTGGATTGGGGAAAGGTTTAATAGGCATAATTGCAAAAGAATGAATGACAAAAGGAAAAATTGATAAAACTGACTTCATCTAAATTAAAAATAGTTCAAAAGTCATTGTCTAGTTAATAAAATGCTCAATAAAAAGTAGATATTACCACCATTACCCTCCTCATCACAAAGTGTACCTTTAATGGAGATCCATAAAAAAGTATTCTTTCAAACCCTTAACCAGAAAATCTTTCTTGCCCCATGGAACCGTCTTTTTTGTTTTCTTTTCCTCCTCCTTTCTGGGCAATGTACATCTTATAAATAATTATATTTTCTTTTTTGTCTGGGAACCAGAACTCCCCAAATCAAAACTATGGCCCAACTTTGGTAATTATATTAGACTCCTTTTTCTAGAAACTTCACCCTATATTATTTCCATTGCTTTCTTCATGCTTCCCACTTTATTTGGGGTTTCCAGACTTAGAAAAAGGAGCGCCCAGATACCTTTGAACTTCAGATAAAAAAATCATTTTTAGTATAAGTACGTCCATTTGGGGCTGGGCACAGTGGCTCACGCCTGTAATCCCAGCACTTTGGGAGGCCGAGGCAGGCGGATCACCTGAGGTCAGGAGTTCGAGACCAGCCTGACCAACATGGAGAAACCCCGTCTCTACTTAAAATACAAAATTAGCCAGGCATGGCACATGCCTGTAATCCCAGCTACTCGAGAGGCCAAGGCAGGAGAATCGCTTGAACCTGGGAGGCGGAAGTTGCGGTGAGCAGAGATCGTGCCATTGCACTCCAGCCTGGGCAACAAGAGCGAAATTCCATCTCAAAAACAAACAAACAAACAAACAAACAAAAAACTATATCCATTCGGCATCTTGTATTTTCTGTCAAACCTAACTTTATTGCAAGCACTCTTATTAGCCACCTCAAATGCTTTATGGGAGAGATGATATATAAGTGAATACACACATACAACTTGGAAATACTTCATAGTAAACTTACATTTGAATTTTAAAAACTGTTTTACAACAATTTAAAATCACAGTTGTGTTGTATTTACTTTCCGTTATCCAATCTACACAATATAATGCATTTCAAAATCTTTCACATTTTATATTCTATTTTAAAAATAATGCCTGGTTCAGTGCTTTGTCAAAAAGTATATGAAAAATATTTACTTTCAGAAAAGATATTAACTAGCCAAGAAAGAAAAAAATAATCACTTACTTTTATACTACCAAAAAGCACTTGAAGAATAGACTCGTCTATTTTGTTAGGACACCTTTAACAAAAGATTTCCCATTAGGCCACCAATACTGTTCCACTTCACTTTCATATATCACTCCTGCCCAAACTCAGCTGAAGAGGCAGCAGAAAATATCATTAAGCTGATGAATGGTGGTAATTCCAGATGACACAGCTCAAGGAAACACTATTGCGCAGGGCCTTGACACCGTCCCCTTTCTCTTGAGAAGGATACTTGGTCTCCTTTGATCCCAGGTACACTATATTTTTAAATGTGGGAATTTAGAAGGCAGAAAACCTGCCACCATTTTTACTAATTTAGTTTTGAGTCCACATATCACAGAATAGAGTACCAGGGTGTTAAAAAAGAAATGTAAAAACAAGTTGAAAATCACAGATAGGTAAGCTCAACCTTGCCTTCTGGGCCTCCTGCACTGCCCTAATTAACTTTCCTAAGGCTCTTTCCATGTACATTATGAACGGACAGTTTCATGTCAATAACAAAAGAAGCGGAAAGCATCACTCATTTAAAAAGTCAAAATAGGAGATTTAAACAATTCTACTGAAGCAGCAAGGTTTCGGAAACCACAGAGGATAAATGTGTTAACAGTGAATGCTAGGATGCTGAGTTCTGTAGAAAAGCTCTGGCCTGATCCTGTCTTTTCTGCTCTCCCTACTTTAGACATTCAGGTGGATTCTGTCACCACTGGATGAGAGACATGGGTTTGAGACAGCCACCCAAGAAGTAACCAATGCTCCACTATGCTCCTACAATCTTGTGCCCCTACAAACCTGTGCCCCTACAATCCATTTTCCCCATCTCACCAGCACCCCACCTCTGCCCCTTGCTCATTAAGCCTAAACACTGGCCTTCCCTCACTCCTCTAAACTTATCAAGCACGGTGCCGCTCAGGGTATTTGCATCTGCAATCTCCTCTGCCTGGGGTATTCACTGCCTATTTTCAAAAGGGTGCCTCCACATAAATCACGGCTCAGTTCAAAGGTCACCTCCTAAGAGAGTTCTTCCCTGGCCTCCTAATATAAAGATCTTCATCTTATTCCCACTCTGCCTTTCCCAACACCAAAGCCACTCTTCAATGCAGTAAGACCTCTTCCTCTTCACTATTCAGATCACTCGTCACTCCTAGAAATGACCATGTCTATTCATTTGTCTCAGCCCATGGAAGCCGACTCTCCGCCTGTCTTATGTACCTGGTAGACAGCACCCAGCAAATAATGTGCCAAATAAGTGTGTCAGTGAAAAGACCCCAATGGCAAGTGATCCGGAGCAAAAGAAGAATGAGAAAAGAGAGATACCCTCAAGTAATGCAAATGATGTGAATTTTTATATGTCAAACATTATTGTTCCAATGACTTTCATAAAGTAACTCCCCTCTAGGAAAAAATGTGGCTATACGATCTTCATAAAATCACACTGAGAAGTCACACATTTCTATAGAAATGACCACGCTGATACAGCAGTAACAATAGGAACACTGTGTTAAACACATAAATAAAAGGATTTGGGTCTAGGACAAGAGTTTCAAGACCTGACAGAGAAGATGTAAACTGGTAGGCCCTGGGACAAATTTGTCCCCACAGACTTGTTTTACTTGGTCTGGTATTTTTAAAGATTTAATATCAGTTTCCAACATTTAAAAATTGGAATATTTCACATAAAATCTCGTATTTCCTATTTTTTTCTGTAAAATCAGAAGTGACCACCACAGGTCCTCATTACATTGTGGCAAGCACTGAGCAGAGCTTAACCTGGCAGGGACTCTCCTGGGTCCTCACCCTCCCAATTTCTTCATGCCTAGAATGACGCCGTCATGTAACAAAAGGCCTCTTTGAAGCATTTGATTTTTCAACTGCTATACCCCTCAAAACAAAACTATTTGCTTCTAGTGGCTCTTCCCTTTGAATACTTTACAACAGAAAAATGATCAAATTTCCATAGTGACATAGGCAATACTTAGTGATACTACAGAGGTTTACTATAGTGCTGGCAGGAAAAAGAAAAGGAGAAAAGAGATCCACAATAAAATTATTAGGAAACACAGCCTGAGTAAGGCAGTAGGGATGCCTGTGGGAAAGACAGAGCTGCAACACAGGGCCTGAAATGCCCCATGTGAAACAGGGAAACACGTGACCAATGTACCTACTTTAATTACCCAGGAGGAAAAGGAGGGAGAAAGGGGGACCCAAATTTGTCCAAATGAGACAGCATTTGGGCATGAAAGAGACTAGAGTTAGAATAAGGAATTAAAGCATTTCATGAAGGAGAGTCGGGGGTAGGACACCCTGATGGGCATCCTCTGCTCAGCTGAAAGTGCACTGAAATGTACATGTGATAGGAACATTACCAAAAGGATGCCATGGTACAGCCCTTGAGGAGCACCATGTGAAGACGCAGAATGCATTAGAGCTAACAGGAAGCTACTGGGGGCCAAGGAGTGACCACCTGGAAGCCCACTCTCTTCTGCCTCTACGCACGTGAGAGACAGTGAAGAGTGAAGCATACGTTGATGCAGTGAAGCATTCTGTTCTGCACAGCACTTGTTCCAGGAGAAACTCCAGAGGCATCAGACTTAGACGTGATTCTGGAAGGAAGAAAAAGCTTTCTACTAGTAACTGAGCTAAGATAAGGATGTTGGGGGTCTAGTAAGGAGAGATCATCAGTGAAACTCTCAGGGAAGAGAGCCTGGTAAAGGAAGGGGAATATGTCTAGAAGCTCAGGCAAGACAAGGTGACAAAACATAGCTGAAACACCTGAAAGAGGGAGGAAAATGTGACACAGGTAGCTTTCTGAGGAGAGATATGGGGTTGGAGGAGGCTGTGACCAGGTATGAAGAGCTCACAGAAGGCTGGGGTTAGCCTAGTATAGGGGAAAACACATCTCTGAGCAGTAAGGCTCCCCCTGGGAGAGCTCCAAGAAGGCAGATAACTGATTGTACTTAATGCAGAGAGGCTGACTCTGCAAACCCTGGGTGCCTGTTACTTTTTGAGGTATACAGAGGCTCCTCCCATCTAGGCAGCAGGAACAAGAGAAAAGGCAGGTAAGCACACATGCAGTCCTTTTAAGAGCTGATACCAGAACTGACACACATCACTTCTGTTCGCTTCTCACTGGCTTGACTATGGACAGTCATATGGTCACGTCAAGGCAAAAGGGAGGCTGGGAAATGTAGTTTTTATTCTGGCTGTTGAAAGAATTAAAAACATACTAACTACTCTGGTATACTGTCTATTTAAGTTAAAGCCACTTGAAAAACAGCAGGTGCAAAAAGATCACTCTGACCTTCGTGCTGTTTTTCAAAAGCAGGAGATGAAATTCCCATGCAAAAGATAATACATTTTTATCATCAAGAATGAGAAAGTTGAGACTAAGGGAATTCTGTTCTAACAAGCCTTGTTAAATTAACCCTTACCTTCCTAGCTACTTCCATACCCAATAATCTACCTTAGTCCAAGCTCCTTTGCCTTATCGCTTTTTCACAACTATAAGTTGACCCTTGAACAACACAGGGTTAGGAGCATTAACCCTCTGTTCCTAACACAGTCCAAAATCTGCATATAACTTTTGACTTCCCCAAACTTAACTACTAATAGCCTACTGTTGATTGGAGGCCTTACTGATAACATAAACAGTCAATTGACACATAGACTAGTACTACACGTATCTTAAACATTCATGACATACTTTTTTTCTTAATTTGGCGGGGGGGGGGGCACGTTTCTAAGCTACACAGTTTGTCTGCAAGTTTTTTCAAACTGTCACAAATCTGCAAAAAATTTTCCAAAAAATTTTTAAAAGTCCACGTAGAAGTGGACCTGTACAGTTCAAACCCGTGTTGTTCAAGGGTCAACTGTACTACTCTTTGTCCAGTTCAGTATATAAGTGACTGCTTTAACTACTTTTTCTGGTCTTCATTTCCTAATCTAGTCTTCATTTCCTTATGAGAACTCCCATGCCATGTAAAAACCTATTCTAAAGAAATGTGTATGCTTTTAATCTATCTCATGTCAATTTAATTCTTGGGACCATTCAGGACCCTAAGAGGATGAGGTAGAGTTTTGCAGTCCCTACAGTATTCACAGGAGAATGGATATTGGTGGAGAACTTGAAGTCTCTGCCAAATGCACCTACTATGAGTCAGGCATTGTCCTGATGCTAAAGGAACAGGTGGACCACACAGGTGAAGCCCCTCCCTCCTGGAGCTCTCACTCTAGAGGGGCTGGCAGACAGTGCATGAATGGGCACATTATAAAATGTCAGGCCATTTTACACAGAGTTGTTAGAAAAGGGTTCTTTGAGAAGTGTTCTTTGGACAGACAGCCTATGCAAGTGAGGGAAGGAGTCATGTGAATGTTGGAGGAAAGAGTCTTACGAGGTTAGAACACCAAGTTCATAAGTCCTGTGGCATTACTTTGTAATGCATCAAAAAGTAAGATAGATTGATAGATAAATGGATAAATGATAAAATAAATGTAGAAAACTGTTAAACAATGCAGGTGGCAATTATATATGTGCTTACTGTGCAATTCTTTCAGCGTTTCTGTTTGAAAACTTTCATAATAAAAATGTTGGGGGAAAAAAAAGCTCCATGACAGCAGTGTGCTCGGTGTTTCTGAGGACCAGCAGGGAGGCAGCATGACTCACTGAATGTACAAGGAGAGGCTAGAAAACGAGGTCAGAGAGGAGAGTAGGATAACATGGAGCCTGCAAAAAGGTCAATTAGATCACCATCCTATGGCTCACATCACCACTGACTCAGACACTCTCGTGGAGGTATTATTTAGGCAGTAGATTTACAAGAATGGAGTTCAGGGGACAGGTCATGGCTAAAGATACAAATTTGGAAATCCTCAAAGCATAGACACCATGGAAAGCAAGCAGCTGAATGACATCACTTGTGGTGAGAGGTGGTAACACCGCCCTGCAGTGGTGGCGGTGGAGCTTGGAAAGTTTCTCTTTAGGGAAACCTCACCATTTCTACCACCAGCACTCTGCAGAAACTCAGGACTGCTTTACTCTGGGGTACTATCTGATTTCTGCTCAGCTTCAACTTCACTGGAGCAAAGTGCTGGCATCACTGTGAAGGCCCGGGGGTACGTGCTGGGCTGCTTGTTCTCTGGCATGCAGTAAACTGAGGAAGGGCATAAGAAGGATGAAATGGCAGAGCTGTTCCTTATAGACTTCTGAAAATGCCTCTTTCCATCTCTTCCTGAGGCCAGGGGTGCTGCGGGGTTTCTGTGGGGAAGCCACTGCCCACCGCCACTGTGACCCCTCACAGGGTGTTTTGGCACTGGGCTTCCTCCGCCCTGTGCCAAAGGCTTCCATATGCCTCCTGTCTCCCAGAAGTAGGTTGAAATCTTAATCTGCCACTGACTTCCTTTTCCCCTTTCTCTTCATTAACGTAAGTTTATTCCTTTTTGAGTTCCTCTTTTTTTCTCTAAAGAGGACCTGTGAGAGACAGGAGATAAATGTAAGGAAAAAAAAAGAGTAACAAAAAGAGGCCTTCCTGTTAAAAATTTTCTTGGTTAGTCTCTCACATTTATTTTGTAGGATCGTTTTTAATACACTTAAAAGAAAAGGTTGGTGAGATTATAATTACTTTAAATTTATATTTTAATTTTGGAGTAATTAATATTTTTAATGATAGTCTTCCCACCAGGTACCTGGCACATCTGTGATTTCATTTACATCATATTTTATGTTTTCAAATTTTTCCTATAGTTATCATGTACAAGTAATCATGACTTGTATTTTCTTGTTACCTTTATTTTTGGCCATTTTATAGGATGATTTCACACTTCTGTGTAAGGGATTTTTCAGTTTTCCAGTTCTTTCTTTTTTTTTTTTTTTTTTTTTTTTTGAGATGGAGTCTCACTCTGTCACCCAGGCTGGAGTGCAGTGGTGCAATCTCGGCTAATTGCAACCTCCACTTCCTGGGTTCATGTGATTCTCCTGCCTTGGCCTCCCGAGCAGCTGAGATTACACAGGCACCAGCTACCATGCCTGGCTAATTTTTGTATTTTTAGTAGAGATTCTGCTTCACCATGTTGGCCAGGCTAGTCTCAAACTCCCAACCTCAGGTGATCCGCCTCCCTCGGCCTCCGAAAATGCTGGAATTACAGGTGTGAGCCACCGTGCCCGGCCTGGTTCTTTCAATTTAATGTCAGTATTATTAAAAAAAAAAAAAAGCCGGCCAGACGCGGTGGCTTGCACCTGTAATCCCAAAACTTTGGGAAGCTGAGGCAGGCAAATCACTTGAGGTAAGGAGTTTGAGACCAGCCTGGCCAACAAGACGAGAGCCTGTCTCTACTAAAAATACAAAAATGAACTGGGCATGGTGGTGCATGGCTGTAGTCGCAGCTATTTGAGAGGCTGAGGCAGAAGAATTGCTTGAGCCTGGGAGGCGGAGGTTGCAATGAGCTGAGATCACGCCACTGCACTCCAGCCTGGGAAACAAATAAGTGAGACCCCATCTCAAAAAAAAAAGAAAAGAAAAGAAAAGAAAAGCTATTAATTTCTGTGTATTATATAATACCTGCCTACTAAAATATGCTCTTTAGTAACAACAAATTTTTTGTTGTAATTTCTTTTTTCTAGGTATAACAATCTTATTAACTGCAAATAATGATTTTAGACTGCAGATTTATTTCTCTCATCTTACAGCATTACCTGTATCATACTGCCTGCACCCTCCCCAACACTGTTGACTAGTAGTGGCATTCTTCTCTTGCAATTTTAATGAAAATGCATTTAGAGTTTCTTTATTTAAAATGTTTACTATTGACTTTAAGAAAATAACCTTCAATATGTTTGGGAGACTCACTCTATCTTAAATAGAGTTCTAAAAAAGGAAGAATTGCTAGCTGAACTTTTTAGCATCAATAATTACAATCATGTTTTTGTTCGCCTTCAATTTCTTAAAATATTAGATGATGTTTTTCTAGTGCTTGAACTATTCCTGAATTCCAGAATCAAATATTATTTGGTTATATTAAGTAATGTACTGCTAGATTTAATTTTCTTTTTTGTGGGGAGGGGATTTTCTTGCCTATATTCCTAAATGAAAGTTTTCTTCAATTGTTCTGTGCTGTTTTAAAGTAGGTTATGGTATGAGACTTATTATAGCTTCATGAAAATGAACCAGGAAGCTTTAACTCTCTCTACACTCCAAATCATTTAGATAGCACAGGAGTTGTCTACTTCTTGAAAATTTTGAATGCACACGTAAAACCATCTAAGCTTGACAACATTCTAATTAAAGATCTTGTAGATGCAAAATATCAGATCACAATGATCCACTTGTTTGTTGTTTGTTTTTTCATATTAGAAGATTTTTTTTTTCTTTTGATAAGAACTAATGGAATTCTGGTATTTACCCTTTAAACTGGCAGCCCTCCTAACTGCTTGTGAAAGAAATCTTAGCAGAATAATAAAGAGAAAAATGTTTCCTCTTTCCCTGCAGCTACAGAAAAGGAGATTATATTCTGTGTCATAAATAGTCCTTGAAAGTGTTATTTCTAATAAAGAAGTCTTGTAAGATACCTAGAAGGCAGAAAGGGTGATCATGTCCTGTGAAATCAACATTTGTCTTTTAAAACAAAAAATTCTGATTGGTTGTCTTACTTAACAGTGTTTGCTTTGGTGATATTTATATTCACATCTTTGAATTGCTACAGGCTATAAATACTTGTAAGATTTCTTTGTTGGATCTTTTCTTTTCCACCTGCTTGTGGTGAAATTACACCTTGCAGATTCCTATTCCTATTTAAATAGAAGGTGAGATGCTTAAATCATTAGATGATCACATTTTAAGAATGTTTAAGTTTGATATTTTTATCTATTCTGATGTCAATTTTGATAATTTATACTTTTCTGTAAAATCATCTACTTCTCTATATTTCCACATTTAATGCCTTAATGTTACACATATTCATATGCCTGTATTTCCTTTTTTTTCTTACTGCTATAGCCGCAGTCCAAATTGAAAGTTTGTGATACGTCATTTTTACCTATCAAATGGACAAAAAATTTTAAAGACTCAGAAAATGTAGTGCTGGTAAAGATGTAGAAAAGCAAGTACATTTATACACTGTTTAATTAGAGTATAAACTGTTAGAATCTTTTGAGAAGTTATATGGTAACTAGTACTTATAAAATAAAAACGTGTTTATATCTAACCATCTCACTTCTGGAGTTTATCTAATCAAAGGAAATTCAGAAGTACTACACAAACATGTGTTTTGTACTACATTTATAATGGAAAATAACTGGAAACAATCTGAATGGCCATCCATCAGAAGATGTTTGAATCAAATAAACCATTGTACATTCATACTATAAAATACCATGCTATTAAAAAGAATGAGATTGACATATAAGTACAGACTTGGAAAAGATGTCCATAATATTGAAATAAATAAAAATAAAAGCAAGTTACAAAATATGTATACTATTTTGTGTATGGTCCTATTTTTACAAATGAAAGCAAAAACCAAAGAAAGAAAATCACTGAGATAAGTGCTTTGACAGTAAGCAGGGAAAAGGATGCAAGGACACATGCCAAATGTAAACAGGGGTTACACTGGGGGTGGAGTCACGACAGAGGAAGACTTCCGTTTTACTTTAATCACTTCTATATTGCTTGAATTGTTACAATGTGCTTATGGTACGTTTTCTAATTCAAATGTGTGATATAAATCTGTCTTTCCTACCTCTAAAATTTAAAAAAGGGAAAATTTGCTAGGCATCCTGTGTAATAACCCTCATTTAGTGGTCAAATCCAAGACTTGCTACAATCAATGGAAAAGATAGGACGGGCTCAGGCTGCCTTTAACAACTCTAATAATAGAGCATCGTGGTTTCCTATGACCATCAAATGAGGAATAAAGAAACTTGAAAATTTGGCTTTTTGGTTATAAGATTCAAAAGCGTCTTACAGAGGAGGGGCCAAGATGGCCGAATAGAAACAGTTGCAGTTGGAGGCTCCCACCAAGAAGAATGTAAACAGCAAGTGAATCCTGCACCAAAAACTGAGGTATAGAGGTTCTCTCACTGGGACTGACTACGCGGTTGTCTTGACCCATGGGGAGTGAGGAAAAGCAGAGTGGTACAACAGCCCACCTGAGAGCCACACAGGGCAAGGGAGCTCCCACCCCCAGCCAGAGAGGCAGTGAGTGATCATGCTACCCTGCCCGGGAAACCATGCTTTTTCCATGGATCTATGCGACCCACAGATCAAGAGATCCCCCTCATGAGCCAACACCACCAGGGCCTTGGGCCCCAAGCACAGAGTTTATAGATTTTCAGTGGCCACTCGGCTGGAGACAACCTAAGATTACGGAGTTCTTGTGGGGAGGGGTGGTCATCATCACTGTGGCTGCCTGTTGCCTAAGACAACTGAGCTCCCAGGGGCAGGGGTGGCTACCATCACCGCAGCTCCAGTCTGCCATCTTTCCCCTGCCAGTGCTGGAGATACTAGATGGTTTGGATCCAGGAGGAATTCTTCACAGGGCAGCACAGCAGCTGTGGCATATAGTGGCCAGATTGACCTATCCTTCCTCACTGGGCAGTGCCTCCCTGCAGCAATTTCAGCAACTCCAGGCAGGGGTTTGGGGACAAAACCCTGATCTCCCTGGGACTGAGCCCCTGGGGGGAGGGGCAGCCATGGTCTTTTAGGATGAGCAGACTTAGTCTTTCCTCCTGCTGGCTCTGAGGAATCCGGGCAGTCTGGACAAGTGGGATTCCCCCCAGTGCAGCACACCTCCTCCACCAGAAGGACCAAAAGTGCTTCCTTAAGTGGGTCCCAGATCCCATGCCTCCTGACTGTGTAGGAGCCCCCAACAGAGGTTGCCAGACACCTTATACAAGAGCATTCCAACTGGCATTAGGTTGGTGCACCTCTGGGACAGAGATTCCAGAAAAAGGAGCAGGCAGCCATCTTTGCTTTTCTGGAGCCTCCACTGGTGACACCTCCAGGTGTGGGAGGGACCTAGGCAAATAGGGTCTGGAGTGGACACCCAGCAAACTGAAGCAGCCCTATGGAAGAGGGGCCTGACTATTAAAAGAAAAACAAACAAATAGAAAGCAATAACAACAACAGCATCAACAGGAAACTCCCCACAAAAACCACATCCAAAGGCGAGCAGCCTCAAAGATCAAAGCTAGATAATCTCACAAAGATAAGAAATCATCAAAAAAAAAAAAAAAAAAAAAAAGGCTGAAAACTGAAAAAGCCAGAGTGTCTCTTCTCCTCCAAATGATCGCAATACCTCTCCAGCAAGGGTAGAGAACTGGGCAGAGGCTGAGATGGTGGAATTGACAGAAGTAGGCTTCAAAGGTGAGTAATAATAAACTTCACTGAGCTAAAGGAGCATGTTGTAACCCAATGCAAAGAAGCTAAGAATCATGATAAAACATTACAGGAGCTGTTAACCAGAAAAACCAGCTTACAGAGGAACATAAATGAACAGACGGAGCTGAAAAACCACAATACAAGAACTTCGCAATGCAACCACAAGTATCAATAACCAAATAGACCAAGCAGAGGAAAGAATTTCAGAGCTTGAAGACTATATTGCTGAAATAAGACAGGCAGACAAGATTAGAGAAAAAATAATAAAAAGAAACAAAAAAAACCTCTGAGAACTATGGAATTACATAAAAAGACCAAACCTATAACTGACTGGGGTACCTGAAAAGATACGGGGAGAATGGAACCAAGTTGGGAAACATACTTCCAGATATCATCCAAGAGAACTTCCCCAACCTATCCAGACAGGCCAACGTTCAAATTCAGAAAATGCAGAGAATCCCAGTAAGATATTCCACCATTTCAACCCCAAGACATATAATCATCAGATTCTCCAAGGTCAAAATGAAGAAAAAAATGTTAAGGGCAGCCAGAAAGGCCAGGTCACCTACAAAGGGAAGCCCATCAGACTAATGGCATAACCTCTCAGCAGAAGAGACTGGGGGCCAATATTCAACATAATTCCCAAAGAAATGAATTTCCAACCCAGAATTTCATATCTGGCCAGACTAAGCTCATAAGTTAAGGAGAAGTAAAATCCTTTTCAGACAAGCAAATGCTGAGGGAATTCATCACCACCAGGCCTGCTTTGCAAGAGCTCCTGAAGGAAGCACTAAATAGGGAAAGGAAAAACCATTCCCAGCCACTGCAAAAACATACTGAAGTACAAAGACCAATGACACTATGAAGCAACTACATTAACAAGTCTGCAAAATAACCAGCTAGCATCATGATGACAGGATCAAATTCACACATAACAATATCAACCTTAAATGTAAAACAGCATAAATGCCCCAATTAAAAGGCACAGAATGGCAAGCAGGATAAAGACTAAAGATCCATCAGTGTGCTGTATTCAAGAGACCCATCTCACATACAAAGACACATGTAGGCTCAAATAAAGGGATGGAGGAAAATTTACCAAGAAAATGGTAAGCAGAAAAAATCAGGGGTTGCAATCCTAGTTTCTGACAAAACAGACTTTAAACCAACAAAGATCAAAACAGACAAAGAAGGGCATTATGTAATGGTAAAGGTCAATTCAACAAGAAGAGCTAACTATCCTAAATATATATGCACCCGATACAGGAGAACCCAGATTCATAAAACAAGTTCTTAGAGACCTACAATGAGACTTAGACTCCCACACAATAATAGTAGGAGACTTTACCCCACTGTCAGTACTACACAGATAGAGACAGAAAATTAACAAGGATATTCAGGACTTGAATTCAGCTCTGAATCAAATGGATTTGACAGATATCTACAGAACTCTCCCGGACAAACAACAGAATATATAATCTTCTTGGTGCCAAATGGCACTTACTCTAAAGTTGATCACATAATCTGAAGCAAAACACTCCTCAGAAAATGCAAAAGAACTGAAATTACACCAGTCTCTCTGACCACAGTGCAATCAAATTAGAACTCAAGATTCAGAAACTCACTCAAAACCCACAACTACATAGAAATCGAACAACCTGCTCCTGAATGACTCTTGGGTAAATAATACAGTTAAGACAGAAATCAATAAGTTCTTTCAAACCAACGAGAACAAAGAGATGATGCATCAGAATCTCTGGGAGGCAGTTAAAGCAGTGTTAAGAAGAAAATTTACAGCACTAAATGCCCACGTCAAAAAACTAGAAAAATCTCAAATCAATACCCTAACATCACAACTAAAAAAACTAGAGAATCTAAAGCAAACAAACCCCAAAACTCACGGAAGACAAGAAATAACCAAGATCAGAGTGGAACTGAAGGAGACAGAGACACAAAAAACCCTTCAAAGAAATCAATGAATCCAGGAGCTGGTTTTTTGAAAAAATTAATAGATATACCAATAGCTAGACAAATAAAGAAGAAAAGAGAGTTGAATCAAATAGACACAATAAAAAATGATAAAGGGGATATCACCACTGACCCTAAAGAAACATAAACAATCACCAAACAATACTATAAACATCTCTATTCAAATAAACTAGAGAATCTAGAAGAAATGGATAAATTCCTGGATGCATACACTCTCCCAAGACTGAACCAGGAAGAAATTGAATCCCTGAGTAGACCAATAACAAGTTCTGAAATTGAGGCAGTAATAAATAGCCTACCAAACAAAAAAAGCCCAGGACCAGATGAATTTACAGCTGAATTCTACCAGAGGTACAAAGAGAAGCTAGTACCATTTACCATTTCTTCTGAAACTATTCCAAACAATTGAAAAGAAGGGTCTTCTCCCTAACTCATTTTATGTGGCCAGCATCATCTTGATACCAAAACCTGGCAGAGATACAACAACAAAGAAAAGCTTCAGGCCACTGTCCCTGATGAACATCAATGCAAAAATCCTCAACAAAATACTGGCAAACCAAATCCAGCAGCACATCAAAAAGCTTATCCACTATGATCAAGTTGGCTTCATCCCTGGGATGCAAGGCTGGTTCCACATATGTAAGTCAATAAACATAATTCATCACAGAAACAAAACTAAAGACAAAAACCACATGGTTATCTCAACAGATGCAGAAAAGTCCTTTGATAAAATTCAACATCCCTCCATGCTAAAAACTCTCAATAAATTAGATATTGCTGGAACATACCTCAAAATAATATGAGCCATTTATGACAAACCCACAGTCAACATCATACTAAATGGGCAAAAGCTGGAAGCATTCCCCTTAAAAACTGGCACAAGACAAGGATGCCCTCACTCACCACTCTTATTCAGCATAGTACTAGAAGTTCTGGCCAGGGCAATCAAGCAAGAGAAAGAAATAAAGGGTATTAAAATAGGAAGATAGGAAGTCAAACTGTCTCTGTTTACAGATGACATAATCCTATATCTAGAAAACTCCATCATCTCAGCCCAAAAGTTTAAGCTGATAAGCAACTTCAGCAAAGCTTCAGGACACAAAAGTCAATATGCAAAAATCACAAGCTTCCTATACACCAACAACAGGCAAGTAGACAACCAAATCATAATGAACTCTCATTCACAATTGTTACAAAGAGAATACAATACCTAGGAAAACAGTTAACAAAGGAAGTGAAAGATCTCTTCAAGGAGAACTACAAACCACTGCTCAAGGAAATCAGAGAGGACATAAACAGATGGAAAAACATTCCATGCTCATGGATATGAAGAATAAATATCGTGAAAATGGCTATACTGCGCAAAGTAATTTACAGATTCAGTGCTATTCCCATTAAACTACCATTGACATTCTTCAAAGAATTAGAAAAAACTACTTTAAAAAATCATATGAAACCAAAAAAAGAGCCTATATAGCTGAGATAATCCTAAGCAAAAGGAGTAAAGCTGGAGGCATCACGCTACCTGACTTCAAACTATACTACAAGGCTATAGTCACCAAAACAGCATGGTAATGGCACAAAAACATATACATTGAGCAATGGAATAGAATAGAGATCTCAGAAATGAGACCACACATCTACAATCATCTGATCTTTGACAAACCTGACAAAAACAAGCAATGGGGAAAGAATTCTCTATGTAATAAGTGGTGCTGGGAAAACTGGCTAGTCATATGGAAAAAAATTGAAACTGGACCCCTTCCTTACAATATATACAAAAATTAAGTGAAGATGGATTAAAGACTTACATGTAAAATGCAAAACGATACAAAACCTAGGCAATACCATTCAGGACACAGGCATGGGCAAAGATTTTATGACAAAAACGTCAAAAGCTATTGCAACAAAGGAAAATTGACAAATGGGACCTAATTAAACTAAAGAGTTTCTGCACCACAAAAGAAACTATCATCAGAGTGAACAGACAACCTACAGAATGGGAGAAAATTTTTTCAATCTATCCGTCAGACAAAGGTCTAATATCCAGAATCTACAACGAACTTAAATTTACAAGAAAAAAAAAACCTCATTAAAAAGCAGGGAAAAAACATAAACAGACACTTCTCAAAAGACGACATATATGCAGCCAACAAAAATATGAAAAAAAGGTCAACATCACTGATCATTAGAGAAATGGAAACCAAAACTACAGTGACTTACCATCTCATGCCAGTTGAAATGGCAATTATTAAAAAGTCAAAAAACAACAGATGCTAGAGAGGCTGTGGAGAAAGAGGAACGCTTTACACTGTTGGTGGGAGTGTAAATTAGTTCAACCATTGTGGAAGATGGCGTGATGATTCCTTAAAAACCTAGAATCAGAAATAACATTTGACCCAGCAATCCTATTACTGCGTATATACTCAAAGGAATATAAATCATTCTGTTACAAAGATACATGCACATGTGTATTCACTGCAGCACTATTCACAATAGCAAAGACATGGAATCAACACAAATGCCCATCAGTGAGACTGGATAAAGAAAACGTGGCACATATACATACTACGCAGCCATAAAAAGGAATGAGATCATGTCCTTTGCAGGAACATGGATGGAGCTGGAAGCCATTATCCTCGGCAAACTAATGCAGGAACGAAAAACCAAATATCGCATGTTCTCACTTGTAAGTGGGATCTGAACAATGAGAACACATGGACAATGGGAGAGGAACAACACATACTGGGGCCTGTCGGTGGGGGTGCAGCATGGGGGGAGGGAGAGCACCAGGATAAATAGCTAATGCATGCTGGCTGGGCTTAATACCTAAGTGATGGGTTGATAGGTACAGCAAACCACCATGGCACATGTTTACCCATGTTAACAAACCTGCTCATCCTGCACATGTATCCCAGATGTAAAATTAATTAAAATTCTTTTTAAAAAGTTTATTACAGAATTATATGGCCTAGAAGTTAAAATTGCTGTTTACTGAATCCAGGATATTGAAAAATACATGAAATCCTCTTCATCCTAATTTCCTTTCTGAAGAGCTCATACTTAAATAATATAAGATTAAGGTAAAGAATATATACTAAATGAAAACAAATAGGAGATAACACATTTATTCTTTAAAAGGGTTATTTCCATTAAAAGAATATAACTTTCTAATAAAACTGCAAGGGTAATAAAATAAAAACTACCACTTCCTAACAGTAGAAACTTAACAAACTAGGCAATTTTTACAACTGAAAGAAGAAAATTGTCTACATAAAATAGCTTAGACATAGTTAAGCCTTTATTATCTAGGCATTTAGCATAAGTTCCATAAAATAAAGTTTCAGCTTTATAAACTAATGGTTCATTTATTCAGAGACTGATCCAAAATTAAATTAGAATGAGTTTGTCTATAGTTTTACACTATAGGACTTGGTTGCCCCAAAGTGCCTTTACTGTGAGCTCTGCTTCGTGTGCCTTCATGATCTGCAAGGCGCCACAGGAGACTCAATCACTGGAGCTGAAGTGGCAGTTTTTGCACCAGTAGAGCTGTTAGGGCAGCTAATTTTACAGCTACAATGAAATTGTTGGAAATACCCCCGGGTACATTACTTCAGCACATTAATGAGGCTGTTCACAAAGAGAGTTTATTACAATAAGAGATAGATGTTTATTAGATCAGTAATATAATTATAGAACATGCTGCATGGGAAAGGCCTCTGGGAGCCATAGGCAGGATAATTTTGCAGGCATTAAACAAAACAAAAAAGCCAAACATCATTATCAAAACTGCCACATTTACTGTATCACAGTTATGGGTAAATATCCACACTATTAAATATCCACATTATTAAATATCCACATTATTTTCCTTTCAAAAATGATGCATAGGCATGCTTTCTGAGCTTACAAGCAATGAGGTTTGGGGGTGGGGGTGGCAAAAATGAAACAAATCAAACTCAGAGAATTTACTGTTCATCTTAAATAAGTCCCACTTCTAAAGACACCTAGGAATTGTATATTGTTGACTGTAGCCATAGTAGTCTTTCACTACACGTTATCGTACTACTGAGTAATAAAGACAACAGGCCGGGCGCGGTGGCGCACGCTGGTAATCCTAGCACTTTGGGTGGCGGAGGCAGGCTGATCACGAAGTCAAGGGATGAAGACTATTCTGGCCAACATGGTGAAACTTCGTCTCTACTAAAAATACAAAAATTAGCTGGGCGTAGTGAGGCACACCTGTAGTCCCAGCTACTCAGGAAGCTGAGGCAGGAGAATTGCTTGAACCCGGGGGGCAGAGGTTGCAGTGAACCAAGATCGCGCCGCTGCACTACAGCCAGGCAACACAGCGAGACTCCGTCACACACACACAAATAATAATAATAATAATAATAATAATAATAATAATAATAATACCCCTACCAATAACAATATAGCAAAGAGATAAAAGCAAACATCCTAGGTAGGGGGTGTTTAACATATGCCAAGGGCTGTGCTAAGAGTTCTTCATGCATTAATCTTTTAGCCTTCTCAACAATCCTGTGAGGTGTTGTAATTCCCTCCCTTTTTTTTTTTTTTTGATGTGGAAAGAGAGGCTTACTAACTTGCTCATGGTCATTCATCTGTTAATCAGTAAAGCCTACTCAACCACACTTAAACAAACGGGTGTTCAGAGGTGACCCAACTGAATCAGAAATGCCCTATATTTCCTGCCAAACAGCCTCATATCGAATGTCAAATTAATTAGATAACGTCAATTCATTTTCAGTTTTTAAAGATGCGACTATTTCTTTTTTTTCCTTTTTCTTTTCTTTTTTTTTTTTTGAGACAGAGTCCTGCTCTGTCACCCAGGCTGGAGTGCAGTGGCGCGATCTCGGTTCACCGCAAGCTCCGCCTCTCGGGTTCACGCCATTCTCCTGCCTCAGCCTCCCAAGTAGCTGGGACTACAGGCGCCGGCCACCACGCCCGGCTAATTTTTATGTATTTTTTAGTAGAGACGCGGTTTCACTGTGTTAGCCAGGCTGATCTCGATCTCCTGACCTCGTGATCCACCCACCTCGGCCTCCCAAAGGACTATTTCTTTTTTATTGTTGTTACTTGTAAATGCACAGCTCCATGCTATTACGTGATTATCCCTGTTGAAAACAAGGCAACGACGGCTTCTACAGTTTACAAATGTAGTATACATACATTGGAAGAGGCTGAGATACTAAAGACCAGTACTGACAAAGTAAAATGCAATCAGTATGACCTTGAAATAGAGACTTTAAAGAAATACAAGCATAAATGATTATGTTACCCATTAGCACCTCAACTTTAAATGGCGTTTTCTTCATCACCTCCCCAAAAACAACAAAGCATATCTTTAGTCTGTTTCTCTCCGATGAACCAATGAAGAAAACATGTATTTCCACAGGGAAAACCAGTCCCGAAAATGCTTTTTCTGGAGGATCACATAATGTAAAAAGAAGGCTCTTCTGTGTAATCCTTGGGGAACTATACCAGAACAGCTTTCCCACCGGGAAGCCACTACTCACCCCCACTTCTGTGGTACAAAAGAATCACTATCAATCATCTCCTTTTGTTTAGTTGTATTAGGAAGCAGCAAATTAGGTCAAGGAGATGATATTTTCATAGAAGACACTTTGCTATTATTTCCCAGGACATACACTGCTCCCAATTACTTAATGATTATGATGCATGGAATAAATACAACCAATCACATTCATCCAAAGAAATGATAATTTCATAAGATACACAGGTGCCACTCCACTTATTTAATATGTGGCAAAGGATAACTAGAACCAATGGAACAAAATGCCTGAAATCTTTTACCAACATACCACTACATAGATGTCTACCTATTCCTTACAATAAAATAATCCTGAACAAATCAAATAAACGTTTAAAAAAAAAAACCATGGAAGTAGTAGAAGAAAATGTGGGTGACTGTATTTATAACCCTGGAGTGGAAAGACATTTTAAAACATAACATAAAACTCAAAACTCTTAAAGACACTGATAAATTTGATTGAACAGAACTATCTTTATAGTGAAAATACCTATAAAAATTAAAAATGCAAGGAGAAACTAAAAAAGTCTATTTGTTGTGAAAAAAGGATAAGCCTATTAATATACAAAGAGTTCTTACGAATCAATGAAAGAGGTAAACTAAGTAGAAAAACATGAGCAAGGGTTACACTAAAGCTTTAATAATTGTGTAAAAAGACACACAAATGACTAATTAACCTACAAAAGATGCTAAACTTCATAAGTGATGAAGGAAATGCAAAACATCAAAGACCTATCAGGTTTCATGTGTCAGAATGGCAAAATGTTACAATTTCAGAAAACTGAGTATCAGCAAGGAGAAACAGACAATCTTTTGATGAGAATGAAAACTGGTCCTCTAGCTTTTAGGGAGAGCAGTTTGGCAATCTATATCAAAACTAAAAATTCACAACCTTTTACCTAGCAATTCTATTTCTAGAAATTTGTCCTATAATTATATAAGCACAAGTAAACATAGTATGTTGAACAAAAATTTTCAGTGCAGTTCTCTTTGCCAGAAAAATGTACCCCCTCCACATACACACACCTAGAAGCTTAAACATCCATTAATGGGAAATCTTACTAATTTGATTATGGTATGTTCATACAGTACCACAGTCATCCAAAATAGTTATACAGATTGAGCATCTCTAATCCTAAAATCCAAAACCTAAAATGCTCAAAAATCCCAAACTTTTTTTTTGAGACGGAGTCTCGCTCTGTCGCCCAGGCTGGAGTGCAATGGCGCGATCCAGGCTCACTGCAACCTCCGCCTTCCGGGTTCACGCCGTTCTCCTGCCTCAGCCTCCAGACTAGCTGGGACTACAGGCGCCCGCCACCACACCGGGCTAATTTTTTGTATTTTGTTTAGTAGAGACAGGGTTTCACCATGTTAGTCAGGATGGTCTCAATCTCCTGACCTCGTGATCCGCCCGCCTTGGCCTCCCAAAGTGCTGGGATTACAGGCGTGAGCCACCACACCCGGCCTATCCCAAACTTTTTGAGTGTCAATATGATACCACAAATGGAAAATTCCACACCTGAATGTGACAGGTCACAATCAAAACACAGACACACAATACAAAGATTATCAGTATCCCTGAAAGAAAAATAAAATTATCTTCATGCTATATGAACAAGGTGTATATGAAACATAAATGAATTTTATGTTTAGACTTGGTTCCTTTCCCTAAGATATTTCATTATTTAGGGGCAAATATTCCAAAATTCAAAACACTTCTTGTCCCAAGCATTTTGGATAAGGAATACTCAAAGTGTATTTATATGTACTGATATGGAAATTTTGTTAAAATATATTGAGAAATGGGATAGAAAGCAAGTTGCAGATATGCATATATACTATGATTTCATTATATAAAAGGGGCATATATACATTTATTTATACCCACACATATACATATAATTGTAAAAGCAAACACTATTTTTTGTGAGTCTGGATAAGAGAGGAAGATATTTACTTTTCATTTATTAACCCTTTCAAAGAGTTTGAATTATTTTTACTGGGCATATATAATTATTACTTTTAAAAGGACACTAGCACATAGAATCTATTTGTCAAACATCCAAAATATTTGGAGAAAAAAATGTAAGATACTGTAAATCATGCAGGTACATTTAAAACTCAGAAGGGGGCAAATCCGCCCATAATCAGGATGACCAATTCATTTTTCATTTACTTTTGGTACCTTGTATGTGAAAAGTCCCAGCATATAAATATATTTTTTATTATTGTTTTACATTATAGTATGTTTGCCTAGTGTTAATGGTGAAAGTGTTTTAGTTTGAATTGACTTTTTAAAATAACCTACAGAAAAAAGTTTAGTACTTAGTCAATTTATTTTTCCCATAGCGATCACTAGGTTAAACACTGAATTTTCTGTATTTGCAGTGTTTCTGCATGACGAATTTTGTAATTATCTTGGCCTCCACATTCCAAACAGCTTTGTGGTTTCATTTACATGAAATGTGAGTTTCCTTTTCTTGCCTCAACTGAATCTTTAATTATGAGCTGAACCATAATTATAAAAAGTTATGAGTTGAAAAATTTATCCTTCAAAATTCACACTGACAAACTCAAAGACAGAAATAGCTTAAGCAAGCAATTTATACATAAGTTTACTTCTCTGTAAAGTGGGTGGTTATCTGCTGCATATGAAAGCACTCAGTCCAACCAGCCATGCTCCTGATGGTAGAAGCATCTCAAGAAATGAATCTCACATCTCAAGTCTTTAGTAATGTTGTTCCCAAAGATGCTTTAAGCCCAGGGACAAACAGAACTGTGTGAACCTAACTACTAATGATCACAGGGTGTCCAATCAACATGAAAATAAAAATAACTAATAGAAGATACATAAGTTAATGATCCAAAATAACTATATATCTGTTTCTAGGAAGGATGGTTAATGGGATCAAATCAATCAAGGCTGACTGGTTTTACCAGATAATATAGGTGTGGCCCAAAATAACTCAAATTGTTAAATAAGGTTCTATCTGAGAATAAATAGTAACTTTGAACTGAGTATGCATACAATTACTTTTGGACCCAAGTGAAACTTTAATAGTAGGAAAATGGAAAATGCATGTAACCAACTACCTTAAGAATACAGACAGGCTGGGTGCAGTGGCTCATGCCTGTAATCCCAGCACTTTGGGAGGCTGAGGTGGGTGGATCACCAGAGGTCAGGAGTTCAAGACCAGCCTGACCAACATAGTGAAACCCTATCTCTACCAAAAATATAAAAATTAGCTGGGCATGGTGGCAGGTGCCTGTAATCCCAACTACTCAGGAGGCTGAGGCAGGAGAATCAATTGAACTCTGGGAGGTGGAGGTTGGAGTGAGCAAAGATTGCGCCATTGTACTCTAGCCTGGGCAACAGAGCAAGACTCCGTCTCATTCATAAATAAATAAATAAATAAATAAATAAATAAAGCATACAGACAGTCCCCAACTTACGATGATTTTACTTAAGGTTTTTTGACTTTATGATGGTGGGAAAGCGATACGCATTCAGTAGAAACAGTACTTTGGGTACCCATACAACCATTGTCTTTTTCACTTTCAATACAGTAGTCAATAAATTGCATGAGATACTCAACACTTTATTATAAAACAGCTTTGTATTAAGATAATTTTGACCAACTAATGGCTAATGTAAGTGTTCTGAGCACATATAAGGTAGGCGAGGCTAAGCTATGATGTTTGGTAGGTTTAGGGGTATTAAATGCATTTTCAACTTACAATACCTTCAACTTATGACAGGCTTAACCGAGGCATAACCCCATTGCAAGTTGAGGAGCATCTATATTTTTGGTTGATGCTTTTTAAAAACGCCATACTATATTGTAGTACATAGTTTTATTTGAAACTGATACCAGGTATTTTTCATTATCTGTTACTATATATTCAATTTTTCATTATCTCTTGGGTGAATTTTTAAATGATTGAGTTTGAAGGGGCCAGCAGAGCTCTTCTAGTCCAACCACTGTCTTGTAGGCAGAAAACTGTCATTTTAACTCCCTACATCTCTCAAATGAACAGGATGAAAAAGGAGCCTTTATGCACTGTGTCAATCAGCTGTACTGGGTTATTGGACAGAAATATGTTAGGGGCCAACTGCCCAAAATGTCCTGACTGCTTGGCAAGTGGGACCGAGCAACCACGTCCTTTCATAGTAATTAGGAAGCAGACTCAAGGGCTGCTGCTGGTGACAACAATCAAGGCCCCCATGTCCTCTGCAGCACAGGGGCACAATCCAGCTCCCTCAGGAAGGGCATCATGAATTAATTAAGACTAGCAAATGCCACAAGTAATATTTATGAAAAAAAACTCATCTGCTTTCTTATAAAAGAAAATGCTATTCTTATCATTTCATGGATATAGCACAAAGTATCAAGACATGAACTTACTGAGTCTGGAAGTGGAAAAGCAACATACCTACATTCAAGATAAAGTTTTATGCTCTGCTAAGTCATATCTAGCTGCTTATTTTGGACTCAAGAAAATAGCATTACAGATAGTCAATTTATTGCCACAGGAAAGCCAACCAAGCTATACTTAGTCTCCACTCAACAGAACAGTATTCTGATCTTTTCTGGCAGGATTAAAGACTGAATTCTGATGATAACAGCTACTATGAGAAACTCGGAGTTGCAGAGCTGGTGAATATTCATGAAGTTTTCTTACTATAATGGCCCTTGGCAGGGAGGATGGAAGGGATGTGTACTTTTGAATGATCTAAGAAGCTTGGAGTTTATCTATCAGACTTGACTCTAGAATTTCAAATCCTAAATTAAGAGAAAAATTCACTTTTCACTGAAATTGATAAAGTATATTAGGAAAAATGCTCAAGATTCTGAAGCTAAAATCACTATGTAGATATTTCTCTCCACCTCATAGGGAAAATGTTGGGTATCTCTGGTGTGTAAACAGCTGGCAGTGAGCTTCCACCCTGCTCTGCTTTTGTGTCTTACACACTATACTCTGGGCAGAGCAAGAGGATATCTTGGTCCCCAGAGATGCAGAGTGAGAGATGCCTCTGAGATCAGGTCCCTTGAGTAAAAGTTTCCAAGGCCCTGCTCCACCTCATGAACACTAAACACCTTTCTATTTTATCACTCACACCCCAAATTAAAATAAGAATGATCTGAATGTCATCACTGACTTGCCAGAAATGCAGGCACATGAGCAGGTTAATTCTAAGAAAGCAACCCAAGGCTAAGGCTTTCATTTTCTAATACTAATTAAAAGAATTTCAAATAGCACCACAGAAAGACTTCTTGAAGGGATATAAGGGAGAGATTCTGTTTACAAGTCCTTTTAGTCCTTTTAGAGCACCTGAAAATTAGAACCTGGAGGAAGAGAAGGCCAGTGAGAAGGGTAACAGAAAATCATGTGCAAAAATGACTTGGTGCTCTGGGGATGGGGAACTGGTGGGAAGAGCTGTGCCTCAACTCTGGAGAGCTGAAAGTCAGGACCCTAGTTCATTTGTTTACTATTTTCCAAACGAAAATAACTTTATCATATTCTGGTTTTTTAAAATACATGTTTATTGTTAAAAAAAAAAAAAAAAAAGCAGGGTCAGGACAAGGACAGCAAAGAAAGGCATTTTTTAAAATAATTATCGAGAAATACCCTAGAGTAAGCCCTTGCTGTTTCTCCAGCCTCACTTCTTTTTGTACATTTTATATACACATATATAAAGTGTGACATAAATCAGACCATATAACTTTTTTTGTAACCAGATTTTGGCACTTAGTACATCTTATTCATGGATCCAACAATTATTTATTGAGAGCGTGCTATGGTGAGCACTTTAAAATGTGCCAGGGGTAAAGCTGACAACTATACAAGCATGTGACCTTCCAGTCAGGATGGTGCGTGAGTTCAAAATTTGCACCCTTCCCCAGTAGAAACTATAATAATGGAAGCTTTAAAAAATACAGATAGTTATCCCCATGGGTCAGGAATGGAACAAACATACACAGCAGCTTGAAGTTCAAACACAGTCAGAAGTAGCTACCAAGAAATAGGATCTTCAGGATCACTGAGACCAGCAGTTTGAGACCAGCCTGGGCAAGACCTCATCTCTACAAAAGTTAAAACAAGGACAAAAAAAAACAAACTTGGCCAGGCATTGTGGTGCATGCATGTAGTCCCAGCCACTTGGGAGACTGAGGTGGGAGGATCACTTGAGCTCAGGAGTTCGAGGCTGCCATGAGCTGTGATCATGCCACCACTGCTCTCTAGCCTGGGCAACAGAATGAGATCCCCGACTCAAGAAAAGAAAAAGAAAAACCTTCCGGGGCACATTTATTTGTAAACCATTCCAGAGGATAGAAAAGAGATGTAAAGCTCCCTAATTCATTCCATATGGTTAGCATAATCCTTATAGCAAACTGCACAAATAAAACACCAGGAAAATTTAAAAAAAAAAAAAAAAAGGAAAAAGAAATAGGATCTTCAATGTAATCGGACTATCAATCCAGGTGTGGCAAGACAAAAGCCAGCCAGAGAGTGTGAAATGGGGGTTGGGGTTCCCCGTGAACAAAAGGAGACAGAAGAAGCTTTTCCAGCTGTGGGCCTCCTGCTAATAAATGAAGCTATTCTACTGTTGAAACATTAGCCACAGAACCTGGACCAAATTCACTGAAGGCTCAGTATCTGGATTTGTGATATACCAAATAATAGCTTGAGATAGAAATTTGGGCCTTGCATTTGTTTCTGGATTTGGGGACCCAGGGCAAGGTAACTATAGTACCACTAGATAGAAAGCAGTTGGTTTAGAGAAAAGAAACAAGAGCATCACAAAACACAAATACCTTCCACTCTTGATGAACTTGGATAGGAAGTTAGACTGAAATGGAGGAAACCACCGAACAAAATGACCACTAGGTGAATTCACCCAGAAAGAAATGAAAATAATAAAGCAAGCTAAAAATGACTTATTTTTAACAGCTTTCTTGAGTGATAACTGACATGCAATAAAGTACAAAGTATACAACAATCAAGACAGTGAACATAACCATCACCATTATAATTTTATATTCACTAATACCTCACTATTTTGATTACAGTAGCTTCATAGTAAGTCTTGAAATCAGAGTATTAGCCCTCCAACTTTATTCATTTTCAAAGTTGTTTTGACTATTCTAAGGTCCTTTATATTTCATGTAAATTTTAAAGCTAGTTGATCAATCTCTACAAAAAATGTCTGCTGGGATTTTGACTGGGACCACATTGAGTTTACACATCAATTTTGGGAGAACTAGCATCTTAACAATATTGAGCCTTCCCGCTCCTGAACCAGGTATATCTCTCCACATATGTAGAAGTCCTTTAATTTCTCTAAGCAATGTTTTGTGGTTTCCATACCTTTTGTTAGATTTTCCCCTAATATTTCATATTTTTATGCTATTGCAAAACGCATTACTTATTTCAATTTCAAATTGTCCATTGCCAGAAATAAAATAGATTTTTTTGCATATTGATTTTGTTTACTGCAATGTGGACAGACTTCTTTATTTAATTTCTAGTAGCTTTTTGTTGATTCAATTGAATTTTCAACATAGACATCATGTCATCTATGGATAAAGACAGTTGTACTACTTCTTTTCCAATCTGGATGATTTTTAATTATTTTTCTTGTTTGATTGCACTGGCAGGGACCTCTAATACAATGGCAAATGGAAGCAGTGAAAGCAAACATCTCTGTTTGTGTTTCAGATCTTAGGTAGAAAGCGTTAAGGCTTCCACCATTAAGTATAATGCTAACTGTAGATTTTTCAGAGATGTGCTTTACCAGGTTTCATCAGAAATAAATGTTAGATTTTTACCAAGTACATTTCTGTCTCTATTGAAACAATGAAATAGTTTTCCTTTCTTAGCTTGCTAATGTATATATTACTTGATTGATTTTTAAATATTAAACCAATCCTGCATTACTGGGATAAATCCCTCTTGGCCATGGTATATTTATTCTTTCAATATATGGTTAGATTCAATTTGCTAAAATTTTGTTTAAATTTTTGCATCTATGGTCATACAGGATATTGGTAGTTTTCTTTTCTTGTACCATCTTTGGTTTCTGGTATCAGGGTAATGCTAGCCTCTAGAATGAGTTGGGAAACAGAGCTTCTTCAATTTTCTGGGAAAGATTTTGTAAATTTGGTTATTATTTCTGAAATATTTCACTGAATTTACCACTGAAGCTATCTGGCACTGGAGGCTTCCTTATGGAAACATTTTAAACTAAAAATTCTATTTTTTAATAGACACAGGGTTATTCAGGTTGTTTTTTTCTTGAGTGAGTTTAATAGTTTGTACCTTTCAAGAAAGTTTTCCATTTCATCTAAGTTCTTTCATTGATTGGCATAAAGCTATTTATAATATTCCCTTATTCCTTTTAATATCTGTAGAATTTGTAGAGATGTCTCTCCATATTCTTCTCTCATTCCTGATACAGGCAAGTAGTGTCTTTTTTCCCTGATTAGTATGGCAATGGGTTTATCAATTTTGTTGACCATCTCAAAGAATTGGGTTTTGATTTTACTTATGTTCTCCACTGTTTTCCTAGTTCCTTATTTTTGATTTGATTTCTGTAATCTTTATTAGTCCCTTTCTTCTACTTACGTTGGGTTTAATTTGCTCTTCTTTTTCTAGTCTTTTAAGGTAGAAACTAAGGTAATTGATTTGAGACCTTTCCCAAACTTTTCTAAAAGAGGAGTCATGTGCTGTAAATCTCCCTCCCCCTAAGTACTGTTTTAGGAGCATCCCACAAATTCTCATATGTAGTGCTTTCACTTTCATTCAGTTCAAGATATTCTTTTCGATTTTTAATTTGACCCATGACTCTTTAGGAGTGTGTTAGTTTCAAATATTTGGGGATCTTCCAAGTATCTTTTTTAAATTGGCTTTTAATTCCATTATGGTGAGTTCTACATATTTATCAATTTATAATTTCTCTATATTACAAAATATATAATATTTACATATGTATAAATTTATGTATACTTTATATGACTTGAATATTCTTAAGTTTGAGGCTTGTTTTATCGTGCAAAATATGGTATATCTTGGTAAAATGTTCAGTGTGCGCTTCCAATAATGTATTTCCTTCTTTTGCTGGGTGCTCTGTGAATGGCAATCAGGTAAAGTTAGGTGGTAGTGTTGCTCAAGGCTACCATTCCCTTGCTGATTTTCTTTCATCTCTTCTATCAATTATTAACAAACGGGCACTGAAATCTTTTATTTAAGCTGCATATTTGTCTTTTTACCCTTTTGCTTCTAATAGTTGTTTTGCTTCATGTGGTTTGTTTAGCACTGTTAGGTCTATTTGATTGACTATCGTATCATTAGGACATGACCTTCTTTATCTCTGGCAACAGTTTTGCTCTGAAATCTACTTTGTCTAATATTTTAAAATAGCCACTCCAGCTTTCTTTTGATTAGTGTAACCATGGTGCATCTTCTTCCATTCTTTTACCTTTAACCTACATGTGTCTTTATAGCTAAGATATGCTTCTTGTAAGCAGTATATAGTTGGGTCTTGCTTTCTTGCCCCCAAAATGGGGAAAAATGGAAAAAAGGCCCCAAAGTGGACTGTTAGCTGATGGGAAAGGGGTATCACTGATTTATTAGAGAGAGAGTATTAGGGAGCCAGGACAGGACAGAGGAGGTAGAAATTTAATATCATTGTTTGTGCTAAGGAAAAACGGGTAACATAAGATAGAAATGGGGACTTAAAATGTTTTGTGATTATAAAAGTGGTAAATCTGTAAAGGTACCTTAAAGAAAATCTGAAATACGCAGATGATTTAAAGAAGAAAACAGAAATCACATGTAGTTCTACCACCCAGAGTAAACCACTGCAAGCATTTCAGTGTATGTGTGTCCTATATTATACAGAAGTAGTCCTCACTTTGCATGGTATTAAAGGACCACAAAAATGACCATGCAAAGTTAAAACATGCAAAATAATCTTAATAATGAATGGAGAAATTAGGTTGCTCCATGATCTTTAAAGTTTCTTTTCAAAATATTTAAAACCTTATTATTATTATTAGAGACAGAGTCTCTGTCACACAGGCTGGAGTGTAGTGGTGTCACCATAGCTCACTGTTACCTTGAACTCCTGGGCTCAAGTGATCCTCCCACCTCAGTCTCCCAAAGCACTGGGACTACAGACATGAGCCACTGCACCTGGTCCTTATTGTTGATTATAAATGTGTACTTACGTGTTGAGGAATAAAAAACAGTAAATTTAATATTTATTTAGTACTCTGTAACGTGAAACATTAAAAACATGGAGAATTAAAGCATCTTATTTCTTTGTAAAACACTTATCAAGAGTAGTTTGAATAGTGCTTCTCTTCTTCTCATCATATAATTTATGACATAGAAACAGCACACTTTCTATGACTTGGTGAACTGTCATCCTGCTTTCTAATATGGCTCAACTCTCAACATTTTATCCTTTGCACTTTCAGTGTCATGGACATTTCCCAGAGCTCCTTTAATGTGAAGATTTTTGCCTGTATCACTTCCTCTGGAACATCTTTATCCTTTTCATCAAAACCACCCTTGTCATTTATGCAGATAAGTTCATTCTCACCAGGTTTCTCTGGCTACATACCCAGAGCTTCTCAAATGGTAGTAGTTTCAATAATCCTACAGTCAGCTCTTTCTTCTGTAACTCCACTTACATTCCTTTCAAATTTCACTTCC
Organism: Homo sapiens; assembly: GCF_000001405.40. Lineage (NCBI taxonomy): Eukaryota > Metazoa > Chordata > Mammalia > Primates > Hominidae > Homo > Homo sapiens. The sequence goes on from NC_000003.12 coordinate 41,443,278, forward strand.
CACATTATCATTTTTAATTTATTTGATTCACCTTCATCTTTGCTGGACAATTCCTTCTTTCACTTATCAACTTTTGTAAAATGCTACACAGACTTATCACTAGGGGACAAAGAGGCAACCCAACTATATGCTTTGCTGCCTGTGCATAAAATAAATAATGGATGCATAGTAAGCAAATGCTGACAGACTTTGAATAAGTGAAATGACTAGTCACTAATGGTGATGTGCACCTGTTATTTACATAGTGATTTCTTGACTGAAGAGCTAATGGCAAAGTTTATACTTTCATGTAATTACTTCCAGTTAACATACCATGGTAACTAAACTTTGGACCATGTTGTTAAGGGGACTGACATTATTAATATTAAACTGAAATTTGTGCATATTAGAACCATGCAAAGACTGTCTCTCTGCTCTTTGTATATATATCGTGATACATATTATAAAATGAACCTAATTTTAAATATATATTTTCAATAAATATATTTTTCAATTATATACACATTTTAAAATACACTTTTAACTAGCATGTTAAGCAATATATTCTAATATTTAACTTATGTTACAAATATTTTCCCATATGATTAAATATGCTCAGGAAACATGATATTGTGAGTAGCACAATATCTACCCTAAGAATCTACCCTAAGAATTGAATTTAATTAATTTCCAATTGAGCAACATATAGATTAACAAAGTTTTCAGTACTAAAAATAATGCTGTAAAGTATATCTGTTTATACAAAATAATTCTGTACTTCTGATTATTACCTATGCATAAATTTCTATAAGTGGAATGACGACATTAAAAGGCATAAATAATCATAAGGCTTTCGATACAGACCAATTAATATTTTAATTTACCAATATATATTCCCACAGCCAGCTTCCAACTTTGAAGATTGGAAAAGTAAAAACTTGCATTTCATTTTTTTCTCATTTAATTTTCCCTTATTACTAATGAACTTATGTGTTTGGTGAAATTAACATTGGGCATTTGTATTTCTGCTGTTGTGAATTACCTGCTTAATTCTTTTGACCACTTTTCTCTTGGGGGTATCTCTTTCTAAATGATTTAAGTGACTTCTCTCTCTCTCTCTCTCTCTCTCTCTCTCTGTATATATATAATCTCCTTACAGATACTATGTCTCATAATGAATTTGTTATAAGTTGTGGAACTCAAAAGACCATCAGTTATTACCATTCTGCCCAATTCTCACATCAGTGAGATGTATAAATATAATGTTATACTAAAATTCTGGTGTGTTTTTACCTGGTTCTAATATCTAACCTTGAGATTTGGTTATTAGAGTCTAATTATTAAGACTCAATTTCCTCATTGATGCACATAAAAACTTAACCATTAATTATGCAAAAGTATTCTTATCCTACATTTAAAAATCAAGGCAAGAAAATAAAATGGCCAGGCGCGGTGGCTCACATCTGTAATCCCAGCACTTTGAAAGGCCGAGGTGGACGGATCACAAAGTCAGGAGTTTGAGATCAACCTGGCCAGTATGGTGAAATCCCATCTCTACTTTAAAAAGATACAATCTCACCACTCCTATTCAACATAGTGTTGGAAGTTCTGGCCAGGGCAATCAGGCAGGAGAAAGAAATAAAGGGTATTCAATTAAGAAAAGAGGAATTCAAATTGTCCCTGTTTGAAGATGACATGATTGTATATCTAGAAAACCCCATTGTCTCAGCCCAAAATCTCCTTAAGCTGATAAGCAACCTCAGCGAAGTCTCAGGATACAAAATCAATGTGCAAAAATCACAAGCATTCTTATACACCAATAACAGACAAACAGAGAGCCAAATCAGGAGTGAACTCCCATTCACAATTGCTTCAAAAAGGATAAAATACTTAGGAATCCAACTTACAAGGGATGTGAAGGACCTCTTCAAGGAGAACTACAAACCACTGCTCAAGGAAATAAAAAAGGATACAAACAAATGGAAGAACATTCCATGCTCATGGGTAGGAAGAATCAATATCGTGAAAATGGCCATACTGCCCAAGGTAATTTATAGATTCAATGCCATCCCCATCAAGCTACCAATGACTTTCTTCACAGAATTGGAAAAAACAACTTTCAAGTTCATATGGAACCAAAAAAGAGCCTGCATCGCCAAGTCAATCCTAAGCCAAAAGAACAAAGCTGGAGGCATCATGCTACCTGACTTCAAACTATGCTACAAGGCTACAGTAACCAAAACAGCATGGTACTGGTACCAAAACAGAGATATAGATCAATGGAACAGAACAGAGCCCTCAGAAATAATGCCGCATATCTACAACCATCTGATCTTTGACAAACCTGACAAAAACAAGAAATGGGGAAAGGATCCCCTATTTAATAAATGGTGCTGGGGAAACTGGCTAGCCATATGGAGAAAGCTGAAACTGGATCCCTTCCTTACACCTTACACAAAAATTAATTCAAGATGGATTAAAGACTTACATGTTAGACCTAAAACCATAAAAACCCTAGAAGAAAACCTAGGCAATACCATTCAGGACATAGGCATGGGCAAGGACTTCATGTCTAAAACACCAAAAGCAATGGCAACAAAAGACAAAATTGACAAATGGGATCTCATTAAACTAAAGAGCTTCTGCACAGCAAAAGAAACCACCATCAGAGTGAACAGGCAACCTACAAAATGGGAGAAAATTTTCGCAACCTACTCATCTGACAAAGGGCTAATATCAAGAATCTACAATGAACTCAAACAAATTTACAAGAAAAAAACAAACAACCCCATCAAAAAGTGGGAGAAGGATATGAACAGACACTTCTCAAAAGAAGACATTTATGCAGCCAAAACACACATGAAAAAAATGCTCATCATCACTGGCCATCAGAGAAATGCAAATCAAAACCACAATGAGATACCATCTCACACCAGTTAGAATGGCAATCATTAAAAAGTCAGGAAACAACAGGTGCCGAAGAGGATGTGGAGAAATAGGAACATTTTTACACTGTTGGTGGGAATGTAAACTAGTTCAACCATTGTGGAAGTCAGTGTGGCGATTCCTCAGGGATCTAGAACTAGAAATACCATTTGACCCAGCCATCCCTTTACTGGGTATATACCCAAAGGATTATAAATCATGCTGCCATAAAGACACATGCACACATATGTTTACTGAGGCACTATTCACAATAGCAAAGACTTGGAACCAAGCCAAATGTCTAACAATGATAGACTGTATTAAGAAAATGTGGCACATATACACCATGGAATACTATGCAGCCATAAAAAAGGATGAGTTCATGTCCTTTGTAGGGACATGGATGAAGCTGGAAACCATCATTCTCAGCAAACTATCGCAGGGACAAAAAAAACAAACACCGCAAGTTCTCACTGATGGGTGTGAATTGAACAATGAGAACACATGGACACAGGAAGGGGAATATCACACACCGGGGCCTGTTGTGGGGTGGGGGGAGGGTGGAGGGATAGCATTAGGAGATATACCTAATGTTAAATGATGAGTTAATGGGTGCAGCACACCAACATGGCACATGTATATATATGTAACAAACCTGTACGTTGTGCACATGTACCATAAAACTTAAAGCATAATAAAAGAATAGAAATAAAAATAAAATAAAATAAAAATAAAAACGTACCAAAAAAAAAATTAGCCGGGCATGGTGGCGTGTGCCTGTAATCCTAGCTACTTGGGAGGTTGAGGCAGGAGAATTGCTTGAACCCGGGAGGTGGAGGTTGCAGTTAGCCGAGATGGCACCACTGCACTCCAGCCCGGGTGACAGAGCGAGACTCTGTCTCAAAAAAAAAAAAAAAAAAAAAAAAAAGACAAGACACCTTTAAAAACCTTTTAATTAGCTAGACTTTGCTTTTGGCATGACCCACGTTTCACAGTTCCACATTCAATTCTTTCTTCAACCTCTCTAACTCCCATCTCTCGCCTATCGGTCTGTCCCATTGCCCTAGTCTTGTTCTTTCAGTGAAATGTATTCATATTAAAGCATTACTTCTGAAAGAGGGCTTGAAAAGAAGACAGGAGAATGCTGGAGTGTGGATCATCATGGGTGAGAATGACTTTCTGGAGGAGCTCTTTTCTGGCACACCTCATATCCCGCCACATAAATGCATGTTTTTTTACTCAACCTAGAGCAGGCAGCCTTGGCCAATAACAAAATGCCATTAAAAAAACATATTGCTACATGACAGCCACTCAAGACAAAGGCATAAAAAGTAATGGGAGAAAGCAGATCTGCAGTTCCGGGGCCTTTCTTCCCTAAAGCTAGACAAATCTAAACATTGAATGTCAGAGCCCTGGGGACTTTCCTGTTAGAAAAGGGTAATGATGCTGTGGCATCTATTTTGACTGCTCAGAGGCTTCGTGCTCACCAATGCTGCCGGGATCCTAGGGCTCGGTTTTTATGTATTGCGGTGGCTATAAGCACAGCAATTTTCCAGAAATACATGGGTCCCTGGTTAATGTCATCTGCCCTTTTGGATCCTTTCTTGTCAATCAAAGATAGGGTTTGGGTTGTTTCAGAAACACAGGCTGCCCAATGAATGTCAGGGCTAACCCTGCTAAGAAGAGGGCAACTTCTAGAGAGAAGTCTAAATGATGCAATTTTAAAGCAAGCGAGCCGAGCCAGTGAGCCATCACCACCACCACCTCCTACTAGAGGCCAGGCAGGACAGCAGGAGTGCTGCGGACAAATTCTCTGAATAAATTTGTACTTGAATCTATGTCTTACCAGACTTAGTCTATGCTACATTTGCTAGCTCTTTACTTCCTTTCCTACACAAATATAATTAAATCCCTTCTCTGTAACAGGCCCCAAAGTGAAGCAAACCGATATGGCTCCTGCCTTCCTAGGGTTTACAGCTTAGTGGGAGGGACAGAGACATAAACAAGTGTTTTTGGTACCAGGTAACAGGAAGTGTTAGGACTAGGAGGCTGGGGATGCTATGGGAGCCGGGGTCTGAGGCACGCTAAACCAGTTTTCGTGGGTGTAACCAGCTTCCTAAAGTAAGTGACAATGAAGCCAAGACCTGAAAGCCAAGGAAAAGTCAGCAAAATGAAAGGAGAATGAGCTAAGGGAAATCAAGGCATGTTTAAAGAACTGAAAAGAGTTGGTGCACAGAACATAGAATATGACTAGAAAAACCAAGAGAAAGTGCTAGAAACATAAGAAAGGGTCCAATTATCTATGATTTTGTAAGCCTGTTCAGAAGTTAGAGTTTATTAAGTCAATGCATGACAGGATGAGTTTTGTATTTTGGAAAGAACACTCTGACTGTACCATGGAGAAGACAGTAGAGGGAGCAAGAACAGGCAGAGAATCCAGGTGGAAGGCTCCTGTGGTCCTGTAAGGGCAGGAGGATGGTGGTGACCTTCATGATAGTGCTCATGGCAACGAGGAGAAAATGGCAGTCTGTAACGTGTGATGTGTGATGTGTTTGGGTGGCAGAACTGCCAGGGCTTGATGAAACGGGGCAGGATGGCGAAGGAAAAGACAAGAATGATGTCCACGTTCTTGGCTTGGGCAATTGAGTGGAAGTTAGTTTCATTCACTGACAGACAAAGCACAAAAGGAGGAACAGTTTTATTTTTATTATTTTATTTTTTCAAGATGGAGTCTCACTCTGTCACCCAGGCTGGAGTGCAACGGCACCATCTCAGCTCACTGCAACCTCCGCCTCCTGGTTTCTCGGCTCACTGCAACCTCTGCCTCCTGGTTTCAAGCAATTCTCCTGCCTCAGTCTCCCAAGTAGTTGGGACTACAGGCATGCGCCACCATGCCTGGTTAATTTTTGTATTTTTAGTAGATACAGGGTTTCACCATACTGGCCAGGCTGGTCTCAAACTCCTGACCTCAAGTGATCTGCCCACCTCAGCCTCCCAAAGTGCTGGGATTACAGTTGTGAGCCACCATGCCCGGCCCCAAGTTTTATTTAAAAATTTTTTTTTTAGAGACCAGGTCTCACTATGTTGCCCAGGCTGGTCTTGAACTCCTGGGCTCAAGCGATCCTCTTGCCTTGGCCTTCTAAAGTAGGAACAGTTTTCAGGAGGTACTTATGAGTTTGTTTTAACCCTGTTGAATCTGAGGTACTTATGGCGTATCCAGTGGAAATGTCCAGAAGGCAGATGGGCGGTGGCTACTCAGAAAGAGGGGTATCATCTTTAAATGGAGTACTGACTCCTTAGAGGAGCTGCTTAGTATAGAACTAATAAAATCCCCAATCTCTTGGGTTTGACTTGCAAAAAGACTACTACTACCCCTGGGCTCCATCACCATAAACCATAATCACCATAAAGCATTACCTGTATTTCATGCCACTGACTGTGAAGTCAGCAGGAAACAGAAGGAGAACAGGCAAGTACAAGTCCACCACCATTTGAAAAGAAAAATCTGCTCATGTACTTTGTGAAAGGAAGAAATTTAGTAATAAAAATGGAAAACAGAAATGAACTTTTTCTACATTGTGTTTTATTTTTAATTTATTTTTATGTTAATTTACTTTTTTTTAAAACTGGCACAGTGATCTCAGAAACATGAATTGATAAGAATCATCAGATGTTCAGGCGACAGCTTGGTCTCCCAGTTATCTAGTATAGCCACACTGATACAAGTTGAGGACTGGGTCCTAAATGGACTGTCAAGGACCATCTTTTCAGTGGCCAAAAAAGGCACACATGATTCATGTGAAATAAACAGAACAATATAAATTAGTCTAAATACTGGCACCTTTGATATATAATAAAGAATATTTTTAAAATAATACCATAGGAAATATCTATTTTAATTAAGGGACAAGCAGGCTGTAGCATCATTTCTTATCATAGTTAACTATCTAGTTTAAAAACTTATCTAGAATATATACTTTGGCTTCTCATTTTCTTTCTTTCAGGAATAAAACACTTTGGTCAAATAAGCACCTTGCTTTATCTTTCCTTCAGGAGACAGTCAACTTATTATATCCTATATTAGCCATATCTTATACTATGGTTACCAACTGAGGGTTTGAAGTTCCCCCTGAAATTGAGAACTGCGTGAACTCTGCACATAAGCAAGTCTAGGCATTTTTATGGTAAGAGAATCAAGAATAATCAGATTGTCAAAACAGACTTAGAATCACTGTCTTATATAAACATTTCACTATGGCTCTCCTACAGTGTATATTATAAATATAGGTCATAAATTATAGGTTGACAGGTTTCATATTCTCTTAAGGATAAGTAGGTTTACTTTCATAGGACCATATCTGGAAAAAACCTCAAAAGCTAACAAGTTCATTCTGTTGCCTTTAGGCCAAGTGCTTCCAAAATTATCCAAGTCAGATGAAAACTGAAAGTGTGTTTATTTTTCCCTACGGGAAAGCAATTCCAGCACCTCATTCTGTAACCTATTACATTTTTTATCAACCACTGTAAAATTTATCTTTGGTCTGTATGTGCTCTAGTTTAGGTCCTCAATAGCCTTATTACTACTTTTCTTCACTTTATACACAGCTATAAATGTGTGTTAATCTTTTCCAGAGAAGACATATGGCAGTGTTCTTGTCACAGGCCATTTTTATACGTAATGGTTCCAATGATAAATGTGTATATATTGTACACAATGCAGCCTACACACATCATGCATACATCTAGCCAATATACTAGAACCTAACTGTGATCAAGTTACAAGTAACTGGAGCGCAGTGTCACAAAGAGCTGAGAAAAACCTCTCAGAGGACAATTTTATTCCTTGGGTAATCACCTGCCCTGAACACTGGGTGGCATCACCATTGGGCTGCAGGGCTCTAAGCAGGACAGTGAAAGCTGCAGCTCCAGCAGAATTCCAGGAGAAAGGCGGGAAAACCTCTAAGCAGTGGATAGTATTCAAGGAAACTGGACCCTGTGCTTTTACATATGTAAATATTCAAGGTAAGAAACCAGAAGACATCTGGAAATAAGCAGGGAACAAGAGGGGGCCTTTGGGAGGGACTTACAAACACAAGGGAGGATGTCTATAAAGAAGGTTCCAAGAATCGTCTTGTAAAGAATCCTAAACTGAGCAGAGGGGTAGCATTGGAGGTTGGCTGGGTGAGAGAGACAAAAGAAGCACTTTATGAGGGCAGGAGGGACTATTCCAACAAATCATAGCAAGCAGAGGATAAGGCTAAAAATCAGACATAATATGTGATCAAAGGGGAAATTTTCGAGAAATGACAGTTGATCATTTCTCCCAGGTATCATCTCATTTAATCCTCAGGCTCAGAGACAAAGAGTGCCCCATCCAAGATCACACAGCTGGGCAGCAGCAGAACCAGACATTCAGTCTTGGATTTCTGACTCAAAATCCACAGCTCCTGGCAACCTCTGGCCAGAATCGTATGATATTCCAATTCAAGTAATTGGGGGATAGCACCACGTAGAAAAAAAGTGCTATATGAATTTCAGGAACTATTGGTAGTACAGACTAATAAATTGTCATATTCCTAATATAAGGTTGAACCAAATGAAACTGCTACTTTTGTAGGCCTCAAATGGTCGGATATTGGCAATTTTATGTGATTCAATGTAATATCAAGGAATCAAAAACGGAAGGTGTCAGCCTAAATTTAGAGCCCAAGGTGGTACCCTCTTGTGTTTAAATTTTATAAAAAACAGAAAAAGAATAGTGAGAGAAGAATACATAAAGCATGCTAATAAATATTTAAATGCAAAATCCTCAAATACCAACAAAAACTACCATTTCACATTTAATGTTCTATACTCACCTTCCTCCCTGATTACTGGAATTCCTAAAGCCAGCCTTGTGGGGAATCTTCTGATTTTGATCTTGGTAGATGCATACTGCCGTATTTAATAGACCTCTGTGGCCTACACAGAGCCATCTATCTGCTCCAAGTTCCTGGTTATCTGCTCTTCATCTACATCAGAACCTCCAGAAAGCTCCCTAGGCAGCACCTAGGCCACTCCAGGGTAGAGAATTAAGTCTGCATTTCAAGTTTCATCTACTGCTCCATCCAGGGATTTTTCATTAGGGCCTACAGTATTTGGGTTGTTAGATTAGATTATCTGGAATAGACGCCTGTTCAACAAACAATTCTGAAAGAAGCAGATTCCTCCAGGAGAGGAGATGGGAGTATCTACTCTCTTTCCACTGAGAGTTAAATCCAATCACTCAAACCCAGCAATTAAACAGTGTAATCAGGGCAGCTCTTACAAGGAGTGTAAGCAAACCCAGGTTCATCAGAGCCACTCTGTGTTGGTGTTCCTCACATTTTGAAGACATAATCATTTCTATTTCCTAATTAACTCTGCTAAGTAATTAGATATAACTACATAAAACAGAAGTGTAAAATATTTTGTGCTTCTTAAACAAAAATGCTTTGTGAAGTCTACAAGCATTTTTGTCCATTTATGTGTTTGTCATAAATGGACAAAAAGGTTATCATCCTTAGGATGAAAAGGCAAAAAGTAGCCTCCATTCAGAACATCTTAAACTATGAAAAATGCATCTGGAAATGACTCCATGTTCGAGCTAAGAATATCTTCCATTCATAAAGACCTCCAAAACTTAAAAACAGCCAAAACAGAATGGCTTTTGAATCAAAACATTGTATTTCAGTGAGACTATTCCCAAACATGGAATAAAGTTAAGAGTTTAACGTGTTCGCAGTTAATCCAGAGGCCAAGGAGAACGGTGGTAGGGAAAATGTACACTCAGTTCAGACACTGAGCTCTCTTGTATTTTTATCCTTTGTAAGCTTTGGGGTACTTATGTGGAAGGCAAGGATGGGCCTATGTCATAAGGAAAGAAGGGCTAAGTAAGATCAAAGGTAAAGCACTAATAGAATCTAGCTCATTGTCAGCACTGGTTAACAGTGGTGAAATTGCGTTTTTTTGTTTTTTGTTTTTTTGAGACAGGGTCTCACTCTTTCACTCTTTTGCCCAGGCTAGAGTGCAGTGGTGTCATCATTGCTGGCTGCCGCCTCACACTCCTGGGCTCAAGCAATCCTCAAGCCTCAGCCTCCCAAGTAGCTAGAACTACAGGTGTGCACCACCACACCTGGCCAAATTTTAAACATTTTTGTAGAGACGGAGTCCTGCTATGTTGCCTAGGCTAGTCTCAAATGCCAGGACCCAATCGATTCTCCCATCTCGACCACCCAAAGTGCCAGTATTACAGGCATGAGCCACCACACCTGGCCTGTATCAATTTTTACATAGCTATATTTGTTGAACACATACTATATGCCAGGTCCTGTTCATTTAATCCTCAAAATAACTTCATGATCTCATTAGCATTACTAACTTCATTTTACAGATGAAGAAACTGTGGCATCAATAAATTAAGTAACAAATATTGTTAGTTAATATCTATCCAAAGTCACACAGCTGGTAAGTGGCAGAGCTAAATTGAGCCCATGCCCATGAACTCTGCATGCAATACGGTCTTGCATTATTATTGTTATTGTTCACTTTATTTCTTATATTTCATCTTCCATGTAATTTCTAACTTATAATTCCATGGAACATGGATATCATAGAAAAATTCCATTTAAGGAATACTATGCAGCCATAAAAAAGGATGAGTTCATGTCCTTTGTAGGGACATGGATGAAGCTGGAAACCATCATTCTCAGCAAACTATCACAGGGACAAAAAACCAAACACCACATGTTCTCACTCATAGGTGGGAATTGAACAATGAGAACACTTGGATACAGGAAGGGGAACACCACACACTGGGGCCTGTCATGGGGTGGGGGGAGGGGGGAGGGATAGCATTAGGAGATATACCTAATGTAAATGATGACTTAATGGGTGCAGCACACCAACATGGCACATGTATACATATGTAACAAACCTGCACATTGTGCACATGTACCCTAGAACTTAAAGTATAATTAAAAAAAAAAAAAGAAAAAAGAAAAATTCCATTTAAGAAAGGGCAACTAGATGTTCTTAACTAGAAAGATGATAAAATTAGGCCAGGCGTGGTGGCTCACACCTGTAATCCCAGCAATTTGGGAGGCCAAGGCAGGCGGATCACTTGAAGCCAGGAATTTGAGACCGGCCTGGACAATATGGTGAAACCCTGTCTCTATTAAAAATGCAAAAATTAGCTGGGCGTGGTGGTGGGCACCTGTAATCCCAGCTACTTGGGAGGCTGAGGCAGGAGAATTGCTTGAACCTGGTAGGCGGATGCTGCAGTGAGCTGAGATCATGCCACTTCACTCCAGCCTGGGCAAGAGAGCAAGACTTCATCTCAAAAAAAAAAAAAAAAGAAAGAAAAGAAAAGAAAAAAAGATGATAGAATTAATTGGCAAAAATATAAAGTTAAAATTAATTAGGAACAATAATTTGATTTTAAAAGACTGGGACGTTTTGTAGACAGTGAAATTATATGTTTAAAACAGTTTTCTTAATTTTTAATTTTTTGAGATGGAGTCTCGCTTTTTCACCCAGGCTGGAGTGAAGTGGCACGATCTTGGTTCACTGCAACCTCTGCCTCCTGGGTTCAAGTGATTCTCCTGACTCAGCCTCCCGAGTAGCTGGAATTACAGGTGAACACCACCACGCCTGGCTAATTTTTTTTTTGTATTTTTAGTAGAGACGGGGTTTCACCATACTGGTCAGGCTGGTCTCGAACACCTGATTCAAATGATCCACTCACCTTGGTTTCCCAAAGTGCTAGGCTAAAACTGTTTAATACGTCCAAACTCTGAATTTCTGTTGAGCTCTTTTTGTATATTCAATGGTCGTGTATAGTCTTACCTGTTTTTATTTAATTTTGCTTATTTCATTCCATTTCTATTGAGATTGAGGGGGTGGGCCCTAGGTCTGTGTCTGTGCTTTTGCATTTCTGGGGAAGTCCTGCATGCCAAGTCAAACTCTAAAATATCTTTTTGAGAAGAAATTGATTCCCATAGCAATTTCTTCTTTCCTCTTAGAATTCATTTGTTGAATTTTTTACCTCGCATTTGTTAAGAAAGTAATTAGATTTGAGATTTTGCCTTACCTAAATATCTATTTAAATGAATAAGCCACCTGGTTTTAAAATAAAGTAGAGATTTAGTTTTCCAGGCCAAATAATCTTCTGAAAGTTCTTTTGGCTCTAGTTTTGAAGGGAATAAAAATAACATAGAAACTCAAGAGATCAGGAAATTCAAATAAAATTACTTCAACTTCAGTAATGCCCCAAAAGACATACAGGTGAGCTCTTACCAGTGGAATGAGCAGGCTAATCAGGTCTGTCAGAGGTCTGTTGAGCAGCAGCAGGTCTTCTGCAGCCTGAGGGTCCTCTCCTGAGCCAGACTTCTGGGCCTGGAACAGAGAGAAGAGAAATGAAAGACGGTCTTGGTGATTAGTCAGCTTGGCCAAAGGAAACAGGACCACTCCATCGGGCAGACACAAGGGGCTGAGGAAGCATTCTACCTCAGTTCCCAAGGATGGAATAGATGGAGGCCCCAGAAGAGATACTATGCTTTGTTATGACATAACAAGGAGTGTAGATATTGCCACTGCCACCAGCTCAGGCTACAGAGGCTGACCTGGACAGCACATAGATAAAGCAATTACAAAGGTTGCTAATGGAGGAATAATGGTGATGTCCCATATATTGCAGTGAGGAAGCGCTTAATCTTTTTTTTCTTTTTGAGTTGGAGTCTCCCTCTGTCACCCAGGCTGTTGTGCAGTGGCACAATCTCAGCTCACTGCAACCTCTGCCTCCTGGGTTCAAGCGATTCTCCTGACTCAGCCTCCTGAGTAGCTAAGATTACAGGCTCTTGCCACCACACCTCGCTAGTTTTTGTATTTTTAGTAGAGACGGGGTTTTGCCATGTTGGCCAGGCAGGTCTCTAACTCCTGACCTCACGTGATCCACCCATCACAGACTCCCAAAATGCTGGCATTGCAGATGTGAGCCACCGCGCCCAGCCAAAAGTGCTTTATCTTAACCATCCTGAGACTAGGTGCTGAAGAAAACTGAACTTTAGAGAAGCTGGGTAGTTTGTCTAACATCTCACAGTTAAGGAGTGACAAAGCCAGAGGACCAAACCCAGGCTGACTCCAAGTCACAAATGCTAATCTCCTCTGAGCATATTTATGCACATGATACATACCAAGTGCATTCTGCTATGCTTTCCTTCTCTATATGCATACATATGCTCAAATAACATCTAAAATATTTGTCCAACATATCATTGCATGAATAGGCTTCAAATACAGGTAGATATTCCTATGAATGTTTAGACTTAAATGGCAATGAAAATAAATGAGTGAGTGGTTTTTACATTGTGTGTCTTCTCGCAGGGGTTTTATAGAACTGTCTAATTCCAAAGGAGATTTCTATCATAGAGATGAATAATTTTATATTAAAAAATGGTATGGATTATTTTTTCCATTTGCTATAATATGTAGACGCCCTTCCTCTCTGTTTTTACGTTTACTCAGAAGAAACAAAACCACTTTTCAATAATGACCTTTGCCAGAGCTAACAGAGCAGGCCACAGGCTGCCCTGCCTTAAGTCATTAACCTGGACTCCAGGACCCTTCTCATAAATGCCTAGTTTCCTTCTGCACTTCTGGCCTATGGACAGAATTTCAGTTGCCTGTTTTCTTTGGTTCAGAAGAACTTGACTGAAAATCGGACACCTGTTTTTAACAACTTGCACATCTCAAAAGATAAGGAGAACAAGGGTCATCATTAGCTCGGAGCTTCCCTCTCACTTCCCTGACTAACTTTATCGGAAATGGAGAATTTCCTGTCAGGAAACAAATGTGCGGCACTATCCAAGAGGTCTGAACCTTTCTGAATCTTGGCCGTTGATCCCTTGCCCTCTGAAACATTATCTGACATGGAATATTAGCCTTTCCACATTACCACATTATCCCTTAGAGCAGATTGATTTCTTCCTGGGAGAGATAAGGCAGTCTTGCAAATCAGCAATGAGGCAGCAGTGAGGGGTACGGTGCCTCCTTTCCAAACACACACAAGCAAGGGAATGGGGCCACAGTACAAGAAACACTGTAGGACTTTTTCCACCAGGATGTCCCATGGTCCTCCAGATCCTCCAAGATCTGCATAGTCATACGTCATAGTCGCCAAGAAACATCGACCCAGCCTACCAGTATTCATGTGGCCACCTCCTTGCAAAGTTGCCAAGAGTTCCAGAAGAAAGAGAAGGCTACAGCTTTGCACAACAGAGAGGTGGCACAAAAGAAAGACATTAGAAATTCCACTCTCCCCACAAAAGTACTGGCCCACAAAGGAAGCTCTGTGCAACAAAAGGACACCTGCCTGGATGCAGCAATAAACACTGAAGCCCCCAGAATCAAATGCAAAGGCCCAGGCCTGCCTTGCCTCTCAGCCTCTCTCCAATTTCCCAACATCAGACTCCCTCATGTCAGCCTCCTAACTCCTGGATTTGCCACCCTTTGTGTGCATCTTGTACAGGGCCCGTGTCCCTGTCACAACATCATGACTGTCTGCTCCATCCAGGTCCTCTGACTTTGCTTCTGGTCCCACTGACCCCTTTCCAGAACCACTCCCTTTTGTCATTGCTGTGTGTGAACTCACCCCACTCCTAGCGATCCCCTAGCTGTTATAACCCAGGCGATAGAGGATGCTAGCCTGGGCTAGGGTGATAGCAGCAGGGTTTGAGAGAGGCAATTGGATGTGTTAGATGTTTATGGTAAAATCTACATGATTTGGTGACAGATTAGATGTGGGATATAAAAAAAGAGGGAAATTTTAAGAACGCCTCCAGGTTTCTGGTTTGCGTGGCAGGGTGAGTGGGGCAGGGCTTGCTGGCAGGGAAATGGATTTGGGAGGTAGATCCTGAGTTCAGCTTTGGTCTATGGGGCATTCTAGAGGTCATATTGAGCAAGCTGCTAGGTATATGAATATGGATTTCAAAGAAGAACTTTAGGTAGAAACATACATTTAGTAGCCTTAAACATATCCAACTAAAGAAGGTGACATTCCTTTGGAACTTGTCATCCTTTAGTTAAACCATGAGATCCTAGAGGATGGGGACTGAATCATATTCATCTTTACATTGCGAACGTGCAACATGATGGTGTTTGGAGAGCACAGTAAGTGTTGAATTGATCTGAGCCACACCATTGACAGTTATGCTCTAGTGTGTGCTAAAACCTGCTGGAGATATAAGACAGGAACTGAGCTGGGCATGGTAGCTCATGCTTGTAATTCCAGCACGTTGGGAGGCCGAGGCGGGTGGCCTGTCAATTTCTGGGCCATATTTAACATTAAATAGCAATACAGCATTACCTAAAGTGAGATAACAGAATACAGCTTCTTAGTATTAAAAAAAAAGGCCAGGTATAATACAGTTCTCTTACATCTAGCATTGCTACACAAATCTAGCACACAGAAGTAGGTAATCAACAGAGGTCTGCTAAATATACACAGAAGTAAGGCATCTATAAAGAACAAGAGACAGTTACTTTCTCAAGTAGTTCCTGTCTTATTTATCTTTTTGAGATGCAGTCTCTCTCTTTCATCCAGGCTGGAGTGCAGTGGCACGATCTCGGCTTAGTGCAACCTCTGCCTCCTGGGTTCAAGCAATTCCCCTGCCTCAGCCTCCCAAGTGGCTGGGATTACGGGTCCCCGCAAGCATGACTGGCTAATTTTTATATTTTTAATAGAGACAGGGTTTCACCATGTTGGCCAGGCTGCTCTCAAACTCCAGACCTCATGATCTGCCTGCCTCAGCCTCCCAAAGTGCTGGGATTACAGGTGTCAGCCACCGTGCCCAGCCTTTATTTTTATTTTTTGAGATGGAGTCTCGCTCTGTCACCCAGGCTGGAGTGCAGTGGCGTGATCTCGGTTCACTGAAACCTCCGCCTCCCAGGTTCAAATGATTCTCCTGCTTCAGCCTCCCGAGTAGCTAGGACTACAGGTGTGTGCCACCACACCCGGCTAATTTATTTTTTTATTTTTTTTATTTTTAGTAGAGACAAGATTTCACCATGTTGGCCAGGCTGGTCTTGAACTCCTGACCACATGTGATCTGCCCACCTGGGCCTCTCCCAAAGGGCTGGAATTATAAGCATGAGTCACCATGCCCAGCCCAGTTCCTGTCGTTATATCTCCAGCAGGTTTTAGCACACAGTGGAGCATAACTGTCAATGGTGCGGCTCGGATCAATTCAATTCAACACTTACTGTGCTCCCCAAACACGATCATGCTGCACATTCACAATGCAAAGATGAACATGATTCAGTCCCCATTATCTAGGATCTCATGGTTTAACTAAAAGGATGACAAGTTCCAAATAACTGTGCTAAGGCAGAATATGAAAACTGCTATAATAGAGGTAGAAATAAAGTTTAGGTTAAGGAGGGAAGTAGGATAATGTCACAATTGACTTCATCACTTGGATGGTGGGGACGGGGTCTACTAGAAGTCATATGGAGTACAAATATTTCACATGTGGAAATTTCATGAGGAAAGGCACAGGAGTGACAAAGCACAGCATCCACTTACAAGATGGCAGTGCAACTGTCTGATTGGGGTATGGGCAGCATGGAGGTCAGGCAGATGAGCTGGAAAGGTACCCTGGGGCTCGACTGTATAAGCCTTTGAATGTCTCAGCAAGGAGTCAGTAAGTTATAGATAATGAGATGTCACTGAAGTTTTCAAAGGAAGGGAGAAACTATCAGGACTATGGGCTATGACAGAAAAATCTCATCCGCATTCAACAACCAGGCAGAGGGTAGTTTATGGTGAAGGCCAACGAGGGGAAGGCCGTGAAGGAATCAAGTTGGATAATTATAAGAGATGCTAAAAACAGACAGCCCCCTAAAATAGCCCCCAACTACGCATAGCCTTTATGTGTATGTGGGACTAAGAAAGACTCAGTAGCCACATTACAGTCTTTCAACAATACTGACACATCTGCAAATCAACAGCAGTTTAATGGTCCTACTATCAGGAGGATGAGGTAACAAACTTCCCCATACCACCTCAGAAAGGATAAACAAGGCCCAGATTGGAAAGTCAGGTGACCTGAATTAGAATAATAAATATTTGTCTTCCCTAGAAAAGCCCTCCCTAATCTCAAAATTGGGTTTGGTCCCCTGCCTCATTATTCATTCTGCAGCATGTAATACCTTTCAATTGCTGCATTTTCACACATGCAATAAGATGACGACTTGCTTCATTACTTGTATGTTGACAGTCTTCCCTATTAAACTGTA
This sequence comes from Homo sapiens, assembly GCF_000001405.40. Lineage (NCBI taxonomy): Eukaryota > Metazoa > Chordata > Mammalia > Primates > Hominidae > Homo > Homo sapiens. The sequence continues at coordinate 41,460,495 of NC_000003.12, forward strand.
AGCTTCCTGAGAGCTAACACCCTTTCTCCCTTGATTCCTGCTGAAATTACAGGTGCCTAGCCCTATGCTAGGCTCATAAGTACAAAATAACTCATAAGCCTGCTAGGAGTTAGTCAGTAAATATGAACTGAGTGCTCTTCCATGCACCGGGATGTAGAAATGAGAAAGTCATGGCCCACAGGAGGCCCCCTGTAAACAAAAAAGGAAGCACCTTTCTTCTTGTTGCTGTTCATGATACAGTAACCACTTATTGGTCACCTTCACCGGGCCAGGTATATGTATGTCACTTTACATCTATATATAATTATATATATTTTATTCTCCCATTGAAGTCTCACAACCACCCCGCAGAGTGGTGACCACATCTACTTTCCAGATGAGGAAACTGATACTTAGGTGCAGTAACTTGCCCGAGGTTACAGAGGTGGGGAGTGGTATACTGGTGTGTCTGGGATTTGAATCTAAGGCATTCCAGCCTGCACAACCCACATGTCCCCACCACACCACTGAGTCTCAGGCACTTTGTCTCTGCCTCCATTATCTTTCACACATAACATTCAGAGGTGAACAGGGACCAGTTTTAAATCATGGGGAAGGTAGTGGGTAGGGACTGAACTTCTGATGGAGATTCTGACACGTGCCTGCCTTTGCTCCCCCATACACATACTTGCATCATACCACTCTCCTCCCTGGAAAAGTGCTTTGTGAATCTAAGCATTATTATAATTTTAAGCACTGGCCTCTCTCAATTCTTCTACTTTTAAGAAGCTCTTATTAGAAATAGATACAGGTTTCAAGTGCAGAAGAATCCCCAGTGTGAGAAGTATGTCTATAAATGGAAGGGGTGACTTAGGGTTTTGGAAAGTACTTATGGCTCAGTGTTTCAAGGCAGATATGTCTTTGATTCACATTCCATTTCTTTTCCCAACTCTTCCACCTAATTCAGCCTCAAGGACTCCTCCTCCTTCATATTGACACCAGGTGTCATGGAGATCAAAGTCAGTGGTCAAGGCCAAAAGCAATACATGGCAGATATTATGAGGGATGATTTAGAAAGATGGTAGCAGTAAAATGTACAGTGGTGTTCAAGACTATGAAAACAATAAAAAACAGTGATCTACTGGGAAACCAGCAAGTTGGAAATAGAAAATTCAAAAATATTTTGTATTAAGGAGTTTCCTTTCAAAACATCCCTGAATATCTACCTAATCACTTGTAGTAAAAAAAAGAATTTCTATTATCCTGAAGATTTTTAACTTCTGATCCTTTTTCTGTCTACAATTTACAAGAAAATCTTTTACAGATTGTCATCAAGGTATCCTGTAAAAGTAACTATCAACTACATCTCAAAGAATTACAAAAATCTACCACTATGGAAACTGAAATAAGAAACTGTGTTCTCTGAAAAGAAACTTACTAGAATGGAGAGGAAAAGATAGGAGAAATACATAATTAGCAATTATTTAAGTACGTAACAATTATTTACTGTTAATTTGGAATTATTATAAATGAGCTAATAAAAGCAGCTAGGTAATTCAAAGGCCATGGCTTTTTAATTAATCTACTGGCTTTACAGTTTGGGTTTAATACTTAGTAACTAATAATATTTGTTGAGGGGATCTTGGATTTATTAAATCATATTAGACAAGCTAAATACTTGACCAGCTTAACTGTGGATAAAAGATATCATTTATCATAATGATGAATAACAGAGGCTATCCTGGGGTCTAGGGAGTCATTCTTGGCTCTGCTACTGTGACTTTGGCAAGGTATCAAAACAGTTTGGTTTCAACTTTAGCTTCTGCGTCTATCCAAGCTTGGATGCCATCATTTGATATACATCTCTTGCAATTGTATCAGGATTTTAAATGTAACAATAAATTCACCTTGACCCTGTCACTTTCACTTGATCTAAATATCAGCTGACTCCATCGGTTAGACAGAGCATTAAATAAAACAGGCATAGGAAAGTACTCTATAAAACCACACCTCCTTCCTGCCTTACAGCATAATGCTAAGTAAATACAGGTTACAGTTTATGGCTAATTGGCTTTTTCCATAGCCACTGAATACACCTCTATTCCTCAAAACCATCTCACAAGTCCATGGTATCAGTCATAAGGGAAAGAAAATGAGCTTATGAGTTACATAGGTATGTATATGTGTCTACAAACACACACATGCATGTGTATGTACACAAACCCTCAATCCATTATTCCTAGAAAGCTGACCTATCCTGCTGAGGGGGAACTGGAGAGCCACCTCAGGACATGAAAAGCTGCAAACTACTTGGCCAACCTAGGATGTGCCTAAGGCAAATGCTCTCCTTGGTCAGGAGTGGTTTCCCAACTAATGCTTGCTAAGTCTTTGCTTAGTAGTAGGCCTCTCCTTCCTTCCCTGAAGATTTTGATCAAATTCTCTGTTCTTGACATTGGTCACCCAAAGATGACTCTTCAGAAGACACTCTCTATAGAATTATACATTCTTTTAAATAAGTAAAGACACAATAGAGGAAGATAAGAAAGAAGAGAATGAAAGGGAAGCATGAAATGGAGTAGGGCTGCTCAAGACACAGGAAAACAGATCCTCTACCTGCAAAGCCAGCCGTACAATACCGGAGGTATAGGTCAGCATGCTGTGCAAAATATCAAGCAGGGAAAAGAGCAGTGGAGCTGCCATCTCATTGTTGTTTTTATTGTCCACATCCAAGCACAGTGTGGCAGTTTCAGTGAGCAGGTTACAGATGTGACTGACAAGTCCTGAGGGTAAAAAAGGAAAAGAAAAAAACCTCATCATTAAGTACACAAATGTGTCATATGAACCAAAAAGAGAGGCATTCTGGCTCTATGTTGCATAAACCCTAAGCAATACTTAAACTATACTCTTATCAGATTCACTGAGGAAAGTTGTTTAAAATGCAGGTTTCCAGGCCTCACTCCCAGAGAGTGTCTTAGGAAAATACTTGTTAAAGAAGTTCCCCAAGTGATTTTGATGCAAAGGTTCCAAACCACAGCTTGAGAAACACCATCCTACATGGGCAGGCTTCACAGGGTCTGAGGACTCCCTGGCACTGAAGGAAAACAACTGTCCCCAGATTCTTGTTTGAAGGCAGTTTTCTTTAGTGCATGATCAAGGGCCACAGTGAACCCAGTGGTCTGCTCTATCTAGCAACTGGGTGGTTTCCATAATGCAGTCCACAAATGTAAGATAAATTATAAGAAATTTGAAATTTAGAAATTACCAGGTGCCATCCCTTTGTCTCTGCAAACCTCATATTAACAGTGTGGTTGGTCTTTACTGATGTTTAGTTTGATATAGTCTGTTACAATAAATACATTTTCACATTTTGGGGGTGTTATTGTTTACATTAAATTGACATTTTTATCCTATTATATAGTGTTAACCTTTGAATTGAAATACAACAAAAGTGAAATTACAACATGAAATAATGTTATAAACCTAAATGATGAATGAGAACTTTGGAATCAGTAGAGCATAAATTCAGATGTTCTAAAAAAAAAAAAAAAGTGAATTTTCAAAGATAAATATTTTACACACGCAGATGGGGGAAAAGCACGGCAAGGAAGTCTGATGTGTATTAAAAGCTATATTTTACTGGACCTGCAATCTATTTGTCCCTACTCCAGATCATCAATTGAATGGAAACTCAGCTAAGCACAGCCATGTAAGTTTTGGCACCTCTTCTATACAGTGCACCTTGTCACTTCCAGCAAAACAATCCAGTCTTCCTGACAAATGCGAAATTATCACAAAATTATCAGATTACAAAAGTGAACTAATTTTGTCACTAAAGGCAGTGACATAGAATGACAGACGCATCAAAGTTATACCTCCTGTGGCCAAAAAAAGGCATAAGTCTCACACAACTGCTAAGATGCTTATAAAAACAAAAACAAAACTGAGTTTCAAGGCTGAAAATAAACAAACTTGAAAGTAGAATGAATTACCGTCAAAATTTCCTTATCAAATGACAAGGTCTGATAACCCATATCATCAATGATACATAGTGCAGAAAAGCAATTATTACAGCATGTGCACTGCACCACCAGGCATTCTCCTTAGAGTTACAATGCATCACCCATGTACAGGCTATGAATCAGCACTTGGCATCTGTGAGCTGTAGATAGAAGGGCTTGAAAACATAGTATTTGGTAAACATACGCTGCAAGACAACAGGTTTTTCATTTGGGGGTTCCTGATGACTTTGTGACATGTCACACAGATGGTCAAAGGTAAAAGGGGTAAGTACTGGTGGAGTCCAGCTCTGTGAGCAGCAAAGAAGGATATGGTTCTTTAGGAGGCAGAGGTGGGTCCCAGAGCACCCATCTACATACTGCTTACTTCAGAGTAAACAGTTAGTGGGCATCAATGTTCTTCTTGAACTTCATTCAGTCTTCAAGGAAGGAGTGCAAAGAATGAATGCAATCAAATCCCTGCTGGGACAGAAAGTATTTCCAGTCTACTGTGTAAAAAACAGACAACAGATGCCAAGCTCTGATTTTACACACTGAAGTCACCAGCTCCCAAGGGAAGGTTCTCAGATAAGATTAGAAATGAAGTATGAGATAAAAATATTTCTTCACAACAGTGATAACGCCAGCAAAACCCATTAATATGATTTTAAGAAGCTGATCTCAGCCATATTTTCAGTGTTCTTCATAGCCAGAACTTTCACTTCAGGGTCAAAATGCATGTTTTTCATGTTTAAATATTTTATTATGAAAACAAAGTCATGAGACAGTTCAGCAAAATGTACCTTCATTACCCTTTTCAACAATATCAATATTGTGTCTATTTTACCTGTCTTTTGAAAAGCATTTTAAAGCAAATACCAGAACACATCTTATTTCTCCTGTAAATACTTCTGTATAACAGATAAAGACTCGTTTTTAACTACAATACCATTGCCACTTTTAAAAATCAATGTATTTTTTATATACTCAACTGTCTCAAAACTATTTTTTTACAATTAGTTTATATGAATCAGGATGCAAAGCAGCTCCATAAATTCCATTTGGTCATGGACCTTAAGTCTCCTTTAATTTCTAATAGTCCTTCCTCTACTTACAATTTTTTATGCCACTTATTTGTTGGATAAATTAGAACAGTTTTCTTGTAGATTTTCTCATGGAACTGTTCCTATATCCCTACATGTCCTGTAAATTGGTAATTGCACCTAGAGACTTGATTTAATTCAGGTTCAATTCCTTTGGCAGTAATACCTGGGGCTGGGTTCTTTGGATTTCCTGTTGCATCTTATCTGGAAAGATATACCATTTGTCTTAGTTATGTTAAAATTGATCCATGGATTCAAGGGTTGTTATTTTGAAAAGGAAAAGCAAGATAAATGTTTATTCTTTCCTGTCGTTTACCAGTTTCAGAACAATGATTTTGGAGTGTTAGCAACCACCAAAGATAACCAAGGTGTGAAGTGGGAAGGGTAGACGAAGATAGAAACTACCAAAAGTTACTAATGCATTCATTTTGTAGCACCATTGTGAACATAATGCATTTTTAAATAATATATATTATGGGTTTCAATTGATTTCAATCACTATTCATTTGTATGCTCAATATGTCCTATCTTTGGCCACTAAGAGCTCCTTGAAAGTATCCTTGCTTCTGCTATAATAATGTGCACTGAGTTCATATTATAGAATTCCTGCTTCTGACTGGGCATTAGACACTTCTCCAAGGAGCCCTGGTTTCATTCAATGAGAATGTGTACTTAGAGTCCATGGTCTGAGCATTCGGGGTGTTCATTGCTACTGAGTCACTGATTCAGTAAACGGAGATAGTAAGTATCTGTCTCTTTAAGAAAAATGAGTTCATACAGATATTTCTAATGCCAGACTCCAGAAACAGACCCACAATTACACAGTCAGGAACTCTTCAGAAAAAAATCCTTTTCAACAAAAGGGTAAGGAAAAACTGAGTATCCAAATGGGGGGAAAAGAGAGATCCTTGACCATTACCTCACACAACATACAAACACTAATTTCAGATGAATGATAGATCTAAACATACATGCTAAAATTAAAAAGGTTCTAGGAGAAAATGTAAGAGAAGATTTTGCAACTAGGTAGGCAAGATTTCTTAGGATCCCAAAATACCTGGTCTTTAAAAAATGGATAAATTAGACTTCATTAAAAAGTAAAGCTTTTGCAAATCAAAAGATATTATTAAAAAATAATAAATAAGGAAGCCAAAGAATAGGAAAAAATATTCTTCTCTTTTTCTACATGTATATATGTATGTGTGTATATATGTGTGTGTATATGTGCATGTGTGTGTCCAAAAACCTGTATCCAGAATATACAAACAATTCCCACAACTCGATAATAAAAGTACAAATAATACAATTTTTAAAAATGGGTAAAATATGTGAATAGCCAGTTCACAAAAGGTATAACAGTCAATAAGTATATGAAAAGTGTTCAATATCACTATCATCAGGGAAATGCAGATTAAAATCACAATGGGATATCACCATACATACATATAAATAATTATAATCTAAAAAACTAACACAAAATGTTAGTAATGATGTGCAGCAACCAGGACTCACATATATTACTGATGAAAAACAGTTGGCATTTTTAAATAAATCTAAATATACATTTACCATATTATCCAGAAATCTTACTCCAAGGTATTTATCCAAGTAAAATGAACACATATGTCCACATAAAGATTAATTAGAGCTTTATTCAAAATAGCTCCAAACTGCGGCCAGGCACCGTGGCTCACACCTGTAATTCCAGCACTTTGGGAGGCCGAGGTGGGCAGATCACTTGAGGCAGGAATTCGAGACCAGCCTGACCAACATGGTGAAAACCCATCTCTACTAAAAGTACAAAAAATTAGCTGGGCATGGTGGCACACACTATAATCCCAGCGACTCAGGAGGCTGAGGCAGGAGAATCGTTTGAACCCAGGAGGCAGAAGTTGTAGTGAGCTGAGATTGTGCCACTGCACTCCTGCCTGGGTGATAGAGCACGACTCTGTTACAAACAAACAAAAAAAGCCCCAAACTAGAAATAGCCCAGGTGTCCATCAACAGGAGACTAAACAAATTAAGATATAATCATATAGTGGAATATCACTTAGCAACTAAAAATATCAAACACTGAACTTTACAAGAACATAGATGAATCTCAAAAAAAATGCTGACAGACAGATTGCAAAAATTAAAGAATTCTATGAAATAAGTTGTATGAACACATTTATTTAAGGTTCTAAAGAAAACTTGTCTCTATTGATTGGGGTCAGAACAGAAGTTATTTCTAGGAGAGGGGAAGATGGAACTTTCTAGGGTGACAGAAATGTTCTATACTTTGATGGGGTGTTGGTTATAGCAGTGCATGCATTTTTCAAAACTAAATATAAGATTTGTACCTTTTACTGCATATAAAATATACTTAAATTTAAAAATGCAGAGTTAAGAAAAAACAGGTTGGGACAAACTAGAGAAATGCTTCAGGAAGATAAATAAAGCAGTATGTGCTGTCTTCACTGGGTTAATAGCAGAATTTACTGAGCACTTGCTCTTTTCCTGGCACTATACTCTCACTAGAAGAAATGGGGAAGTGAGTTTCTAGGTAATTTTAAGTTAACTTTTAAGATATGCTGAGTTTGATACAACAAAGGGACATTCAAAGTGCCAACGTTCAAGGGAGATTAAGCCCTAAAAACTAGGTAACAGTTAAAACTAAAAGACAACAACAACAAAAAAGAAGCAAAAGATGATCAGAGAGAACAGAAAATTTCCCAAAGGACAGTCAAATTTAGAGAGAAACAGAGTCAAAGACTGAGGGTCGAGTAAGTCCCAAACAGGGGCAAGGATTTACAGAGGAAATGGAGGCAAAGGTGCTAATATAATACAGTAGGAATCACGACAATGTAAAGTAATGGATATCAAGGAATAACTAGAATTAAAAAGAAAATGGGTGTCAAGAATGTCTAGTTGGAGTCTATAGACCTCCTATAGAAGAATAGGAGGTCTTAGGTTTCCGCACGTTCCACAGAAAGTTCTATCAGCAACTATCCACAGATATGAACACTCTGATGAAATCCTCCAAAATTGGGAATAAGCCTGAGTCACCTGTGTGGTTTATGGAACTTTTCCACATGAAAAGGGTAAGATAAAAGGGTCTTATTTTGACTATACTACCTTTCCACCTCCCAGAGGTTAGCATAGTGCCACAAAGAGAGGATTCTCCAGGAACTGGGGTTTCTACAGAGGGAAGAGAACCAGAGGTGGACAACCATCTTCTCTAGCATCTTGTGGCACTTTCCAGAAAGCCCACTCCTATCTTACATCATGGGGAACACAAGGGAAAATGCTACCACTAGACCAACTGGGATTAGGCAGAAACAAAGAAAGGAGGTGTAGTAGAAAGCCATCAGGACATAGATATGGTGTTAGCTTTGTGTACCTGTCAGCAGTAGTGCCCAATCAGTGGTACCAGCTAATAGCCCATCCAACTTGAAAAGCTGAGCTAGTCACTCCAGAAGTGATCAAAAGTTCTACCTAGCTTAAATCTCTACACAGTCAGCCTCCAGGACCAGCCTCATACCTTGCCCCAAAGCCTCACATCCAGGGAGCAAGACGATCATCACAGCAAATTTCCACAAAGAGCAGAGGCTCTATCTATCACACCCAGGAGTTTAAACAGCACTCAGTCAAGCTTCAAAGCTCACCTCAAGAGCCTGCCTAGACAGAGAGACAAATCTCAACTGTGAATTTCTAATGAACATAGCAGCTGCTCCCAGCCATTCCAATTAGCATCCTGATCACAGCCCCTCCTGCAACCCTGTTCAACTACTGAACTCAAATAGTAAAACTATCTGGCCAAAGAATATACTCCTGTGGCCCAGCCCAATGATGGGCCAACTGTATTTCCAGAGATCAACCAGTGGTCTCACTGGATAGAAGAGCCCAGCCAGCTGCCTCATCAAAATTGAGAGCAAAGGCAGCAGCCCAGCCATCTAGAGAGCCCAAAGCAAGCTCTGCCTGCCCATGGCCATCAAAGCCGGCCCATCTACAATAAAAGCTAAATGAAAGAGTGAAGGCCTACACCTGCCAAAAAAAAAAAAAAAAAAAAAAAAACACCTTAAAAGCCTAAAAAGATGGCTATCTCCTCAACTGCACAAACACCAATGCAAGAACACAAGAATTACAAAGAATCAGGAAATCATGATATATCCAAAAGAAACTAAGAAAGCTCCAACAATAGACCCTAAAGAAAGGGTCAAATTTTATAAACAGAAATACTAGAGACAATACTGAACTGAAAAATACAAACAGGAAGCTTCAACATAGGCTCCCTCACACTGAAGAATCAGTGAACTTGAAGATAGAACATCTGAAATTATCCAATCAGAGCTGCAAATAAATAAATAAGTAAATAAATAAGAGTGACAAAAGCCTATAAGGATTATGGAATACCATTAAGAGACCTAACCTATGCATAAGAGGAATTCAAGAAGAAACAGAACAGAAAAAAAAAAAAAAAAAAAAAAAAAAAACAAAGTATTTTTAAAGGAACTAATGGCTGAAAACTTCTTTTAATTTAGGGATAGATGCCAACATTCAGGTAGAGGAAGCACAGAGGTCTCCAATCAAAGTAAACCAAAAGAAGAGTTCACCAGGACACATAATCAAATTATGAAAAATCAAAGATGAAGAAAATATGCTAATATGCTGACAGCAACAAGAAACACATTACATCCAAGGGAGTCCCAATACAATGTCAGTAGATTTCTTAACAGAATTCCTGCAGGGCAAGAGAGAGTGGGATGATTTATTCAAAGGGCTGAAGGAAAAAATGCTGCCAAACAAGAATATTTTACCCAATAAAATTGTCTTTCCAAAATGAAAAAGAAAAACTTTCCCAGACAAACAAATGCTAACGGAATTCATCACCACTAGGCTTGCCTTACATGATTGGCTAAAGAGAGTTAAGTTAAACAAAAAACCACTAATAACATAAAACACACAAAATCACAAAACTCAATGGTATAAGTAATACAAAGCCATATTCAGGATACCTTAGAACTCTAATTGCGGCATGTAAAGTGGTTTTACTCCTAGTGTGAGGGTTCCAAGGAAAAAACTAATAATAATGACTACAGCTAAAATAAACTGTTAATAAATGCATATTACAAAATGATGTAAATTCTGATATCAAAAACATAAAATGAAGGGCAATAAAACTGTAAAGCTGTATGCAAAGTTAAGAAGTTAGCAGCTTGAAACAGACTGTTATAAGATGTTCTATGTAAGTCTCATGGTAATCACAAAATAAAAATGTATAGTAGACACACAAAACAAAAACAGGAAAGATTCAAAGCATATCACTATAGAAAACCATCAAACTGCAAAGGAAGACAAGAGAGGAAGAAAGAAGCAAAACAACCAGAAAATAATAAAATGACAGAAGTCCTTACCTATTGATAATTACCTTGAATGTAAACAGATTAAATTCTCCAACAAAAAGACATAGAGTAATTGAATGAATTAAACAAACAAACAACAGAACAAAAAACCACAAAACTAGACCCAACTATAAGCCGCCTACAAGATACTCACCTCACTTTTAAGGACACACACAAACTGAAAGTGAAGGAATGGAAAAAGATATTCCACGCAAAGGGAAACCAAAAGAGGGCAGAGAGACTTCTATTTATATAAAACAAAACAGACTTTAAACCAAAACTACAGAAAGCAATAAAGAAAGAAGTTATATAATGATAAAAGGGTCAGTTCAACAAGAGGATATAACAACTGTAAATATATATGCACCCAACATCAGAGCACCAAAATTATATAAAGCAAATACTAAAGGATCTAAATGGAGAGATAGACTGCAATACAAGAATAGTATGGGACTTATCCCACTTATAGCAATGGAAAAATCATCCAGACAGAAATTAATAAGAAAACACTGGTCTTGAACAACACTTTAGACCAATGAACTAACAGACATATGCAGAACATTCCACCTAACAGCAACAAAATATACAATCTTCTCAAGCACACATGGAACATTCTTCAGGATAGATTATACGTGAGGACAAGTCTTGACATGTCTTCACAAGTATTCACAAATTTAAGAAGACTGAAATAATAACAAGTACCTTTACCAAATAGGATGGTATGAAACTAAAAAATCAACAACAGGAGTAATTTTGGAAAATTGACAAATACATGAAAAACAACATGTTCCTGAACAACCAATGAGTTAATAAAGAAATTAAAAGGAAAATTTAAAAAAATTGAGACAAATGAAAATGGAGATACAAAATTCTAAAACTTACAGGATACAGCAAAAGCAGTTCTGAGAAAAAAGTTTATTACAATAAGTACCTACATCAAAAAGAAAGGTCTCAAATAAACAACTTAATGTTATATCTCAAAAAAAAAAAACAAAATGAAGAATAAGCTAAGCTCAATTTTAGCAGAAAAATTAAAAATATCAGAGCAGAAAACAATGAAATAGAACTAGAAAAGCAATACTAAAATAAACTAAAACTTGTATTTTTGAAAAAATAAAAATTGAGAAATCTTTAGACTAAGAAAAAAAAGAGATGACTCAAATAAATAAAATCAGAAATGAAAGAGAAGAAATTAAACAGAAATACAAAGAATCATAAGAGCTATTGTAAACAACTAAATGTCAAAAAAAATTGAATAACCGAGAAGAAAGGATGTATTCCTAAACACATATAACCTACTAAGACTAAATCATAAAGAAAAAGAAAATCTGGGCTGGGCATGGTGGCTCATGCCTGTAATCCCAGGACTTTGGGAGGCCAAGGCAGGCAGATGACCTGAGGTCAGGAGTTCAAAACCAGCCTGGCCAATATGATGAAACCCCATCTCTAATAAAAATACAAAAATTAGCCAGGTGTGGTGGTGCATGCCTGTAATGCCAGCTACTTAGGAGGCTGAGGCAAGAGAATCACTTGAGCCCAGGAGGTGGAGGTTGCGGTGAGCAGAGATCACACCACTGCACTCCAGCCTGGGTGACAGAGTGGGACTGTCAAAAAAAAGAAAAAAAAAAAAAAGAAAATCTGAACAGATCAACAAGAAGATTGAATAAATAGTAAAAAGTCTTCCGTCAAAGAAAAGCCCAGGACCTAATGGCTTCACTGTTGAATTCTACCAAACTTTTAAAGAAAAACTAATACCAATCCTTCACAAACTCTTCCAAAAAATCGAAGGGGAAATAATAGTTTCAAATTCTTTTTATGAGCCCAGCATTACCCTCATACCAAAGCCAGACAAGGATATCACAAGAATAAAAAACTAAAGGCCACTGTCTTTGATAAATACAGATGTAAAAATACTCAATAAAATGCTAATAAACTGAATTCCACAATATATTAAGAGGTTCATTCACTATGATCAAATGAGATTTATCTCTGGCATGCAAGGATGGTTCAACATATGCAAATCAATATCACATAAGAATGAAGGAAAAAAATTATATAATCAATAGATGCATAGAAATAATTTGACAAAATTCAACATCTTTTCATGATTAAAAACTCTCAACAAATCAATGTACCTCAACATAATAAAGGACATAGATGATAAGCATAGGTAACATTACATTCAATGATGAAAAAATAAAACATTTTCCTCTAAGATCCAGAGGAACACAAGGATGCCCACTCTTGCCACTTATATTGAACACAGTATTAGAAGACTTTACCAGAGTAATTAGGCAAGAGAAAAAAAGAAAAGGCATCCATAAAGGAAAAAGTAGAATTGTTGCTGTTTGTCAACAATATGATCTTGTATGTGGAAAACGCTAAAGATTCCACCATATAAAACTGCTAGAACTAGTAAATATAGGCTGGGCACAGTGGCTCACGCCTGTAAACCCAGCACTTTGGGAGGCCAAGGCAGGAGGATCACTTGCAGTCAGGAGTTCAAGACCAGCCTGGCCAACATGGTGAAATCCCATTTCTACTAAAAATACAAAAATTAGCCGGGCATGGTGGAACATGCCTGTAATCCCAGCTACACAGGAGGCTGAGGTGGGAGCATCGCTTGAACCTGGTAGGCGGAGGTTGCAGTGAGCTGAGATCGCACCACGGCACTCCAGGCTGGGCAACAGAATGAGATTCTGTCTCAAAGAAAAAAAAAAAAAAAAAAAGAAGAACTAATAAATACAGTTAAATTTAACAAACTTTCTGAAAAAAAAGTCATTTACAATAGTTGTAAAAAAATACTTATGAATAAATTTAAGATGGTGAAATAACTGTACCCTGAAAACTATAGAAAATTAAAAAGAAAAAGAAAAGAAATTAACAAAGACATGGATAAATGGAAAGATATCCCATGTTCATGGATTGGAGGAATTAATATTGTTAAAATGTCCGTTCTGCCTAAAGCAATCTACAGATTCAATGCAGCAATCCCTAATAAAATTTCAATAGCATTTTTCATAAAAATAGGCAAAACAATTGTAAAATTCAAATGGAACCACAAAATAAATTCATATGGAGCCCTCAAATGGCCAAGGCAATATTGAACAAAAAGAACGAAGCTAGAGACGTCACACTTCCTGATTTCAAACTATACTACAAAGCAATAGTAACTTAAAAAGCATGGTACTGGCATAAAAATAGACACATTGACCAGTAGAAAAGAATAGAGAGCCCAGAAATGAAACACATGTGTAGCCAATTGACTCTTGACAAAGGTATCAAGAACATATAATAGGGAAACGACTGTCTCTTCAGTAAATGGTGCTAGGTAAATCAGACATCCATATGTAGAAGACTAAAACTGGACCCTTATCCTCACCCTACATACAAAAATCAGTTCAAAATGGATTAAAGACTCAGACATAAGACCTGACACTGAAAAACCACTAGAAGAAAACACAGAGGGGAAAAAACACAAGACACTATTCTGGGCAGTAACTTTTTAGATTTGACCTCAAAAGTGCAGGCAACAAAAGCAAAAACAGACAGATACATCCAAATATAAAGTTTCTGCACAACACACTCTGCAAAATAACAGAGTAAAGAGACAAGCTACAGACTGAGAGAAAATATGTGCAAGCCATACATATGATAAGGGGTTAATATACAAAATATATATGGAACTCAACAACACTACAGAAAAACATTCTGATTTAAAAACGAACAAGGAACTTGAATAGACATTTCTCAAAAGAAGACATACAAATGGCCACGAGATACATGAAAAGATGCTCATCACCAGGGAAATAAAAATTAAAACCACAAGGAGATATCACCTTACATCTGTCAGAATGATTATTATTAAAAAAAAAAAAAGAAAACAAACATTGGCAACAATGTGGAGGAAAGGGAACTCCTGTACACTGTTGGTGAAATGTAAATTAGTATGACTATTATGGAAAAGTATACGGAGGCTCCTTTAAAAAATTAAAAACAGAATTACCATATGATCCAGAAATCCCACTTCTGGGTATTTACCCATAAGATTTGAAATCAACACATTGAAGAGATATCTGCACTCTCATGTGCATTGAAGCACTATTCACAGTAGACAAGTTATAGACTCAATCTAGGTGTCCATCAGCAGATAAAAGGATAAAGAAAATGTGGTACATACACGCAATGGAATTTTATTCAGCCTTAAAAAAGAAAAAATTCTGTCATTTGTGACAACATGGATGGACGTGGAAAGCATTATGCTATGTGAAATAAACCAGACACGGGAAGACAAATACCACATGTTCTCATATACATAACATCTAAAACAATAAAATACAAAGAAGCAGAGAGTAGAATGGTGGATACCAGAGACTGAGAAGGTGGGCAGAATGTGGAGATGATGGTCAAAAGGTACAAAATCTCAATTAGACAGAAGAAATAAGATTTTTTTCTTTGACATATAATGCACAGCATGGTGAATATAGTAATAATGTATACTTCAAAATCACTAAGAGTATACATTTCAAACATTCTCACCACAAAAAAATAAGTATTTGAGATCATGAACATTTTAACTGCTTGATTTAATTATTCCACATTATATTCATAAATTACAATATCACTTTGTACCCCATAAATATACAACTATAATTTGTCAGTTACAATTTAAAAAATAAAAATTAAAAAAAGAACGTTAAACTGAGACAATTCAAAACCTGAGAAAAGTTCACTGATTTGACAATTTCCAGGCCACTGATAACTATCATTAGTAAAATTTACTAGGTACTGTGGACTGAAGTCAGACTTCAAGCTACCAGATCTTCCATGTTGCATTTTCCCACATACCATGTAAGTGTAGACATATTTGCTTCCCTACTGTTTCAGAATTTGCCCAAAGAAGAAGTTAGGAAACAGGAAGGGAGGAGAGAAGGAGGGAAGAAAAGAGGAAGGGAAGGAGTGAGGGAAGGAGCGAAGGAAGGAGGGAGAAGGGAGGAAAGGATGGAGGGAAAGAGGGAGGGAGGCATGGGAGGGCAGGAGAGAAGGAGGGAAAAAGGGAGGGAGGCATGGGAGGGCAGGAGAGGAGGGAAAAAGGAAGGAAGGGAGGGAGGGAGGGAAAGGAGGAGGGAGGGAGGGCAAGCAGGAAGGCTTAAACCTGGGTTTGCATAGGGCTGACACCACCAGTGGTCCATAACCCCTAAGGGTACAAAGAGAGAGGGAGCAACCGCTGTTAGTCTCCCACCTTACCTAGTGGGAATTGAAAATTAGACTACTAATGTTGGTGAAGCTCTGTAAACAGGCTAATACATGATGCATTTTACTAAGTGAAGAAATAAATCTAAAAAGAAACAAAGCAAGTCAAGGTAGAAACTTTTGGTATGGAGGGGAGAAAAATTAACACTCCCCTATCTCCCTACTTTTATTCTTCTCCACAGACAGCCATGATCAAGACAAGATATTCCACCTCCAAAGAGATGCAGGGAAGTTCAAGGATATTGCCAAGGCTGTGTTCTCCAGAGTTAAGACTTTCCAAGAGATCAAAATGTCAGTGGAGATGGGTGTGTGGCTCTTTCTGTCTTCATCTTCCACGAAGAAGGCTTGTAACAATATGGCATAGCCAGAGGCCTGACCCCTGGGAAACATTAAGCCATTCCTTTTTTTTTTATTTTTTCCTCTCTTTTCTCTCCCTCTCTCTCATCTAGACTCAGTCTAAGGTGTAGTAGTTACCTGTGGCTTAGATCAGCTCTGCTTTGGACTACTGGGCAAATGCATAGCCCTTTTTTTAATTATTATTATTTTTATGACTCTTGCCTCTTCTACTGGTTCTAGCTGATACACATCTACTTGAAAGAGTGAGGGAAGCTTTCTTACATGAAAATATTAACATCCGAGACTGAAGTTTAAACACTGAGATAAATATACAGGGAAAGTCAAAGCCACCTTTGTCTCCAGACTAGTAGGTAGGTATAGGAAATAGAGAAACGTGTACCTCAGCATAATGAAAAGGGCTTCCGTGCTTTGCATGCCTGTTATCTCTCTCAGAGATGCTGTTGGGATGCATCTGGGATAGTGTGCTAGTACTTCCCAGTCCTCTGGTCAAATGCTACCACAACAATTTCTTAATATTCCATCCCAACATCTCTAAAAGAAGCCAACATTCATTAATTCAAAGAACCCAAGAATTATTTTGCATTAATTATAACCAACTCCTAAAAAATCCAAGATTTATTTTGTATGAATTATAAGCAAACCCCTAAAGGAGTCTCTCCGTAAGTTATTTTCAAGTGTTTAATGTTCTGAGAATATTAATATACATGAACTGTTCCCAACTCCAATCATTGTGTTCTTGTTATTAGTTTTTCACAATCTGTTAGAGAGCTAATATAAGAATATACTTTGAATTTCCAAGCTTTAGAAAGTGCTTTATATCTCATTTTTAATGATTTGAAAATACAACACTCTAAATCAAAGGTAACCTTCCTGCATAGAGGCTTTCTTCTGGCTAATTTTACATTTACATCATGCAAACATGTGGTCACTTACACTAGGGTTTGTTAAAATCAACCTAAACACACAATCTGGAAAAGAAGTATAAAAGCATTTGTGAAATTCAATGTGGGGACATAATTCTTTCCCAAACTGATCAATGATTAACCACTAAAACCAGAAGTCACATTAAATCAGTTAAGTTAAAAAGTCTGTTTTTAAACTGAAGAACTTTGACAGTGAAAGTGGCAATGCCTGTCTTGGACATACTGACAGGTTATAAATGTAAGTATCTGTGAACTGTGGGGTCGCCATGGAGCCATGGAGCACCAAGGGCATGCAGCCTCTTCTGGCCAAAGGTTAACAAGCAACCACTCACATACGGCATGGCCCCACATGACAATGTGACCAAACATCTATGAGGTTAAACATTTCTGAATCATCTCAGTGTAAGATTTGCCTATGCTATTTTAGCCCTGTTAAGCATGGGTCTAACATGCTCACCTAGGTTGGCATAAGTGCTAATACAAGACCACATAGGTGTCTACATTGTGCTTGTCACCAGGCCAATGCCTTTCAAACCCAGCTCTACTCCTCCTCCTGCATTTGTACTCCCAACTCTGCAGTCCCTTTGGCCTAGAGCTTTCAGTTTGGCTTCTTTACCTGAAATCCTCACCCTCATCCATGGGTCTAAGCTCCAGGGCCCATGGGAGTTTAACCTTCTCTAGTCAGGGGAAGGACATCAAACACATTTAGCTCAATGAGTATGATGAGCTAATTCACAATTCTGGGCTTTGCTGAAGTAAAGTACCCCATCAAATCCTATAATCCGAAAGAACCTGATGAATCACATGCTGAGACTTCTCAAATAAGACAGAAGCTAATGTTTCAACAAAATGTTTTCTTTCAAAAATCTGGAAAGTCTCTGTATTCAGTACATTCATTTTGAATTACTTTCCTAAGAAAATTTTGCATATTAGAGTATCTTAAACCAGCCCAGCTCCCTTCTGAGCCCACAGTGGTCTCTGGATCCTCCTATGATTAGCAAAGATTACTGTGTTGAATTATTCCAAGCATATAATTTATTCTGGTAGCCTGTCCCAAGTGAGTGCCATGCCCTTTTCTGGTTTAGGCAGAAATCCTGAATTTTTGCTGCATGGCCAAAAAGAAGTCCAAGTTACATACTTGAGAGTGAAAAGTTTCGGATGGGATAAACTCAATTATAAAATCCCTGAAAGGAGAAGTTTAACCCTTGAGGGATTTCTGCACTGAAGATACACTCATTTTGACTACTCATAGCTCAAGTGGCTTAGGATTAATTTAAGCAAATATGCCTGGAAGGATTTTTGTGAGAATACAGAAAGTAGGAGTGGCTGGTAATTTCATACTCAAAACTTAAGATACAATGTTACTTATGACTAATTCAAAAACTAAATTCTATTCTTAGCTCAACGTTACATAAACTTACTTTCCAATTACGTCCAGGTAATAAGATGGTTAAAGAATGATTGATCATATATTCCAATGCCCAGGAAAGTGCTGGGAAGAGAATAGAGTGGAGATGCAGAGAAGAAAATCCTCTTGGGGTGGGGGTGATCCCTCATCAGCAGCACAGCCTGGGGTCTATCCCCAAAAACCTGAAAGCTTTATCAATTCAATTCCAACTTTAATTCAGCACTTGCTGAATTATAAGGGATTTTTGCAAGCTGGGCAATGAACTGGAGAACAACCTTTAGAGCCCTACACCTCAGAAAATCTTCAGCCCTTCTCCTTTTTCCTCCCCTGTCATCTACTTCTGAGATGGTAAGTAAACATTCGGGAGAAAATCAGCATCACTCTTTCACTCACTGGTTCATTTGCAATACGCTAAGCATTTATAATGTAAATTTTACAATGCCAGACTGAAGGAATTACAAAAAAAGTAAGGAATAGTCCCTTCCCTTCACAGCCCATATAAATATATTGGAATATGAACTGGATCACAGGATAAAGCACCAGTTGGTGCTGTTGGTCGGAGAAGATGATGATCAACGGGAAGGCAGGGAAAGTTATTGTGGGGAAGGAGAGACTTGAAGTGGACTTTGCAGATCATCTGGATTTGGACAGGTAGAATGGAGGAAGAAAGGCAAGACAGGCTTGGTCAGTAAACAATGAGAAAGACTTGCAGGTGGGATTTGAACATGCTGTATTCAGGCAATTGTGGGAAGGCTAGAAGCTAGGGCCTGTGAAAAACAGCAGAGACAGGTAGGGCAGAAGAGTAGAGAGACGTGGCATGCAGATTCCTAAAACTCCTAAAGGACAGGAGACACTAGATTTTATCCTGTAGGCAATACAATATGGCAACAATTTCTCCCATTGGTTTCTTACTATAAAAGCAATATATATTCATTATAGACAAATTCCTATTTTTCATTTTTCCTTATCATACTCTGTAAAAATTCAAATAATACCAATGTGTATATTTGTATATAAAAGTATCATACAGACCAGGCATGGTGGCTCACGCCTGTAATCTCAGTGCTTTGGGAGGCCAAGGCAGGCGGATCGAGAGGTCAGGAGATCAAGACCATCCTGGCTAACACGATGAAACCTTGTCTCTACTAAAAATACAAAAAATTAGCCAGGCGTGGTGGCGGGCGCCTGTAGTCCCAGCTACTCGGGAAGCTGAGGCAGGAGAATGACGTGAACCTGGGAGGCGGAGCTTGCAGTGAGCCAAGATTGCACCACTGCGCTCCAGCCTGGGTGACAGAGCGAGACTCCGTATCAAAAAAAAAAAAAAAAAAAAAAAGTATCATACAGACAATGAGAAGTTCATGGACATCCCATTTCCTCAAAATGTATTATATGTAAGTTTGCTATAGATTCTAAGTATATGAGATATTTGTAAATACACAGATATATTACACATGGGATATATTCTATAGCTTACTTTTTTTTTCCACTGAAGAATACAGTTGACCCCTGAACAACATGGGTTTGAACTATATCCACTTGAATGCAATTTTCTTCTGCCTCTGCCACTCCTGAGATAGCAAAACCAACCTCTCCTCTTCCCTGTCCTCCTCAGTCTACTCAATGTGAAAATAAAAATGAAGACCTTTACGGTGATCCACTTCTACTTAACAAATATATCTTCTCTTCCTTATGATTTTCTTAATAACATTTTTTTCTCTAGTTTTATTGTATAATATTCTATAGTTTTATTTTAAGAATATAGCATATGTATTAGTCCATTCTCACACTGCTAATAAAGACATACCCAAGACTGGGTAATTTATAAAGGAAAGAGGTTTAATTCACTCATAGTTTCACAGGGCTGGGGAGGCCTCAGGAAATGTACAATCATGGTGGAAGGGGAAGCAAACACGTCCTTCTTCACATGGCAGTGGCAAGGAGAAGTGCAGAGTGAAGGGGGTAAGGCCTCTTATAAAACCATCAGATCTCATGAGAACTCACTATCATGAGAACAGCCTGGAGATAACTGTCCCCATGATTCAATTACCTTCCACCAGGTCCCTCCCATGACATGTGGGGATTATGGGAGCTACAGTTCAAGATGAGATGTGGATAGGGACACAGCCAAACTGTATCAGTGTATAATACATAAAACATACAAAATGTATGTTAATAAATAGTTTTATGTTATCAGTAAGGCTTCCAGTCAACAGTAGGCTATTAGTAGTTAGGTTTTTGGGTTGTCAAAAGTTACATGGAGGCTTTTTACCATGTTGGGGCTGACACACCTAACCCCCACATTGTTCAGGGGTCAGCTATGTATAAGAGACATATTACCACATTTTTAACATATTTAACATGTTTTAATTTAAACTGCAGTGTCTTGTTCTAAAAATACAAACCCTTAATATCATTAACAATGCCGAGGCAGAGAAACAGTGAAGTTCAGGTGTCAGAGGTGTTTGAACCAGACTGACTCCATCTTGAATAGGGTAAGGCTGAAATCTACTGGGCTGCATTCCCAGGAGGTTAGGCATCCTTAGCCTTTAGATATTTACAGTTAAAGGAACAGATTAATAACATTTACTAAACAGACCTAGACTTAGGAATGTCCTGATATCCCACTGTCTTAAGAACAAAAGCATTCCTGGCCGGGCGCGGTGGCTCACGCCTGTAATCCCAGCACTTTGGGAGGCCGAGGCGGGCGGATCACGAGGTCAGGAGATCGAGACCATCCCGGCTAAAACGGTGAAACCCCGTCTCTACTAAAAATACAAAAAATTAGCCGGGCGTAGTGGCGGGCGCCTGTAGTCCCAGCTACTTGGGAGGCTGAGGCAGGAGAATGGCGTGAACCCGGGAGGCGGAGCTTGCAGTGAGCCGAGATCCCGCCACTGCACTCCAGCCTGGGCGACAGAGCGAGACTCCGTCTCAAAAAAAAAAAAAAAAAAAAAGAACAAAAGCATTCCTAATTTTGCTTTAAAGATAATATTGATTTTTGCAAAATAATTAAGAAAATTAATCCTTTATCACAAACCCTTGTAGTAGAGCACATGACCCTATGATTTTTTTTGTTGTTGTTGTGCTATATATAAACAAGCATTGTACCTAGGGTGGGTGCGTTCCTCCTCTTACTTTTGGGAATGTCCTACTTCGCCTATGAAGTAGCTATTCTTTCACCACTTTACTTAATATATTTGCTTTCACTTTGCACTGTGGAATCACCCTGAATTCTTTTTTGCATGAGATCCAAGAACCCTCTTTTGGGGGCTGGATCAGGACCCCTTTCTGGTAACACAGGTACCACCTAGTTACTGTGCAGCAGCCAGTCTGCACGAGGGCACTGGCTCCCAGGCCACAGCCAGCTGTTTCCTTCCCTTGGCACTTCAGAAAAGGGTCTAGGAAGGAGAAAATGGCATCCTTCTGAGAAACACATTTTAACATTTGAAAGCTGGGAGCAGCAGTGATGGTGTCTTATTTCAAGGACAGGGGAGCCAGAAGCTGGGTTACGACAAGTATATAAAAAAGCAAGCTATGGCCAGAGAGGAGAAACTTGGGGCAAGGGGCTTCAGGTGTCAAGTTTGGGCCCTCAGTTCCAGATGTACCTGGGACATAAAAATAGTTCTTGCCTAAATGAAGATATTCTCCTTTTCACTTGGCTATGGTGAGTTAAGTTTCTAATATGAGCAGGTAAGAGTCCTAAGCAACAAAATGACTGGAAGTTGTTGTGTTTTTTAAATCTTTTAGATTAGCAGTCTCCAGTTGTCAAAATTCAAGTTACTTTCTTGACTCCATACATTTTCACTCCCTTTTCCCTTTCTTTCAATCTGTTTGTTCAGAGTCAGAAGTCTTACAGCAGTCCCAGGTTACCTTCCTCTCTCTGCAGACAAGTACTTTCAATTCCTTTTTTAAAAAAATTCAGTTCACTGAGAGCTTTAAATAGTTTATTGTGTTGTTCAGATTTTTTTAATTTTTTAATTTTTGTGGGTACATAATAGGTGTAAGGTGTATATATTTATAAGGTACATGAGATATTTTGGTGCAGGCATCTGATGTATAATAATCACATCAGGGTAAATGGTATAGCCATCACCTCAAGCATTTATCCTTTGTGTTACAACTAATCTAATTATACTCTTAGTTCTTTTTAAATATACAATTTAATTAGTACTGACTATAGTCACCCTGTTGTGCTAGCAAATACCAGATCTTATGCATTCCTTCTCTTTTTTTTGTACCTGTTAACCATCCCCACTTTAGTCCTACCTCCCACTACCCTTCCCAGTCTCTGGGAATAAGATCATTCCATCCTATCTCCATGATTTCAATTGTTTTAATTTTTAGCTCCCAAAAATAAGTGAGAACATGTGAAGTTTCACTTA
The DNA here is from genome assembly GCF_000001405.40 of Homo sapiens. Classification (NCBI taxonomy): domain Eukaryota; kingdom Metazoa; phylum Chordata; class Mammalia; order Primates; family Hominidae; genus Homo; species Homo sapiens. The sequence goes on from NC_000003.12 coordinate 41,483,276, forward strand.
TTTTACTTATTTTATTTACCTCCATCTCTTTAAATAACACATTTGCTCTGCTGCTTCAAGATTTTTTTAGTTTTAGGCATTATCTACTGACTTCCTACCATGGAATATGAAGACGAAGCTCTCTTTCCCCATCCCCACCTCATATGCATACTGTTTCCACCCCCACACCCCCATATAGTTATCTCTTAATTTTGGTCAGATTGATATTCAGAGACTACATTGCTGTGACTGTATAAACACTATTCCCAAGTAAATAATGTAGAAAATAATGATTATCCTTTCCTGGGCAACTTTCTGTTTTCCCTGGAATTAATAGTTTAGAAGACTCAATCCTCATTTAAATGATGTTTTGAGAATGTGGAATGCTGAATAATGCTCCCCCACCCCACCCAAAGACATCCACATCCTAATCCCTGGACCCTGTGAATATGATCTTACATGGGAAAAGGGACTTTGCAAATGTGATTAAGCTAAGAATCTTGAGATGGGGCATTTTCCTGTAATATCCAAGTGGGACCATTATAATCACAAGGATCCTCATCAGAGGGAGGCAGGAGACCAGGCTGAATACTACAAGACGTATGACAGAAGCAAGAAGTTGAAGTGTTGCAAGGAAGGGACCAGAAGCCAAAGAATGCAGGGGGCCTCTGAGGCTATTCAGCTTGGTTTTCCAAGGCAAGGAAACAGAAGCCCCCAGAAGGAATGATGCCCTGACAATACCTTGACTTTGGACTTCTGACCTCCAGAAGCTTGTGTCTTTTCTAATATGTCAAAAGGAAACTAATATAAGGAAGTAGCGAACATAATTTCTTTAACCTAGTCTGTTGTCTTTACCAAGAAGTCTTCAGCCACTGTTCCTAGTAATGAGATGCACTTCTGAGTCAGCATCAGGTGATGGACCGGGAACTTACAGAACCCAATTTGATACTGATAATATCAATAAATATAGGATGTCTCCAATATCTATCAAATACATTTATCAAATAAATATTAGAGACACCCTATATTTACCATATTGTTTTGTGGGAAAAATTTTATAAATCGGCTCATTTTTGGTCAAAATGGGATGAAAACTATACTGTTTAAATTGTAACAGAGAAAACCCCCTGGACTGGGCGCCTGGAGATATACATCCTGGTCTCAGCACTACCACACCTGAGTGACTTTTTTTTCTTTCTTTTCCTTTTTTTGTTTTGAGATGGAGTCTCGCTCTGTCACCCAGGCTGGAGTGCAGTGGTGCAATCTCGGCTCACTGCAAGCTCCGCCTCCCGGGTTCACGCCATTCTACTGCCTCAGCCTCCGGAGTAGCTGGGACTACAGGCGCCCGCCACCACACCCGGCTAATTTTTTGTATTTTTAGTAGAGACGGGGTTTCACCGTGTTAGCCAGGATGGTCTTGATCTCCTGACCTTATGATCCGCCCACCTTGGCCTCCCAAAGTGCTGGGATTACAGGCGTGAGCCACCGCGCCCGGCCCGAGTGACCTTTTTACGCAGGCTTAATTTCCTCATTTGAAGATGGAGAACGACCACCACGTGATATCTGAGGTTTCTTTCCACTCTGATACTTTATGAGTCAGATTGTGGTAAATGAATATTATTTATCTCTAAACCTGTTAAAACTCTACATAAAATTATTTCCATAAATTTTCAATAAAGATGTATGATAACAAACTATATCATTTATAAGTCAATATTCTAAAGCTAAAAATCAGACATTGGAATAACCTAATGTAAAGAAAAAGTAATAACAGCAAATACCCACATGGTTCTTTCCATGTGCCAGGTATTATTCTAAGTGCTTTACCATATCTAAGGCATATCCCTTCAACAACTCCATTTCACAGATGACGAAACTGAGACTCAGGAGGTTAAGTAACTTTCCCAAGACCATGTGGCTCCATGGTCTGTGCTATTACCCATTTTGCAAGACTGCTTTCCTGTAACTAAAATGACAGAAAAGGGGAAAAGGAAGAAAATAAGATCATCTAGCAAGTTTAAAGTGGGAATGCAACAAACAAACAAAAAACCAACAACACCCAGGTATGTTTAAAAAGGTGTGATTGGGAACAGAAAAGAATAAGAAAGGAAAGCGGGAATGCTTCCCATAGGAAGTTGAATCTCTCCCCCAACTACAGAAATATAGAAGGCTAAAAAATAAGTAAATAAGAAGGGAGAGAAAATTGTTATGGCAGCAAGAAATTCTACCTTGAAAATAAATCTGCTTTGCTAAAATCTTATTTTGCAGAAGTTATTTGAGCATTTCTATACAGCAGGGCATCTATTATCCCATGACAATCTTTTACTTCAGTGGCATCTTTCTGCAATAGTTAATTAACAGCTGCCACTCAGAGTGAGTCCATTCTAGCTGATGTTGCGGGAGGTGTAGAGCAGTATTCGATATTCAACACCAGTGCTGTCAAGTAAATGACAACAATCAGCAGGGAGCGCATTTCATTTTCAGTTTTCTGGTGGAGAAAATAAATATTAAGAAGAATTGACGTGCAGCTTTTACATATCAAATCTCTAAAAAATTTGAAGTCACACTGAAATCAATTCAAGTTATAAGGGGACTTCTAAATGCTCACTTAAATATGAATGTAAAAAATGAAGCTGGCAGAAATAGCCATAAAGGAAAATAAATAAGGAAACCTGGTTAAATGCAAAATAACATAATATTCATTCTTTACCTCCTTGCACTTGATCTCCGGATGGCTCTAAACATATCTGACCTTTTGGAAACTGCCGTTCCTTGGTTTGCTGGACACCTCACTCTTCTGGGTTTCCTCCCTGAACATTCCTTTCCAGTTTCCTGGAGCTTTTTTCCCTTTACCCCACAATCAAGCATGTGCACGTATCTCATGAATATCAGTCTTCCTATTATACCATAAATTCCACAGGGGCAGGAATATAAAGGGCTAAAAAATAATTGCAGTAATTGGGCTATTACTGCATCACCTAGCCTTGCACAGCCCCTGGCTCATAGTAGGTATTCAAGAAACATGTGGAATAACTGACATTACAACATGACCAAAGAAGGCTTCATTCTAGAAATTTGTTGCCAATGAATCATTAGAAAACCCATCAATGAACATTAAAGTGTGCAGAAATAAACAAAGGTAACCCAAATGAGAACAAGCAGAGGCTACTCAGAGCTTGCTATAGCAAGAGAATTGGCCATCATTTACATTTGACGGAGACTCAAAGGCAGGCAGGGGAGTGGGAGAGTTTTATCACGAAAAGACTGAACGGTGTCAGGTATGCACTGACTGGATGTTGTTGGCATGGGGAGGAAGCATGGAGGTAGATGGCCTAACTAGAAGTAGAGCAATTTGTGCTACTGGTTTGGGGAGCATTTTTTTTATTTCTATAGTTGGTCCTGAGTTGGAAGTATGGGCAAAAATCAGAGAAGCTAGTAGTTATTGACAAAGTCCTGACCAATTTGGGCCAATTTCTGCAGAGGTTGTGGTTTGGCCTTCTGGACTAACTGCAGAGGTTATTTTTCAGTGTTCTATTTTCATATACGATCTGGCCATTGACCATTTGTATACACAATCTCAAGGGAAACACTAGAAGCATATCCATTAAAGTCAGGAAATAAGGATGCCTACTCTCCCAATTTTGTACTCAGATTTGGTTAGGTAATCTAGCCAAAGCAATAAAGAAAGGAAATAAGCTGACAATACCCGAAACAAATCGTTAAAATTATCATCAATTATAGATAATGTGATTGAGAACCTAGGAGAAATGAAAAGAAACTCTTACTAATCAGTACGTAGTTTCCTTTAATATCAACAATATCCAGAAAAAACATAATTTTAAAATCTCTTTCATAACTAAACTACAACTTAAGCTATTTCTTAGGAATCAATTTGATCAGAAATGTGAGACCTATGCAAATAATAATATAACACATTATGTAAAGATATAAAAGGAAAACTGAATAAATGGAAAGGTACAAGACCTTCAATTAAAAGTATCTGTGAAGATACAATCCAAATTGGCATATAATTAATATTGGTGATCAAAATCTTATTGGGATTTTTGAGGAACATAACAAAGTTATGTTTTACAGTTGATTTTATAGTTCATTTGAAAAGATAAATGCATAAGAACGGTGGGATATTTTTGTAAAAAGAGAATTAAGTACTTGCCCTATCAAATATCAAAATATATTCCAATACTACAATAATAAAAATGTTCTGATTCCAATACAGGAATTAAGAGCTATACCAATGGGACAAAACAGAGTCTAGACGTAGATAATAGGAATGTGGTATATGGATATATGAATTCTTGTATAAACAGAGGTTTCAAATTCTATGAGGAATAAGTAATTATGGTATAACTACCTAACCATTAACAAAATTCAGGCTAAATCTCTACACTTCATATCATTCATAAAAACAAATCCCAGCCAGAATAAGGCTCTAAATATAAAAACAATCTCTCAAGTGTGAAAGGTTACCAGAAGGCATAACAGAAAACAATGATACATCTGACAATAAAAAAGTTTCTAATTGCTACATGACAAAAGACTAAATAAAGTTAACATATATTTTTAACAAAAGTTATATAACATGTGTAAATATCCCTAATACAAAAATTATTTTGCTAGTGATTCTTACAAATCACTAAGAAAAAGACAAATACCCCAGTTACCCATGAGCAAAGAATAAAGGACAGCTATTTACCAAAGAAATACAAATGATCAATGATTCTATGAAGAGTGCTCAACTTAACAAAGACAACTACTTGGAAGGGGAAGGAAACAATGAGATTGGAAACCATTATAAAAGATGAAGTAGAAATACATGCAAGGCATAGAATTACATCTATGACATAAAATATGGACAACCGAGTTAGAGAACAATACATAGAGAATAATGCAAGTTTAGTTTCTAGCATATATATTACAGATATTTGAGAGTAACTTTTTAATGGAATACTTCCTATTTTTCAAGCATCATGCTATTTTACACACAGTATGTTTACACATATTACCTCATCCTCTACAACCACTCAGTTATTATTCCCATCCCTCTGCATAGGAAAAAGTGGAGACGGTCCAGAGAGTTGGAAATTAGGCATGAACCCAGGAAAGCTAACTCCAGACCTGGATTCTTCCTCATTACCTAGTTGTGCTTGGTAAGCTCTACACACACACATAACCCAGATCATCTCTGGGAATCAGTTTACTTTTAACTTCATACGCTTCTGCATTAGTTGAATTTTTATCATGAATATGCATTACTTTTGTGACTGGAAAAGATACAGATATTTAACATCTTGCAAAGAATTAAAAAGAAGTAGGATTGACAGTACTTCAAGCATTTTAAATTGTGGCCTGAAACTTACCAATGTGCTAACAGTGAGTAAGGCTCCTATACAGGGTTCAGTTTGCACCTCTGTAACACCAAGTGAAACTCTTGCTACATTCTGACACTTTTGTAAGGTTTGTTCCACTTTGAAGAAAGTTTCAAGTGTCTTAGCTATGAGAAAGCTTGATACTGAGAAAAGTACCACTTGGCCACTTGTGGGACATTAAAGTGCTGGCTTTGCTTGCCTAAATGGGATGACTCTGGCACAGGGGCATGATGTGAAAATCAAGGATATAAAAAATAGAGCTGAGAAAATGACACACTCCAGCCATCCTTCCTGCAGGTCTCGGAGTAAGAGAAACTCCTTCCTTCTCAGGAGCCCCTCTTGGTGAGCACCCCTCCCACTGAGGCTCTATCTCAGCCCCCTTCTGCCTCCTCCAAACCCCCAACCCCTGACCCTCAGTTTATCCACTTTCATGTAAGTTTCCTTCAACTCTCCCTTTCATCTGTCTTTTCTCAAATATGCCAATTTCTCAATTCCTAAGGAAACCTTCAACTAGTGCTCCCTGAAAATGCCATCCTATCCTTCTTTTACTGACGACATAGGCATGTTTTCTATTTTTCTTACTAAAGTCATGATTAGAATTTTCAAAAGATACTTTACTGACAAACACTTCAGCATTAGATCATCTATTCTCTGCACTGGCTTATTTCTCACTGCCCTGCTGGATTTCCAGTTGCTCATCACTAGCTGACTTGTAATATAATCCTTTATCAGGTACAGTGGGATGGTAATGAGGTCCTCAGAAGACTGAAAGTATTCATTAGAGGGCAGCGTGTGATGTAACTCACTCTTTCATTCTCTTGCTTGGCCCCATGCCTCACAATCCTCATGTAAGGAAGCCAAATCCTACTAACAGTGCAATGAACCAAGGTGCAACACCATCCCCCTTCCTGGCACAATCTTTTCTCCCCATGACCCCCCACCTCAGTAGGATTAGATGCTTTCTCCCTAAGCTTCATCTGTCCAGGCACTATCTGCAAAGTCCTTTCCTGTATAGGAAATGTAGCTGCTTTGCAATTTTTTCAAGGAAGTCAGCACTAACACACTCTAAGATCTAGTAAATACGAGTTCTCCTGTGGACTCAAATCATCCCACTCCAGGAAAACTGCCCCTCAGATGTCACCTCCTACCAGTCTTGGCTAGTAAAAGTCTAGTTACTAGATTTTAAACATCATAAAGCCTAAAACATTAATATTAATACACACAGGGTATGACTAGGATTAGTCTCACATAGGAATCTTTTTCTTTCCCAACTTTATTTATTTACCTGATTCAGAGGACAGGACTCCCAAACTGACATCTTCAGCAACAGTCAAAAGGCATAATGACTTTTTCTGTCCCTATGATTTGAAACCTTGGTGGCAATGCTATCTTCACCCACTCAACCCACAGCTGTTACTCAGTCCTGACTGTGCCCCTTTTGCTGTGTCTCTGAAATGATTCTGTATATTACAGTTCCTTTCTTGATCCAGTTCTGGTGTTCATCACTATATATGTAGCTGGTTTAGCTTTCTAACAGTTCTCTCTGCCTCTGATCTCCATCACATGATTGGGGCAGCTAATCATGCTTAACATCATTGACATAATGTTCCTCCACTGATAAGGGAGCCTGAGCATCACGCCATCACTTACCTGACCCAGTCTGAGTTCAGCCCAGCATTCAAGTTCCTCCACACTCCAGCTCCAGCACAGACCCACACTTCCAGCCAGAATGTATGTTCATAGCTGACTGTGGTCTCATCATTCGCTCCTGCCTCTGTGCTCTGTTCCCACTGTTCTTTTCAACTGAAGTGCTCTTGCCTTCTTACATTACTGACAGCCTCTGCTTCCCTCAAGGTACACATTCCTCCACTCACTACTTTCTTCTTTCAGTGCTTCTGTTCATACCATTCAATTTTGCAATATCATCATATACTGCTTTTTATCCTTTCACATAAAATGTTTTTCCCCAACTAGACTGCAAGCTCCTCAAAGAATGGAACTCTATTTGAAGGCAAAACACATTTTTAAAATATTGAATATATATTTGAACCGAGCAAGATGCTTCTTGAGAGTTTTCTACAATGTCTACCATGGTTTGGGAATATTAAAGGTATTCATTGAATACTTTTTGAATGAATCAATCAACAAGTAAATTAACTGGGATAAGAGAGACTATAAGATAACACTACTGGTGCTTAAGGACATGGACTACATCTTCTAAATCATTATACACAGAAACGCTCTCAGTAGCTGACACCAATCAGTGCTCAATAAATGTCTGTGTAAGGAAAACAGACAAAGATGGAACAGCATTTAGGTGAAAGTCACAAAAATCACAGAATTTGTTGCAAAAAGAAAAAGAGTAATAACCATAAAAGATGGAATACAAGATCCCATTAACAATAGCAACGAAAAGATGAGATCACTGAGAACACATTTAACAAGAACTGTCCAAGGTCTATGTGAATAAATACTTAAAACACTATTGAGGGACACAGAGGCAGACGGCCTTAAACAAATAAAGAGCCCTACCATATTTTTGAATAGGAAAGCTCAATTTCTAAAACATGTCAATTCTTCCTAAATTAATCTATTAATTCAAAGTAATTGCCATAAAATAAATAGTCAACATGTTATTCAATCTATAAAAGCTATTACAAAGTTGTTTTGGAAAAAATAAAAAATAAAATACAACAGTAAGAAAACTGCCAAAGAAGGTAAAGTAACTAGAAGCAACAATGACCACGACCATATATCTAAATATGTAACAATACTACAAAAATTAAAAGAGTTTGGCACTGGAACATAAGTAGAAAAATGAAAGGGCAAAAGAGGACTAAAATCTACACAAAAATATATAGAAATTAGGTACAAAAATATGGCATTTCAGATCAGTGGAGAAAAGATGAAATATTCAGTTAACAGCATCATTACTAATGAGTAGCCACAAAATAAATCCTACTCCCACAACTTATAACACGGTACATTCCAGGTGGCCCAATGATTTAATAATCAAACTGAATCCATAAAATTAATAGGAAAAAAAAGAATTTTTATATTTTTTTTTATTCATTTGCTTTATTTTTATTTCTTTTAATTATTATTATACTTTAAGTTTTAGGGTACATGTGCACAATGTGCAGGTTAGTTACATATGTATACATGTGCCATGTTGGTGTGCTGCACCCATTAACTCGTCATTTAGCATTAGGTATACCTTCTAATGCTATCCCTCCCGCCTCCCCCCACCCCACAACAGTCCCCAGAGTATGATGTTCCCCTTCCTGTGTCCATGTGTTCTCATTGTTCAATTCCCATCTATGAATGAGAACATGTGGTGTTTGGTTTTTTGTCTTTGCAATAGTTTACTGAGAATGATGATTTCCAATTTCATCCATGTCCCTACAAAGGACATGAACTCATCATTTTTTATGGCTGCATAGTATTCCATGGTGTATATGTGACACATTTTCTTAATCCACTCTATCATTGTTGGACATTTGGGTCGGGTCCAAGTCTTTGCTATTGTGAATACTGCCGCAATAAACATACGTGTGCATGTGTCTTTATAGCAGCATGATTTATAGTCCTTTGGGTATATACCCAGCAATGGGATGGCTGGGACAAATGGTATCTCTAGTTCTAGATCCCTGAGGAATCGCCACACTGACTTCCACAATGGTTGAACTAGTTTACAGTCCCGCCAACAGTGTAAAAGTGTTCCTATTTCTCCACATCCTCCCCAGCATCTGTTGTTTCCTGCCCTAAAAGAGCTCCTGAAGGAAGCACTAAACATGGAAAGGAACAACCGGTACCAGCCACTGCAAAATCATGCCAAAATGTAAAGACCATTGAGACTAGGAAGAAACTGCATCAACTAACAAGCAAAATAACCAGCTAACATCATAATGACAGGATCAAATCCACACATAACAATATTAACTTTAAATGTAATTGGACTAAATGCTCCAATTAAAAGACACAGACTGGCAAATTGGATAAAGAGTCAAGGCCCATCAGTATGCTGTATTCAGGAGACCCATCTCATGTGCAGAGACACACATAGGCTCAAAATAAAAGGATGGAGGAAGATCTACCAAACAAATGGAAAACAAAAAAAGGCAGGGGTTGCAATCCTAGTCTCTGATAAAACAGACTTTAAACCAGCAAAGATCAAAACAGACAAAGAAGGCCATTACATAATGGTAAAGGGATCAATTCAACAAGAAGAGCTAACTATCCTAAATATATATGCACCCAATACAGGAGCACCCAGATTCATAAAGCAAGTCCTGAGTGAACTACAAAGAGACTTAGACTCCCACACAATAATAATGGGAGACTTTAACACCCCACTGTCAACATTAGACAGATCAATGAGACAGAAAGTTAACAAGGATATACAGGAATTGAACTCAGCTCTGCACCAAGCGGACCTAATAGACATCTACAGAACTCTCTACCCCAAATCAACAGAATATACATTTTTTTCAGTACCACACCACACCTATTCCAAAATTGACCACATACTTGGAAGTAAAGCTCTCCTCAGCAAATGTAAAAGAACAGAAATTATAACAAACTGTCTCTCAGACCACAGTGCAATCAAACTAGAACTCAGGATTAAGAAACTCACTGAAAACGGCTCAACTGCATGGAAACTGAACAACCTGCTCCTGAATGACTACTGGGTACATAACGAAATGAAGGCAGAAATAAAGATGTTCTTTGAAACCAACGAGAACAAAGACACAACATACCAGAATCTCTGGGACACATTCAAAGCAGTGTGTAGAGGGAAATTTATAGCACTAAATGCCCACAAGAGAAAGCAAGAAAGATCCAAAATTGACACCCTGACATCACAATTAAAAGAACTAGAAAAGCAAGAGCAAACACATTCAAAAGCTACCAGAAGGCAAGAAATAACTAAAATCAGAGCAGAACTGAAGCAAATACAGACACAAAAAACCCTTCAAAAAATCAGGGAATCCAGGAGCTGGTTTTTTGAAAGGATCAACAAAATTGATAGACTGCTAGCAAGACTAATAAACAAAAAAAGAGATAAGAATCAAATAGATGCAATAAAAAATGATAAAGGGGATATCACCACCGATCCCACAGAAATACAAACTACCATCAGAGAATACTACAAACACCTCTACACAAATAAACTAGAAAATCTAGAAGAAATGGATAAATTCCTCGACACATACACCCTCCCAAGACTAAACCAGGAAGAAGTTGAATCTCTGAATAGACCAATAACAGGATCTCAAATTGTGGCAATAATCAACAGCTTACCAACCAAAAAGAGTCCAGGACCAGATGGATTCACAGCCGAATTCTACCAGAGGTACAAGGAGGAACTGGTACCATTCCTTCTGAAACTATTCCAATCAATAGAAAAAGAGGGAATCCTCCCTAACTCATTTTATGAGGCCAGCATCATCCTGATACCAAAGCTGGGCAGAGACACAACCAAAAAAGAGAATTTTAGACCAATATCCTTGATGAACATTGATGCAAAAATCCTCAATAAAATACTGGCAAACTGAATCCAGCAGCACATCCAAAAGCTTATCCACCATGATCAAGTGGGCTTCATCCCTGGGATGCAAGGCTGGTTCAATATACACAAATCAATCAATGTAATCCAGCATATAAACAGAACCAAAGACAAAAACCACATGATTATCTCAATAGATGCAGAAAAGGCCTTTGACAAAATTCAACAGCCCTTCACGCTAAAAACTCTCAATAAATTAGGTATTGATGGGACGTATCTCAAAATAATAAGAGCCATCTATGACAAAACCACAGCCAATATCATACTGAATGGGCAAAAACTGGAAGCATTCCCTTTGAAAACTGGCACAAGACAGGGATGCCCTCTCTCACCACTCCTATTCAACATAGTGTTGGAAGTTCTGGCCAGGACAATTAGGCAGGAGAAGGAAATAAAGGGCATTCAATTAGGAAAAGAGGAAGTCAAATTGTCCCTGTTTGCAGACGACATGATTGTGTATCTAGAAAACCCCACTGTCTCAGCCCAAAATCTCCTTAAGCTGATAAGCAACTTCAGCAAAGTCTCAGGATACAAAATCAATGTGCAAAAATCACAAGCATTCTTATACACCAATAACAGACAAACAGAGAGCCAAATCAGGAGTGAACTCCCATTCACAATTGCTTCAAAGAGAATAAAATACTTAGGAATCCAACTCACAAGGGACGTGAAGGACCTCTTCAAGGAGAACTACAAACCAATGCTCAATGAAATAAAAGAGGATACAAACAAATGGAAGAACATTCCATGCTCATAGGTAGGAAGAATCAGTATCGTGAAAATGGCCATACTGCCCAAGGTAATTTATAGATTCAATGCCATCCCCATCAAGCTACCAACGACTTTCTTCACAGAATTGGAAAAAACAACTTTCAAGTTCATATGGAACCAAAAAAGAGCCTGCATCACCAAGTCAATGCTAAGCCAAAGGAACAAAGCTGGAGGCATCACACTACCTGACTTCAAACTATACAAGGCTACAGTAACCAAAACAGCATGGTACTGGTACCAAAACAGAGATATAGATCAATGGAACAGAACAGAGCCCTCAGAAATAATGCCGCATATCTACAACTGTATGATCTCTGACAAACCTGACAAAAACAAGCAATGGGGAAAGGATTCCCTATTTAACAAATGGTGCTGGGAAAACTGGCTAGCCATATGTAGAAAGCTGAAACTGGATCCCTTCCTTACACCTTACACAAAAATTAATTCAAGATGGATTAAAGACTTACATGTTAGACCTAAAACCATAAAAACCCTAGAAGAAAACCTAGGCAATACCATTCAGGACATAGGCATGGGCAAGGACTTCATGTCTAAAACACCAAAAGCAATGGCAACAAAGGACAAAATTGACAAATGGGATCTAATTGAACTAAAGAGCTTCTGCACAGCAAAAGAAACTACCATCAGAGTGAACAGGCAACCTACAAAATGGGAGAAAATTTTTGCAACCTACTCATCTGACAAAGGGCTAATATCCAGAATCTACAATGAACTCAAACAAATGTACAAGAAAAAAACAAACAACCCCATCAAAAAGTGGGCAAAGGATATGAACAGACACTTCTCAAAAGAAGACATTTACGCAGCCAAAAGACACATGAAAAAATGCTCATCATCACTGGCCATCAGAGAAATGCAAATCAAAACCACAATGAGATACCATCTCACACCAGTTAGAAAAAAAAGAACTTTTAAAACTTTGAGTTGAGAAAGCATCCATAATATAACACAAAAGCCAGAAGCCATAAAAGATTTATAGATAATACTTAATAAAATATTGTATTTCTGTAGTGAAATACAACATTAACAAAATCAAAAGTCAAACAATAAAGTAGTATTTGTAAAACGTATCAAATTTGTAAACATATTAAATAAGAGAAAAAGAGGTCAATTTTCACCTATTTGTAAAAAATACTGACAAACCAACAAGAAAACACTAAAAAGAGTAGAATGAACAAAGAGAAGGAAATATAAGTCACTCTTAAATAAATGAATAAATGCTCATCATAAGTAAACTTCAAATTGGAAACACAATAAGGAAGACTGCGATATACAACGATTATGGTACAACTAGTACCAAACTAGTCCTTCTATCATAAACATTAAGCCTAGACAAAATATATCAGGCAACTGTTTTTCAAATGTCAGACAAAAAGCAATATAAGACTCTGACTCCTGAGAGAGGAAAAACACATACAATGAATGAGCCCCATAACCACCCCAGCATTTTGTCTGGAGGAATTTTCTAGACTAAGGTACATGGTGACAGGGTCCAAGTAGAAGTGGGCAGTCTTACTTTGCTGATGAGAAGTAAGAGCTTGAAGTTGGAGTTTGCTGAGGGAGCGACAGTTTTCCTGGTAGAGTAATAAAGAAAATGGAGCTGCTCAGAAAGGACATCAGAAATCTGCATAGTGCTGCCCTAGTCTTTGGCTTTAAGATGAGACTCCAGGAAGCATGATCGAGAACAGCCACCTGCAAGCTGTTGAGTTGAACAGAGATACTTAAGATTGCACAGATCTGGCAGTCAAGGAGTTCCGACAATCCAGAGAGAAAAGATCTCCCTAACTACTCTAGGTATTCAACTGAGATCTAAGAAAAGCAACACCTTACTAATAGACCCACGATTAGAAAAACAAAAAATAAGCCTTGAATAAATCTAGCTGAACCACCAGTAAATTAAGTAACACCCAGAAAAAAACTCAACCTTCTCTAAAGGAAGACAACAAAATTCAGATTCACAATACAGCCTCCAGAACTGCCACCATGCAATCAAAAATTATTATGTATGCAAAGCAGCAGGGAAATGTAACCCATAACCAAAAAAAAAAAAAAGATATTAAATAGAGACACTAAGATGATACAGGTTTTAAAGCAGCTAATGATAATATGTTGAAAGACATAAAAAGAAAATATGGTTATAATGAATTAACAGATCTGAACTCTTTAGGAAATAGAAAACATAAACCAAATGGAAATTTTGAAATGAAAACATGTATTATCTGAAATGAAGCATTCACTTGTTGGGATGAAGAGCAGACTAGAAATGGCAGGAAAAAAAGGTCAGTAAACCTGAAAATAGATCTATAGAAATTGCTCAACTTGAAGAAAAGAGAAGAAACATTTGATTTTTTAAAAACAGAGATTCAATCTGCTGAACTACACCAAATAGACTAATGTATATAATATACATATATCTATATACATAATAATTGGGGTTCAAGAGGAAAAAGAAAGAATGGAAGAAAAAATATTTTTAAGAAATAATAGCTCATAGTTTGCCAAATTTGGCAAAACAAAATGTATTCTTGCAAATTCAAGGAGCTCAGCAAACCCCAAATAAGAAAATTATAAATATGACCACACCTAGGCAAGTTAAAAGTCAATTTTCTGAAAACCAAATATACTGTACCACAAATAAGGACATTCCATATTGATGATATAAGGGTCATCAAGAATACCTAACATCTTAAATATAAAGGAATTGAATAACAGAGCTTCAAAATACATAAAGCAGCTGAGTGCAGTAATACATGCCTGTAGTCTCACCTACTCACGAGGTTGAGGTGGGAGGACTGCCTGAGGTCAGGAGTTCAAGACTGTAGTGTGCTATAATCATGCCTATAAATAGCCACTGCACTTCAGCCTGGGCAACATAGACTCCATCTCTAAAAAAATAATAATATGTAAAGCAACAACTGATATAACTAATTAGATAGAAAAACCCATCATAACTGGAGATTTTAATACTTCTCTCAGAGACAGAAACATTGAAAAAAGAGCATATAGAAAATCAGCTATAGAAAATCTGAATAGCGTTATCAAATATCTTGATGTCAATGATTTTTATAGACTCCTATAGCCACAACTCCAGAATACACACTCTTTCCAAGTATACATGAAACCTTCTTTAAGAAAAACTAAATGCCAGGCCAAAATAATAAGTTTAGGAATTTTCAAAAAACTGAAATGTTTGAGTGTGTTCATTCAACATAACTGAAAATAAATTAGAAATCAGTAACAATAAAGTATCTAGAAAATCCTCAAATGTTTGGGAATTAAGGAACATGTTTCTAAAACACTCATGGGTCAAAGAAAATAATCACAAGGGAAATTAGAAAACATTTCAAAATGAATGATAATGAAAACACAATGGAGCTTAAAAAGAGTTGGGTAGCTTAAATACTGGAAATGAAGAAAGCTTTAAAACCAATTCTATAAATTCTCACCTTAGGACTCCGGGGAAAAAGAACCAATTAAACCCAAAGTAAATAGAAGATATGAATTAATAAAGCTAAGAACAGAAATCAATTAAACAGAAAACAGACAAACATTAGAGAGCTTCTTCTTTTTTTTCTTTTTTTTTTTTTTGCTTTGTTTTTTGTTTTGTTTTTGAGACAGAATCTCACTGTGTTGCCCAGGCTGGAGTGCAGTGGCACGATCTCAGCCCACTGCAAGCTCTGCCTCCTGGGTTCACGCCATTCTCCTGCCTCAGCCTCCCGAGTAGCTGGGACTACAGGTGCCCGCCATCATGCCCAGCTAATTTTTTATATTTTTAGTAGAGACAGGGTTTCACCATGTTAGCCAGGATGGTCTCGATCTCCTGACATTGTGATTTGCCCACCTCGGCTTCCCAAAGTGCTGGGATTACAGGCGTGAGCCACTGTCTGGCCGAGAGTTTCTTCTTTTAAAGATTAATGTAACTGATAAAATCTGTAGCAAAATTTAAGGAAAAGAAAAAACACAAAATACAATATAGTACTATTCTTCAATAAAAAGGAGCAAAATACTGATATGCTACAAATGGATAAACCTCAAAAATGCTGTGGTAAGTGAAAAAAGGCCAGATGCAAACAACTAAGTATTACATTATTCCACTTATATGAAATGTCTAGAAAAGACAAATCTATACAGAAGAAACATGAACCACAGGTCCACTTCATTCATTCATTCCCTTGCCAATATTTTTATTGAGCTAGGAATTCCAGAACATTGGCTTTCAAAAGTTTTTTAATTGATGGAAACTCTTTTGCTAGAAAAAGCTCATGAAGAACCCCAATAGACAACAGAGCTTCTTTAGCTCTGTTGAAATGAAGAGAAGAGTGCCTTGCTTTTGAACTCCCCTGGGCAATCAAGAGTTGACTATATTGAACAGAAAAGTATGGATTAAATATTTGCAAAACCTCCAAAATACAATATAATCCCAGTATTTCCTGGCAAAGTGGCAGCTTCTTTCCTATGTGTAGAGTGTTGAGGGCAGAACACCTTGGGCAAATTTTTATTGATCGGCACAAAATACGTGGTGGGCTCACAGCCTGGGTATAACCCACTGCAAAATGAAAAGGATGGGAGATTAAACCTTCACTTCTACATAAAGATTTTTTTTGTCCAATTTTGACTTTAACTGGCAAATAAATTAATGTAGTAAAATTTGAATTAATATATCAATTACGCAAAGGCCTGCCAACTTTACGTTGAACAAAATGGAATATCCCAGGAGCAAAAAAATAACATGTGTATGGCACATTGGGGTTAAAAATGAGGTTGTCTATGGCTAGAAACTTCCTGCATTAAAGTCCTTCTTTAATATGAGAGTTTTGATTAGTGATATTTAATAGTGTCTAGGTTTGAATGATGAATTATATTCACCTTGGTTATAAAACAATTCAGACTTTCTACTCCTTCAATAAAGTTTGGTTAAGCTATATTTTTCTGTTTATTTTTCTATGTTTTCAAATTTACTGATATAATATTTCCAGAGTATTCCTTTATTCTTTCTCCAGTCACTGCTCTAGTCGTATTATTTTCTCTTTTTCATTCTTAATACTGTTTATTTGTACCTTCTCTCATTTTTCTCTTAAGGCTTTCTTGAGTTTTTTCCATTTTATCAGTCATTTCAAAGATCTATCAGTTGGCTTTGTGGATCTTCCCAACTGTATTAATGAACTTTCTGCTTCATTAATTTCTGCTTTTTTATTATTTTCTTCCTTCTACTTCCTTCAGGGTTTTTTTTTTCTAGCTTCCTAAATTGCAAGCCTAGCTCATTAATTTTCATCTTATCTTTTTTTTTTTTTCCTACTGAAATCATTTAAGGCACTGGTTCTCAACAGTTGAAAACCCTGATTTTTAAAAACTATCAATGTCAGGATCCCACTATACAAAAATCTTTATTTCATTGGTCTGAAGTGGGGCCAGGATAGGAGTTCTTATTAAGTTAGGTTTTACTTTCTGTGATGATTAAAGGGAGGAGGGGTATTGAGGGCAAGGAGAGGCCCACCTGATTAGTGGGAGGCAACCTTTCTTCAGGAATCAGAGCAGTGGAGTGGGAGTCCTCAAATCCCTAGCAGACTTCTGGCCCAATCCCCTGGATCGAAGCCAAGTTGGAAATTCCCAGAAATGCTAGTGGCTATCCCAGAGACACAGCAACTTCATCTATACATTCACTAGATCCCACAGAGGCCAACAGATGGTACCAAGCACAGCCAGTTCTGGAATGATTTGGAGATTACAGTTGAACCCTGCAATCTCCAAACCCTGGAACTCGGGGCCAGCAGAGAGTATAGGCTCATGCCGGTCATATTAGTTTTTACTCCTCTTACTATGTGTGATGGCAAATTTTTGTTATAAATGTGATCTTGTGTGCCTTCTGGGTTTTCGTGGATTTTTTACATGTCTTTGTTTTTGTTTCTCCAGTAGGCCTTCATTGTTTTTGTGTTCTCCAGTAATTTGGAAGGTTTATACATTGTTTTAAGGTCTACAGTTACTAATTGGCTAATTAGCACAGCTCAACATCAATAGACCTCAGGGCGATACAAATTAAGACCATAATGAGATACCACTACACAGCCACTAGGATGGTTAAAATTAAATAGATTGACAATTCATAAGTGTTGGTGAGAATGCGAAACAACTGGACTTCACACACTGCTGGTAAGAATGCCAAATGGCACAGCCAGTTTGGAAAACAGTCAGTTTTTAAAAAAGTAATGTTTGGCTGGGCGCGGTGGCTCATGCCTGTAATCAATCCCAGCACTTTGGGAGGCCGAGACGGGCGGATCACGAGGTCAGGAGATCAAGACCATCTTGGCTAACACGGTGAAACCCCGTCTCTACTAAAAATACAAACAAATTAGCCAGGCATGGTGGCAGACACCTGTGGTCCCAGCTACTCGGAAGGCTGAGGCAGGAGAATGGCGTGAACCCAGGAGGCGGCGCTTGCAGTGAGCCGAGATTGCGCCACTGCACTCCAGCCTGGGTGACAGAGCAAGACTCCGTCTCAAAACAAACAAAACAAAACAAAAATTAATATTTAAAATTGACAAATAAAAATTGTATCTATTTATAAGGTACAATATTTTTATGCTTTGATATATGTATATATTATGGAATAATTAAATCAAGCTAATTCACATAACTATCACCTCACATACATTTTTGTAGCCAGAATAATTAAAATCTACTCTCTTGGCAACTTTCAAGTATATACAATGCATTATTGTTAACTATAGTCACCATGCTATACCATAGATCTCTTAAACTTACTCCTTCTATCTAACTGAAACTTTGTGTGTTTTAACTAATATGTCCCCAATTATCCCATTCCCTGCACCTCACCCCTCCCCACTCCAAACCCTGCCACCACCATAATACCTGGTAACCACCATTCTCCTGTTTGCTTCTATGAGTTTGACTTTTCTGTACTACACATATAAGTGAGATCATGTGGTATTTCTCTTTCTGTGCCTGTCTTACTTCACT
Organism: Homo sapiens; assembly: GCF_000001405.40. NCBI lineage: Eukaryota > Metazoa > Chordata > Mammalia > Primates > Hominidae > Homo > Homo sapiens. Next base: position 41,501,978 of record NC_000003.12, read on the forward strand.
TGGCATAGTGTCCTCCAGCTTCATCCATATTGCTACAAATCATAGGCTTTCCTTCTTTTTAAAGGCTGAATAGTATTCCATTGTGTACATATTCCATATTTTCTGTATTTATTCATCCACTGATGGACATTTAAATTGATTCTATATCCTAGCTACTGTGAATAATGCTGCAATAAATATGGGAATGCAAATGTATCTTTTGGCACATGAATTTCATTTCCGTTGGATATATTCCCAGAAGTAGAATTGCTGGATGATATGGTAATTCTATTTTTAAATTGTTAAGGAACCACTATACTGTTTTCCACAATGGCTGTATTAATTTACATTTCCACTAACAGCATACAAGTGTTCTCTTTTTTCCACATCTTTGCCAGCACTTATCTTTTATCTTTTAAATAACAGAGATGGGCAGTTTCTTGTAAAGTTTAAAAGCACATTTACCATATAACCCAGCAATCTCACCTCTAGGTATTTGCTCAAGAAAAATGAAAACGGATGTAAATACAAAGACTTACATGTGAGTGTTCATATAATCTTTATTCACAACAATATATAGAAAAAACTCAAAAATGTCCACCAGCTGGGAAATTAATAAACAAAATGAAATACAGTCATACAGTGGAATACTATTCAAAAGAACAATACTATTGATACATGTGACAACATGAATGAATCTCAAAAGCATTTTGCATTGTGAAAGAAGGCAGACACAAATGTTTACATATTGTATGATTCCATTTATATAACATTTTTTCAAAAGGCAAAACTATGTAGGCATAAAATATTAGTGGTTCCCAGGAAGTGGGAGGGGTTGAGGGAATTCACTTCAAGGGACACAAGGAAACTGAGGTGATAAAAATGTTTCATATCTTGATTATGGTGATGGCTTCACAAGTATATACTCAGCAAATTGCACATGTAATTAGTGCATTTTATTAAATTATCTCAATAGACCTGGTTAAATGTACAAATGTCCATTAATTGCTGTAAAAAAAGATGCAATATCCTTTGACACAGCAATACAACTATTGATAAATTAGCCTAAGGAAAAAAAAATGTACTTTAGATAGGCTTATCAATAGTTACAGAAATTCAAAAAGGTACTGGAATGGTAACCAATCCTCTGGTTGACAAGGAGGTCAGAGAACATATAGACCCACACGAATGTGAAAAGGAATGCTACATATCTAAAGGACTAAGTTAGAATTATGAGTAGATGTCAATTAACTTCAACTTCAGTCTTCTAGAAGAAAGTAAGGCTTTTCTCGGCAAACCAACATTTAATTTCAAAACTCTCACAAGAAACTTAGTTAGTGCACCAAAACTATCTCAGCAAGCTGGACATCACTTAAGGTCTAACTGGTGACCCCAAGGGCTGTCAGTGGAAATGTCATGGCTACAAGGAGTGCAAAGGCAAACAACAAATTCAACAGGAGACCAAGACTTAGTTGTTGACAACCTCAGGATGTGTAAGACACTTCACATATCATTTATACAAATAAGCATGACACCAACTCTTCCTTTATGCTATGGGCACACCATGACCTAAAGATGACCTAGGAAAACAGAAGAAGACATAGATTTCCATCTGCAGATGCCAGCTGTCAGCTCTAGCTCTGCATGGTACCCAACCTTCTTCCAGAACTCTGAAAAACTAAATAATGATGTCTTTTTATATCTTTTCAGATTATATTTAATTTAAAAGTAGAACACGTATGTAATTAGCATTTAGTATGTTTTTGTCTTTTAAAAAAACAAGAAATCTGATGATTAACACCTGAAATTTCAATGTCCTAAAATGATATAAAACAATACTCTCTCCTTCTGAAAAAATCTGGATCTTACTCATGTATGTAAATATATTTTAACAGTAAGCAGTTACCTTGAAAAGAGCTAGAACTAGAAATGTTTACCTCTAGAACTTCAACATTTGGAACTAGTCATTTCAATCAATGCTTTGATTTTAGAAATAGAAAAGGCCATCTTGGTTGAATCAAAATATACAAAAACAAAGCAAACAAAACAAAAACAACAAAATCTCCCCATAGAAAGAGAGAAATATTAGAAATTTTTCTTTTGGGTCATTTGATTCAAATTAAGACTGGAGTATTTAGTTGGTCAGGTAGAGAATGCTTGTCCCTACACATTGGCATGACTCTCCCTTCCTTCCTTCACTTCTCTGCTCAAATATCAACATAAAAAGAGAGGACTTCCCCAATCACCTTGCTTACAACAACACTCATCTCACATGTCCTATCTGCTAACTGTTTGTGTCAACATCTGACATACTTTTACCACACAGGTTATTTACTGTCTCCCTCACCTAAAACATAAGATAGGGGCCTTTGTTTGTTTTATACATTGTTGTGACCAGACCCTAGAATAGCAGCTGAAATTAGTTCTCAAAAAATATTTAAATAAATGAATATGTGAATGACTAAGCAAATGGAAATAAAAGCCATTTCTGTTATGACTCAGGCTTGCAGATTGACATATGCAAATATGGAAGTGTAGAGCATAATTTTGAATTTCATTTTCCATCAATGTCTGATTACCTACTGATTAAATGTGACAAGCTACAAAGGGAGAAAAATCATTATTAAATTCCAATCTATCATCTATAACCTAAATGCAACTAATCATATGTTTAATTTTATATAATAGCTTTCAGACAGAAAAAAATCTACAGGCACAATGTCGTAAAAAATCTCCAGTGAATTTTGTACTATATCTGAACATATCCACATCAATATATAGTTACACTTAGGTCTATATATATAAACTGTAAACATATATTTAGAAATAACATTTCATTTGCAGATAGATCATTTTCAATCTAATCAAGAGTCATAATTTAAAATTCACTAGAGTTGTTGCTTTTTATGCATAAACACACACATTGTCCCCTAAAGGGAGAGAAACAAGCATATTCTCAATGACATCTATATACCAATATTAACTCTCAGTGTAGCTAAACAAGCATAATATTATCCCCATCTTACAGATGAGGAAGAAGTTCAGACATGTGCCTGGGCTAGGTGTGCACGGTCACACTGCTATTATGCAGTGGTGTCAAATAATCCAAACTGACTGAATCTAAGGTACACATATACCAGTAAGCTACTATCTGCATATATAAACAGACATTTTCAGAGAACTTGTTATTGATGTATAGTAGATACAGAAAAAGCGTACATAAGTGTGCAGCTAGATGAATTTTCACAAACTGGACAGGCCCACATAAATACCCTGTAGCTCAAAAGCAAGAACATTGCGAACACCCAGAATCCTCATGCTCCTTCCAGACCCTCCCTGAAAATCATTACTGCCCTAACTACTAACATCAAAGATTAATTTGCTGCCTGGTTTTGTACTATATATAACCAGAATCATATATGAGATCCATCCATACTGTATTAACAGTGGTCGCAATTCATTCATTCTATTATAAATACTGTTCTATGAACATCCTAATGTTCAATATGTTTTGAACATTATAAACATCATGTCCTATGAATATCCTAATGTTCAGTATGTTTTGTTCATTAGATTTATTCCTAAGTATTTTTATGAATGCTACTATAAATTAAATCATCTTTAAATTTTTTACTGATTTATAATTGGCAGAAACCAGGTCAATTTTTTTATATCAATCTTATAGCAATTGATTTTTTTATATTGACCTTGTGCTTAGGGACCTAGCTAAACTGCTTATTAATTTTAATAGTTCATTGATTCTTTTTAATTTTCTAGGTTCACAATCATGTCATCTGAAAATAAGGGTAGTTTTATTTCTTCCTTTCTACTTTTAATGCATCTATTTCTTTTTCTTAACTTATTGTCCTGGCTAGGACCTCCAATACAACATTTAATAAAAGTGGTCATGGTGGACATCTTTGTCTTGCTCCCAATTTCAGGGTGAAATTTTCAATCTTCTATTAAATATGATATTTGCTTTAGTTTTTTGGTAATCTTATTTATCAAACTAAGGTAATTCCCTTTTAATCTTAGTAAACCAAAAGTTTTAAATTATAAATATATGTTTGTCAAATGCATTTACTGTAGTGTTCTTTTAATTGTGTATATAGCAAAAAAAACGAAACTAGAAATGTCTTTCACATAAACAGTGCTTATATTAATGTAATCATCTTAAATAGATCACAAGGTACATTAACACTTTTTATTAATCTACATTACAGCTTCTTTATTCTACTCTGCTAGCACTCACATAAATTAGTATGGATGGATAAAGCCAGATGAGAAAACCCCAAGGCCCCAGTACACACAGGCATAAACCAAAGAGAAGGTGCACCAGGCTGCTGTATCTATCTTTCAATCCATCTTTTGGTCCTGGAGACAGTTATTCAAGTGGTCTAACCTAGCTGAAAAGATGGTTAGGCAGATTTCCTAAGTGTGGAAATATAGGAATCTACACTGGAGGAAGAATAGCAGAAGTTGACAATAATTCATCTAACATTCTTTTCCAGGTTTTGAGCCACACAGTAGAAGCTGTGTAGAAATCCTGGATTGTAGTCATTTTCTTTCTTGCCGTTACTGCTGCTGCTGCTGCTTCACTTCCTTTTTGGAATCTTCTAAGATTTTTCCTTACTTTTCTACAAATTTAACATCAACTTCTCTGTTTATTTTCCTTCTCTGCTCTCTATTCCTGACTTTCGACCATCAGTCCTTCACTAATGAATCACTTTCTTGTCCTCTATTTCTTAAGCAAGTGTTTTGTTATTTTAGACCACAGTTCTCCAAAGCAATACACTGGAGTGTGATTTAAAATATATATATATATATATATATATATATATATATATATATGAACATGTTTTACAATTATTTTTACCAAAAAGATAATAACTGAAACTGGTCTTTTCACCGGACACATGCACCCTCCTGCCTAGCAGAATGCGCATTGGCGGGTATCCTGGAGAAAGAGTAGGGGCAGCACGACTCAAGACAGCCAGAGTGAACATCCCATGAGTTTCTGTAAAATTTCAGTATATTGCACATATATACACATACATATGTACATATTTGCTATAAAGCAGTTCATGTACACCTGGTTAAATGGATGTGCCAATTATATTATTCAGTTTTAACTAAATTAACAATAAAAAGGTAGACAAGTACCTTATAGATTCCGGCCAAAAAAAAAAATAGAATTATACATAATACTAATAACCAGGAGCAAAAAAAAAAAAAAAAAAAAAAGTCAGTGTGATTCTGCTCCCCAGCTTCCTCAGTCACATTATAATGTTAAAAACAATGCCAAGTTAAATACATTTGAAAACCAGCTAAAAATAGTGAAATTGTGAAAACTACTACTGTTAAATGAATCTTACTATGTATTTTGCTTGATATTTTAGCAAGAAATACTAGGAAGCCATCACAATTAGCATGAAAATTTAAAACTAAGTACCCACAAGAGAAAATTAAAATTCTTTATTTCATGTGACTCTCAGTCCAGTACTTCTCAACATTTAAGAAACTAAATGACAAATATTCAGAAGCCCCTGTGAGATTTCATATTTTACAGTAAAAGTCAGAAAACCACAAACCATTGGGGAAAACACTTTTCTTCCCACGGTAAAAACAGCTGAAATAATATATTAAAACCACCACCAAAAAAAAAAAAAAAAAAAAAAAAAAACTGAAATTTTATTTTTATCAACAAAAGTTACACTGTCAATTTTAGAAATATTGCAGAAAAGTTGAAGCAGTAAATATTAAAACAAATACATTGTGGAGGTTGAATCCCAGTATAGTTATTTCAAAACGGACTCCACTCATGATCCAGATTCTGTTCCTATGAAGAAATATTCAAATAAGGTGGCAGGACCAGCTTGCAGCTCCCACTAGAACAGACAGAAGAGTGTGTGGAGATACATTGTGAACATTTGCTCCAAGAACTACCACAGCAACATACCAGGAAGGCTGAGAGCATCCATAGACCCTTTGAAGGAACTGAATTGCCACTGCAAGCTCCCTGAGATGCCAAAAAACTGTGAGTTGGCTTGCTTTCTCAGCAGGGAGGCTGGTGGTCCAGGGCAAGTTCTCAGCACTGGTCACTGGCTCCTCTACTAGAGTCGGTGCCGCTGGGGAGCACAGTGGGAGTGAGACTGGCCTTTAGGACTGCAGGCTGCATGAGAGTAGGGTGAGGCCTATGACTGCCAGCTTTCTCCCACTTCCCTGGTGACCTGCGTGACTCAGCAGATGCAGCCGTAATCCTCTGGGAACATAACTTCACTGGACTGGGAACCACACCCCCACCCCTCACAGCAGCCACAGCAAGCCCTGCCCAAGGAGAGTCTGAGCTCAGACATGCCTATACCTGCCTCCACCTGGTAGTCTTTCTCTGCCCACCCTGGTTGCTGAAAACAAAGGATATAATCTCTTGGGCGCTCTATGGCCCTGCCCACCACCTGAGAAACCTGAATACTTAACCTGGCAACCCTAAGGCAAATTTGCATCCTCCCTATAGTATCACAGGCAATGCACTTTTGAAAGCGCCACCTCCTGGCTGGAGGTCAACCAACACAAAACAAAAATATAACCAAGGACCCAAGGACCAAGGCCCACTTCACTCCCCTGCTACCTCCACCAGAGGAGGTGCTGGTATTCACAGCCGAAAGACATAAAGATGGATCACATCACAGGACTCTTTGCAGAGATTCCTCAGTAGCAGCCCTGAGCCCAGTAGCTCTGCTGGGTGGCTAGACCCAGAATAGCAAAAACAATCACCGCAGGTTGGCTCTCAGGAGGCCCCATCCCTAGGGGAAGGGTGAGAACAGCACATCAAGAGAGCACCCTGTGGGACAAAAGAATCTGAACAGCAGCCCTTGAGTCCCACATCTTGCCTCTGACATAGTCTACCCGAATGAGAAGGAACCAGAAAAACAATTCTGGTAATATGACAAAACAAGGTAGATTAACACCCCCAAAAGATCACCAGCTCACCAGCAATGGATCCAAACCAAGATGAAATCTCTGAATTGCCAGAAAAAGAACTCAGAAGGTTAATTATTAAGCTAATCAAGGAGGCATCAGAGAAAGGTGAACTCCAAATTAAAGAAATCAAAAACATGATACAGGATATGAAAGGAGAAATCTTCAATGACATAGATAGCATAAATAAAAAACAATCGCAACTTCTGGAAATGAAGAACACACTTAGAGAAATGCAAAATGCACTGGAAAGTCTCAGCAATAGAATCAAACAAGCAGAAGAAAGAATTTTAGAGCTCGAAAACAAGGCTTTCAAATTAATCCAATGCATCAAAGAAAAGAAGAAAGAATTTTTAAAAAATGAACAAAGCCTCCAAGAAGTTTGGGACTATGTTAAGCATCTAAACCTAAGAATAATTGGTGTTCCTGAGGAAGAAGAGACATGTAAAAGTTTGGAAAACACATTTAAGAGAATAGTCAAGGAAAATTTCCCCAGCCTTGCTAGAGATCTAGACATCCAAATATAAGAAGCTCAAAGAACAACTGGGAAACTCATCACAGGAAGATCATCACCTTGGCACACAGTCTTCAGGTTATCTAAAGTCAGGACAAAGAAAAGGATCTTAAGAGCTGTGAGGTAAAAGCATCAGGTAACCCATGAAAGAAAAACTATTACAGTAACAACAGATTTATCAGTAGAAACTCTACAAGCCAGACAGGATTGGTGTCCTATTTTTAGCCTCCTTTAACAAAATAATTTTCAGCCAAGAATTTTGTATCTGGCGAAACTAAGCTTCATAAATGAAGGAAAGACACAGTCTTTTCCAGACAAACAAATTCTGAGAAAACTCAGCACTACCAAGCCGGCATTATGAGAACTGCTAAAAAGAGCTCTAAATCAAAACAAATCCTTGAAATACACCAAAATAGAACCTTTTTAATGCATAAATTTCACAGGATCTATATAACAATAATACAATGAAAAAAGAAACAAGGCATTCAGGCAACAAATAGCAAGATGAATAGAATAGTACCTTCACATCTCAGTACTAACGTTGAATGTGAAATGGCCTAAAGGCACCACTTAAAAGACAAAGAATGGCAGAATGAATAAAAATTCACCAAACAAATTTCTGCTGTCTTCAGGAGAGTCACCTAACACATAAGAACTCACATAAACTTAAGATAAATAAGTAGAAAAAGATATTCCATGCACATGGACACCAAAAGTGAACAGGAATAGCTATTCTTATATCAGACAAAACAAACATTAAAGCAAGAGAAGTTTAAAAAGACAAAGAAGGACATTACATAATGATAAGAGGACTAGTACAACAGGAAAATATCACAATCCTAAATATGTATGCACCTAATACTGAAACTCCCAAATTTATAAAACAATTACTGCTAGTCCTAAGAAATAAGACAGATGTCAACACAATAATAGTGGGGGATTTTAATACTCCACTAACAGCACTAGACAGGTCATCAAGACAGAAAGTCAACAAAGAAACAATGGACTTAAACTATACCCTAGAAAAAATGTATGTACAAGACATTTACAGAACATTCTACCCAACTACTATAGAATATACATTCTATTCATCAGTACATGGAACATTCTCCAAGATGGGCCATATGATAAAGCACAAAATAAGTCTCAGTAAATTTTAAAAAATCGAAATTATATCTAGCACTCTCTCAGAACACAGTGGAATAAAATTGGAAATCAACACCAAAAGGAACCCTCAAAACCATGCAAATACATGGTTATTAAATAATCTGCTCCTGAATGATCATTGGGCTAACAATGAAATCAAGATGGAAATTTAAAAATTCTTTGAACTGAATAATAGTGACACAAGCTATCAAAACCTTTGGGATACAGCAAAAGTGGTGCTAAGAGGAAAGTTCATAGCATTAAATGCCTACATCAAAAAGTCTGGGACGGGCGCAGTGGCTCATGCCTGTAATCCCTGCACTTTTGGGAGGCTGAGGCGGGTGGATCACAAGGTCAGGAGATCGAGACCATCCTGGCTAACACGGTGAAACCCCACCTCTACTAAAAAATACAAAAAATTAGCTGGGCGTGGTGGCATGCACCTGCAGTCCCAGCTACTCGGGAGGCTGAGGCAGGAGAATGGCATGAACCTGGGAGGCAGAGCTTGCAGTGAGCTGAGATCATGCCACTGCACTCCAGCCTGGGCGACAGAGCGAGACTCCGTCTCAAAAAAAAAAAAAAAAAAAAAAGTCTGAAAGAGCACAAACAGACGCTCTAAGGTCACACCTCACGAAACTAGAGAAACAAGAACAATTCAAACCAAAACACAGCAGAAGAAAAGAAATAACAAAGATCAGAGCAAAACTAAATGAAATCAAAAAAACAAAAAATACAAAAGAGAAATGAAACAAAAAGCTGGTTCTTTGAAAAGATAAATAAAATTGATAGACCATTAGTGAGATTAACCAAGAAAAGAAGAGAGAAAATCCAAATAAGATCTATTAGAAATGAAATGGGATATATTACTACTGATACCACAGAAACACAAAAGATTATTCAAGGCTACTATGAGCACCTTTTGGCACATAAACTAGAAAACCTAGAGGAGATGGATAAATTCCTGGAAATATAAAACCCTCCTACATTAAACCAGTAAGATATAGAAACTCTGAACAGAGAAAAGCAAACAGTGAGATTGAAATGGTAATTTAAAAATTGCCAACAACAAAAAAAAGTCCAGTACCAGACAGATTCACAACTGAATTATATCAGACATTCAGAGAAGAACTGGTACCAACCCTAGTGACACTATTCCATAGAATAAAGAGGAAATCTCCCCTAAATCATTCTATAAAGCCAGTATCACCCTAATACCAAAACTAGGAAAGGACATAACAAAAAAAGAAAACTACACACCAATATCCCTGATGAACACAGATAAAAAAATCCTCAACAAAATAACCAATCCAACAGTGTATCAAAAAGATAATCCACCACGATCAAGTGGGTTTCATACCAGGGACACAGGGATGGTTTAACATACATGAGTCAATAAATGGGATACACCACATAAACAGAATTAAAAAGAAAAATCAGACTATCATCTCAATAGATGCAGAAAAAGCATATGACAAAATCCAGCACACTTCATGATTAAAACCCTCGGCAAAACTGGCATAGAAGGGACATACCTTAAGGCAATAAAAAGTCATCTATGAAAAACCCACAGCCAACATTATACTCAACAGGGAAAAGTTGAAAGCATTCCCCCTGAGAACTGGAACAAGACAAGGATCCCCACTTTCATCACTTCTATTCAACATAGTAGAAGTTCTAGCCAGAGCAATCAGACAAGAGAAAGAAATAAAGGACATCCACATTGGCAAAGATAAAGTCAAACTGTCGCTGTTTGCTGATGATATGATCATATACCTACCACAAAGACTCATCTAAAATGCTCCTAGAACTGGTAAATGAATTCAGCAAAGTTGCAGGATATAAAATTAATGTACACTACTCAGTAATTCTGCTATATACCTACAGCAACCAAGCTGAGAATCAAATCAAGAACTCAACCCTTTTTACAATAGCTGTAAAAATTAAATAAAACACTTCAGAATATACCTAACCAAGGAGGTGAAAGACCTCTACAAGGAAAACTACAAAACACTGCTGAAAGAAATAATAGACAACACAAACAAATGTAAACATATCCCATGCTCATGAATGGGTAGAGTCAATATTGAGAAAATGACCATACTGCCAAAAGCAATCTATAAATTCAACGTAATTCCTCATCGAAATACCACAATCACTCTTCACAGAACTAGAAAAAAACACTCCTAAAATTCATATGGAACCAAGAAAAGAACTGCATAGCCAAAGCAAGACTAAGCAAAAAGAACAAATCTGGAGGTATCATATTACCCAACTTCAAACTATACTATAAGGTAATAGTCACCAAAACAGCATGGTACTAGTATAAAAATAGGCACATAGACCAATAAAATATAATAGAGAAACCAGAAATAAAGCCAAATACTTACTGTTAGTAACTTACTAATCAGCTAACTGATTTTGGACAGGGCAAACAAAAAAACAGAAAGTGGGGAGAGGACACCCTATTCAACAAATGGTGCTGGGATCACTGGCAAGCCCCATGTAGAAGAATGGAAGTGAAATCTCATCTCTCACCTTATATAAAAATGAACTGAAGATGGATCAAAGACTTAAATCTAAGACCTGAAACCATAAAGATTCTAGAAGATAACACCAGAAAAAACCCTTCTAGACACTGGCTTAGGCAAAGACTTCATAACCAACAACCCAAAAGCAAATGCAACAAAAAACAAAGATAAACAGGTGGGACTTAATTCAACTAAAAAGCTTCTGCACAGCAATAGAAATAATCAGCAGAGTTGGCCAGGTGTGGTGGCTCACACCTGTAATCCCAGCACTTTGGGAGGCCAAGGTAGGCGGATCATGAGGTCAAGAGATCAAGACCATCCTGGCAACAATGAAGCCCCATCTCTATTAGAAATACCAAAGTTATCTGGGCGTGGTGGCGCATGCCTGTAGTCCCAGCTACTTGGGAGGCTGAGGCAGGAGAATCGTTTGAACCCAGGAGGTGGAGGTTGCAGTGAGCCAAGATCCTGCCACTGCACTCCAGCCTGGCAACAGAGCAAGAGTCCATCAACAACAACAAGGAACAAAATAATGACATTCACAGCAACCTGGATAGAATTGGAGACTATTATTCTAAGTAAAGTAACTCAGGAATAGAAAATCAAACATTGTATGTTCTCACTCATAATTGAGAGCTAAGCTCTGAGGATGCAAAGGCATAAAAATGATACAATGGACTTTGGAGACTCGGGAGAACAGGTGGGACGGAGCTGAGGGATAAGACTACACACCGGGTACAGTGCACACTGCTTGGGTGATGGATGCATCATAATCTCAAAAATCACCACTAAAGAACGTATTCATGTTACCAAGCACCACCTGTTCCCTAAAAATCTATTGAAATAAAATTTAAAAAAATAAATACTAAGATAAAAAAGAATGCCCTTTTCATAAAACTGGGTTCCAACTGTTTGCTTCAAGAAGTGAAAATTTTTCTTGCATTTTAACTGTAAATTTATCCTGAACTAGATACCTAATAAAATTATTTTTAATGGATTGTTTAAAAAAATTGAAAAGGAAACCATTTTGGAGGAAGAGGTAGATTTTGCTTGAAACAGGCAACCTACCAATTTTAAATGATCAAGAACCACACAGAGAACTGAGCCCAGTTAAAGAGTTAATAAAATAAACAGCCTTTTTGGGGGGACAACTTAAAGATTTTAACATAAAAAGTAATAATCTTACTTTTACATAAAATGCAGAGACAGATTTTCTTTTTACAGGACCAGGTCAAACAAAAGACCTGGAGGGGGTCGTGCGAAGCAAAGGAATAGGGTCATGTTTGATCCAAATGACTTCAGGCCCAGCAAAGGACTCAGTTCTGATGAGACCACAGCAATCTTCTGGGTGAATTCCAAGCCACTTCATTAACAAATCAAAGCTCCACAACAGCAAAGATATGAAATCGACCTGGGTGTCCATTAGTGAATAAATGGATAAAGAAAATGTGGCATATAAATATAACGAAATAATAGCCATAAAAACAATGAAATCATGTCTTTTGCAGCAACATGAATGAAAGTGGAGGCCATTATCCTGAGTGAAACAAGCCAGGCACAGAAAGACAAACATTGCATGTTCTTATTCATAAGTGGGAGCCAGAAAATGTGTTCATGTGGACGTAGAGTGGGATGAGAGATAATGGAGACTCAGAAGGGTGAGGGGTGGGAGGAAGGATGAGAAACTGGTTAACGGGTGCAATGTATGCTATTCTGTTGATGGATAACTTAAAAGCCCTTACTTGACCACTATACAATCTATGCATGTTTACCCCCAAAATTTGTACAAATAAGAAAAAAAGAAATATTCAAATAATTACCTTTTCTATGAGTCACTAAAGAACAGATATGCTGGCTGTGCATGGTGGCTCACGCTTGTAATTGCAGCATGTTGGGAGGCTGGGGCGGGTAGATCACTTGAGGTCAGGAGTTTTTGTCACCAGCCTGGCCAGCCTGATGAAACCCTGTCCCTACTAAAAATACAAAAATTAGCTGTGTGTGATGGTACACCCTTGTAATCCCACCTACTTAGGAGGCTAAGGCAGAAGAATGGCTTGAACTCGGGAGGTGGAGGTTGCAGTGAGCTGAGATCACACCACTGCACTCCAGTCTGGGCGACAGAGTGAGACTCCATCTCAAAAAAAAAGAAGAAAAAGAAAAGATATGCTGAAGAAATAAACTGATATAAACAGATATAGATAGATATGCTAAAGAGACAAACTGTCATATATTCATATAATAGAATACTATATAGTAATTAAAAAAAAACACTGATAAAAACAACAATGTGGATGACACAGAAAATGCACTGTGAAAACAGCCAGACATATAAGTAGAGGTATTAGCCTGTTCTCATGCTGCTATAAAAAATTGCCCAAAACTGGGTAATTTATAAAGGAAAGAGGTTTAACTGACACAGTTCTGCATGTGAGTCATGGCTGGGGAGGCCTCAAAAAACTTCCAATCATGACAGAATGGGAAACAAACACGTCCTTCTTCACATGGTGGCAGGAGAGAGACGGAGTGCCAGTAGGGGAAACGCCAGATGCTTATAAAACTATCAGATCTCATGAGACGCACTCATTATGAGGAGAACAGAAGGAGGGAAAGTGCCCCCATGATCCAGTTACTTCCACCTAGTCCCACCCTTGATATGTGGGGATTATTACACTTCAAGGTGAGATTTGGGTGAAGACAGAGCCGAATCATATCAGTAGACATATTTTCTAATTCCTTTTATATGACATTCAAGAACAGGCAAAACTAATCAAGGGTGATAGAAATCAGAAGATTGATGAACACTGTCTGAGAAGGGACTTGAAGTAACTTTCTAGTGTACTAGAAATTTTCTTTAAATCTATTTGTTGATTTTACAGTGTATACAGCTGTATAAATTCACTAAATTGTATGCTTAAAATTAATGCACTGTATTGCATGCATGTTAAACCTCAATAAAAAGTAAATAAAATATAACAAAAGATTGAAAACCATTTTCACACCTATTTAAACATTTTCTAAGTGAAACTCAATAGGTCTTGAATCTATTAGAAATACATGTTCTGATTCGTTAGTATAGACAACAATTCTGAGAAAGTGAAATTTTACTAGACAAATTAATTTTTAAACTCTTTGTGTAACTGGTGTACAGATTTGAAAATAAGTATTAATTTGGGAAGCAGAGTCAATACTGTACTTTCTGCACTCACTTCTATATATGTTTATGAAATTTACTTTTCAGCTATTAAAACCAAGTATCAAAATAAACTAAACCTGAAGAAAATAAAAACACAAGTCACAGGCTAGGATAAAATATTTGCAAAACATATCTGATAAAGGACTTGTATCCACTATAGTACTCCACAATGGAGTACTATTCAGCCATAAAAAAGAATGAGATCCAGTCATTTGCAACAACATGGATGGAACTGAAGGTCATTGGGTTAAGTGAAATAAGCCAGGCACAGAAAGGCAAACATCACATTTTCTCACTTATTTGTGTGATCTAAAAATCAGAACAATTGAACTCATGAACATACAGAGTAGAAGGATGATTACCAGAGGCTAGGAAGAGCAGTGAGGGGTGGGGGTGGGGGAAGGTTGAGATGGTTAATGAGTACCAAAAAACAGAATAAATAAGACCTACTATTTGATAGCACAACAGGGTGACTATAGTCAATAATAATTGTTTATTTTTAAATAAAGTGTGTAATTGGTTTGTTTGTAACTGAAAGGATAAACGCTTGATGGGATGAATACCCCTTCTCCATGTTGTGCTTATTTCACACCACATGCCTGTATCAAATCATCTCATGTATCCCATAAATATATACACCTACTATGTACCCATAAACAATTTTTTAAAGGACCTGTATCCAAAGTATACAAAGAATCCTTAAAGCTCAAAAATAAGAAAACAAACCATTCAATTAAAAACGGGCAAAAGATCTGAACAGATACCTCAACAAAGAAGATATACAGATGGCAAATGAGCACAGGAAAGGATACTTAATATCATATGTCATTAGGGAATTACAAATTAAAAGAATGAGATACCACCATACACCCATCAGAATGACTAAAATCCAACACACTGATAATATCAAATGCTGGCAAAAATGTGCAGCAATGGTGCTATGATTTGAATCTATCCATCCCTCCTCCAGCACAATTCATATATTAGAACCTAAGACCCAATATAATAGTATTAAAAGGCAGGGCCTTTAAGAGGTGATTAAGTCAGAGTTCTGCCCTCATGAATAGGATTAGGACCCTTATTAAAGGGCTTGAGGGAACTAAGGAGGGCCCTTCTGTTCCCTTCTGCCATTGGGAGGACACAGTAAGAGGCACCATCTTGGAAGCAGAGAGCAGCCCTCACCAGATAGCAAATCTGCCAGTGCCTTGACCTTGAACTTCTCAGCCTCCAAAACTGAGAAAATAAATTTCTGTTCTTCATAAATTACTGTCTTTCGGCTATTTTGTTATAGCAGCAGGAACAGTCTCTAGAAAAATAATTTTATTTTTAAAGAAAGAATATCTAATGGTGCCGTGACTAAAGCACTCGCTGTTCTGAAGAGAAAGGGAGGTAATTCAGCCCTTGGTGAGGGCACAGGCAGCAAGGGCGCCTCTGCCACTCAGGGCTGTCTCAGCCACTTTCTAGCCAGGGATCCTGGGCAAGTTTCTGCACCTCACTGGCCTAGTTTTTGTCATGTGTACAGAGAGGGTTTTGAACAAAGTATTTAGGTTGGTGCAAAGGTAATTGTGTAATTAAAGGCAATGGCAAAAACCGCAATTACATTTGCACCAACTTAATATTAAGAATACTCCTACTCTAAATATTCCATGGCTCAAAAAAGATTTGTTGAATGAAATTTAAGGGAACAACCCAAATCAGAACCGTGTCTAACGGGAAAGGAAATCTTCTGCATATGGTACAGAGTAAGAGCTATTAGGAGGCAGGAGAAGACAAACTATCATGTCCAGAAATAATTATGGTGGAAACTGTTAATGGAAGGGGAGGTAAATGACCTACAATTTATTCAGCTATTTATAGCTAGTAACTAGGAGATACCTAGAGAAGAAGACTGGATTAAATCCAACATTTGGGGCTTATACAGACTAAAGATCATTTTATTGTTTGCCAATCTCTCATCTATATATCTGTAAGTAGAAAGAGCTGATACCTTACATTTTATTTAAAATGTTAATGCTGGATCACTGCTCTTTGGGGACTCATTTTTAAGTGTGCAAAATTCTGCAGGCTTTAACAATAAGATGCACATAAAGACATTTGCAATCTAAGTCATCTCTTGACATTTGACTAAAAGTCAAAGCAATGGACCACAAGACAAATAGAACACTTCACCCATGAAGGTTGACTATTAGCTTTGTTTCATGATCTGTAAATGAGTTATTAAATGCCTCTATAAAGTTTTATTACTGTTTTAATCCCAGTAATAACTGTCCTCACTTTAAATGTCCTACCGTTTGCTGAATATGGCAGTAATGTGCTTCAATAATGCTGCCCGACATTAGATTTTTTTCTCTCTAAAACTAAGGATATAAAAGAGAAGGCGTTAGAGATACTATGCAGCACTGGTTCTATCAGTTAAGGGAAAAAAGAGTGAGCCAGATGTTAGCTGTCTGTCTTTGTACGGGTATGACCTGCTTGATTCCACATTTCCATCTTTATTTCCTGAGCGTCAGCAGCCTAGACATAAGGGAATAAAAGTGAATGTATGTTTCAGCACACTATGAAAGCACTTACAGAGAAAACAATTTACATCTTAATAGCTTTCTTTCATTACATTAACTTCTCTGCTTTTCATCTTGGAGACTGCAGGAATGTTCACAAACATTGGCAAATGTAAGAAAGAATCACAGAATCTTGGAGCTAGAAGGGGCTCTAGAGGCCATAAGCCCACCTCCCACCCCTGCTGGAATCGCTCCTCTGTTCAGTCTCCCTTTGAGGCTGCTGGGACATTCACAGTACAGACCATTCACTCACTATGTCCAGATGTTGGCCTCTACAAAATTCAATCTTCAACCTGTTGGAATGGTCTTTCTTACGTTGAACACAAAGTGGCTGCCCTAGAACTTGCACTAGGACTCAAGGTCCTGCCTTTTGGAGCTTGTCACAGCAAGCACCTCCTCTGTGCCTCACAGGAGAGGCAGACACATATCTGAAGACATCCCTTGGAGCTCTGACTAGTCACTCCACCTACAAACCAAACATCCTAGCATCTTCCACCACTCCCCAGGAGGGGTTCCTACTTGCCTCACTACCGTGGATGCCGAATGATAATCAGTCGCTAATTTCATTTCCAATATTTATTTTTAAATCTTCCACTAATAATTAAACTCAACCTTCTTCCTCATACAGAAGAGACATTTGATGTTCCTCAGTTGGGACACCACACAGTTGTCCTCTCCTGAAACACAGTGTGGTAGGGAATTTGAATTTGAAGCATACATGAACATGTAGGAAAAACAGGGGCAGGAGAATCAAGGTCAATTAATGAAAGCCTTAAACATAAGACACAGTGCGCACACGAATAAAAGAAACACTGTGTACATTTTATTCATTTTGCATTGGTAAAATGGGAACTTTAATATATCTTTTACCTGACTCATGTTTGAGAGGAACTTTTCAGGGTCTTCTGACCCTACAGTTTCAAGGAGTTGCCTCTAAACTGAATTACTATTTTGTAAGTTGCATATGTATCAACTTAAATTTGATCTTTGTAGCCAAAATAGCTGGCTGTCCACAAAATATTCATGCACTTCTTTCCAAACTGTGGAATAATTACTGGGAAATGTTGCTCAATCAAGCACTACATTACCCAAAGTCTCTGCAAGGCTACCTCTCACCAGCAGAATGTGAACAAAAGACACGTGTGTCATTTTCAGCTGGGGTTCATTTTTAACTGCGGTAAAATACACATACCATAAAAATGTACCATTTTAACTATTTTTTAAGTATATAATTCAGTGGCATGAAGTACATTCACAGTGTTGTGTAACCATCACCACTATCTCCAGAACATTTTCATCATCTCACAAAGAAATCTCTGTACCCACTAAACTGTACCTCCCCATTCTCCCTCCCCCCAGCCCCTGGTAACCCCTGTTCTACTTTCAGTCCCTATAAATTTGATTTTTCTAGGTACCTCACACAAGTAGAATCATAACAATATTTGTTCTTCTGTGCCTGGCTTCTTTCAGTTAATGTAATGTTTTCAAGGCTCATTGATAATGTATTTTCTATCTCACTTTAATTCCTTTTTATGGCTAAATATTATTTCACTGTATGCATATACTACATGTGGCTTATCTTTTCATCTGGTGATGGAGACATGAGTTGTTTCCATCTTTGGCTATTATGAATAATGCTGCAATGCATATTTGTGCAGATTTGTGTATGTGTTTGAGTCCCTGTTTTTAATTCTTTGGGGAATATTATAAGAGAATTGCTCAATCATATGTAATTCCTTATTTAACGTTCTGAGGAACTACTATACAATTTTCCACAGCGGCTGAACCATTTTACATTTCTACCAGCAATGCGCAAGGATTCCACTTTCTCCACATCCTCACCAACATGCTATTTTTCCATTGTTTCAATAATAGTTATACTATACACTAGGTGAAGTGGTATCTCATTGTGGTTTTGATTTGTATTTCCCTAGTCATTAAAGATATTGATTATTTTTTCAATGCTTAGCAGCCATTTGTATACTGTCTTTGGAGAAATGTCTATTCAAGATCTTCATCCACTTCTGAACTGGGTTATTTGTTTTTCTCTTGTTGAGTTGTAGGAGTTCTTTATATATTCAGGATATTAATTCCTTATCAGATATGTGATTTGCAAATATTTCTTCTAGCTAGGATTATTAAGGAGCTGTGCCTTTTCCACTATTTTATTCTTCTGCCTGATGCAGATGATTCTAAGACCCTAGGGAACAAGGGAGCCATGAAATGGAAGAAGCCAGATACCACATGAAAGAAAAACACCCACTGACCAGGAGTGCCACACATTCTACTGTTACACTACTGAAAAACCAACTTTTAGTGCTGACACACTAAAATTTTAGTTTCTTTTTCCTACCAGCTAGCATTACTCAACCTAACAGTCCTCTGTCAGTAGGTTCCCGGTCCTTCTGATAGTATGATCTGGGAGGTCATGATTTCCATCTCCCAGGTCTCATCTTCATTAATATATCATATATGGTCTCAGGCCTTCACTGATTAGACCTTATTTTTTTTTCAATTTTCAAAAACACAACATCATCATTTTGTCTAGACAGATATGTATAGTTCTCAAATTCTTCAATTCCTCTTTTTGAAAATGAGTTATTTCCCACCCTAAACTCTTAGGCACTGTTTCTTTGTAACAATGACTCTAAGATCCTATTTGTGGATTTTTCAGTACTCTGCATAAGAATCTATTTGGGTTGGTAAAGTTGAACTCATGTAAAACAGGTGATACAGTCTTGAAATCTAATCACTTATCTTGGATTTCTCTTCAATCATTCTCAAGATCTGCTTACATGGTCCCATGTGAAGATCACTCAGCTGTTTTTTAGTATTTACTTTTAAATACACTAATTCAGTTATTATACATGACAGATTTACATGTAATTATCATTTAAGCTTCAACACAAACACATAAAATAGGAATCAATATCCCTGGGGAGATTAAGACCCAAAAGATCTCACCAAATAAGTTGTAGACTCTAGATTCAAATGCAGCTATTTCAATTGCCTTGCCATGTTACTTTCTTTCATTCACATGCTAACTTGCCAAATTTTCCTAGACTAATAACTTTTTTGGAAGATAGCTTCAAAAAAGGATCTTTCCGTAGCTCTTTGTGGTTTTTATAGGATGCACAATTCATTGTATGCTATTCTCTGATACTATCATAAATTTACATGTAGTGTTATACGTCCCTCCTTGCTATTTTAAACATGTTTTAAATCTAATATACTGGTTAAATGTTTTTTCTTTTTTTTCTTTTTTTTTTTTTTTGAGACCGAGTCTTACTCTGTCACCCAGGCAGCAGTGCAGTGGCACAGTCTCAGCTCACTGCAGCCCCTGCCTTCTGGGTTCAAGTAATTCTCTTGCCTCAGCCTCCCAACCTGTAATCTCATGCAGTTGGGATTACAGGTGCATGACATCACACTCAGCTAATTTTTGTATTTTTAGTAGAGACGGGGTTTCACCATGTTGGCCAGGCTGGTCTCAAACTCCTGGCCTCAGGTTATCCACCAGCCTCAGCCTCCCAAAGTGCTGGGATTTCAGGCGTGAGCCACCACATGCCTGGCCAAATGTCTTCTTCTTTTACATTAAAAAAACACCTTTTCTGATAATTGAAAATATGGCTTTGATACTTGAGAATATTTTAGACATTAAGAAACCTAGCCAAACACTAGGGAGAAAGCTTTTGGGATGAGGAGTAATAATACACAGGCCATTCTATCTCAATGAAATATTAAAGAAAGAAAAATGGAAAGTTCTCTTTATTAACATCCTGTTCTCCATATTTCAAAACTAAAGTCAGATGATATGACAGAACTGAAAATGAAACAACTGCTTGAAAGTTTTTAGACCACAAAATTGGTCTGTTAAATCCAAATTATGGTCTCAGTCTCTGCCAGTGATTTTCATTGTGTTCCAAAGCAAAAGGATCTGCCCCAGGGAACTTGGCCAGCTGTGTGCCAGCTGTGTGTTATCACAAGAGGAACTGGGTAAGAACTGGTGAAAAAACAGTCAACAGATCAAGGTATTTTTGTTTGTTTTGTTTTTGTTTTTTTGAGACAGAGTCTTGCTCTATCGCCCAGGCTGGAGTACAGTGGCACGATCTCTGCTCACTGTAACCTCCACCTCCCAGGTTCAAGCGATTCTGCCTCAGCCTCTTGAGTAGCTGAGACTACAGGCATTCACCACCACGCCCGACTAATTTTTGCATTTTTAGTAGAGATGGAGTTTCATCATGTTGGCCAGGCTGGTCACGAACTCCTGACCTCAGGTGATCCGCCTGCCTCAGCCTCCCAAAGTGCTAGGATTACAGGCATGAGCCACTGTGCCCAGCCCCAGACCAAGTTTTATTCATTTTGGTGGCCCTAAAAGAATCCAGCACATAATGTCTTACACATATTAGGTTCTCAATAAAGATACATGGAGAGAAGGAAGACATGAAGCACGTCACTACTAATAAGATCAGAAGTGGGACAACACATATGTTACAGGGCATTCTGGGACTGAGATTGTGAGCAGAGTGCATTTCTTCTAGAATCTAGAGATGAATGGTCATAATGGTTACACAACAATGTGAATGCACTTAATGCCACAAAATTGTAACATTAAAAATGGCTAAAATGGTAAATTTTATTTTATATTTTATTACAATAAAAAATAAATACTTGTATAATACATTTTTATGGATTTTTTTAAAAACCACATGAGACATTACTTCACACCACTAGAATGGCCACAATTGAAAAGACAGATAATAAGTTTAGGAGAAGGTATGGAGAAACTGGAGTCCATACACATTGCTGGTGGCAATGTAAAATGATACATCCACTTCAGAAAACAGTCTGGCAGTTCTTCAAAAAAATTAATCATAAAATTACCATATGATCTAGCAATTCCACTCCTAGGTATATACCTAAGACAAATGAAAACATATCAACACAAAAACTTGTCCATGAATGTTTATACAGCATTATTCACAACAGCCAGAAGTGGAAACAACCTATATTCTATCAACTAATGAATGGATAAACAAAATGTAGTATATCCATATAATAAAAAAAAATTATGCAATCAAATGAAATGAAGTACCAATACATGTTATAATTTGGATGAACCTTGAAAATGTTATGCAAACTGAAAGAAGCTAGCCAAAAAACCCCATGCTGCATGATTCTTTTTCTATGATATGTCCAGAATATGCAAATCTATAACGACAAAGTAGCTTAGTGGTTGTCTAGGCAGAGGTGATTTAGGGGGATTGGTGAGTGACTGCTATGAGCAGAGCTTCTTTCTGAGGTGACAAAAATGTTCTAAAATTTATTGTGTCATGAATACACTAAAAACCACTGAATTATACACTCTAAATGGGTGAACTGTGTGGTATGTGATATATATCTCACTATAGCTATTTTTTAAATTAAAGCAGTGGCTGTATGGTAGTGAAAGTACAGAAATGAGTGAGGTCATTTACTAAACTAGTCTCCCCTTTCGTACTCCTCCACCTTCTTTCTCCCACCTCTTACTCCTTTGAATGGACTTTCAAAGAGATGCCCAGTAGTGACCCTGGAAACAAGTCAATGGCCAACTAGGAGTTCAAAAGAAAGTAAAGAGGAAACCAGTCAGCACCACAATCCCTAAAACTGGCTGTCCTTGTTTTCCTCCAGTCTTTCCTCAATTCCACAGTACTCAGGATTAGAGCTGTATTTAAAACTGTCACCAAGTACAGAGTCCTTTGGCCTGAAGTCAGCCAGAGGCAGGAACACACTTAAGAAAGGAAGAGGGGCAGCCGGGTGGAGTGGTTCATGCCTGTAATCCCAGCACTTTGGGAGGCTGAGGTGGGCAGATGAGAAGGTCAGGAGATCGAGACCATCCTGGCCAACATGGTGAAATCCCGTCTCTATAAAATACAAAAAAATTAGCCGGGTGTGGTGACACGTGCCTGTAGTCCAAGCTACTCGGGAAGCTGAGGCAGGGGAATCGCTTGAACCCAGGAGGTGGAGGTTGCAGTGAGCCAAGATCGCGTCACTGCACTCCAGTCTGGCGATAGAGCAAGACTCTGTCTCCAAAAAGAACAAACAAAAAACAAACAAACAAACAAAACAAAGGAAGAGGAGCTAAGTCTGAGATAAAGACGGTTAACCAAACTAGGTGAAAGATGAGACTTGAGAGCATTCTGGAAGCTATAACAGGGTCCAAATAAATATTTCAGTTCCTAAAATATCTTTTTCTATTATCTGCTGTGATCCAGTCCATACGACTACCCAACTGAGGGAATCTT